>NW_012132918.1:0-320750 GCF_000001405.40 Homo sapiens
GATCTAGCTTATTGGATTGATATAGTAGTCAGCAATAAGTGGTAGCTATCATTACATATGTGATACTCAAGAACATTGCTCCCCTCTTCTATGCCAGAAAGGCTGAGGGATCCTGTAGTTTGAAGCCAAAACTTGCTATTTTGGAGGTACTCCTAAAAATCTAGCTTGCTGAATTTTTGACTTCCTACTCCTTTTCCAAAGAGGACAGCAGCCTGTCAATTATCCCATCACCTAGAAACCTTGGCATTTATGAAAAATACGGGTCTGGGACCCACGTAGGCAGAGTTGACCTGCCCTCACTTAAAGGATCCTGTGAACTCTTTGCATCTGCTTTCCACTTCTCTCCCCTCACTTGTAACTGACATACCCAATTAATGCCATATTCTATGTGGCTCTGGGTATTTCTCCTCTGATCACATCGCCCAAGTTACGCCCCTGCTCTTTTTTCTTTGACTCATTATTACTGACAGGTGCCCAGACACTACATTTGGGACTTTGTGCTGGATGTGTCCGTGTTGCTGATGTTCGCTCCATATTTTGCTTGTTTCCTCACTACCGTAAAGTCTCTATCTATGCCATAAAGCCAATGACATGCTGTCGGATATACTAAACCTTTCCTGAGAGCCAATAAGAGCCAATGTAATCAGTGTTGTCAATGCATATTTTGGGGTGGAAAGTATCTATGTCACCATAAAACACTTCAAAAATCCACAGAAAAATGATAAGGCATATGCAAAAAACTGGAAAATGGACCTTAGGATGGTGACTCGACTTTAAAATATATCTGCAGGAAGGTAAACCCAAAACAAATGCATTCTAATGGTTAACTTTATCTCAATATTTCAAGCTGTTTTGAAGAAAACACCAATACTGTTAAGAATACCTCAGTATCAACCTTGGGCTGATCTAGCTGATACAGTATTATCCTTAGTTTCTAAAGAAAACAGTGATTGCTTTGGGTGAGGAGGAAATCATCCCTAATTTTATTGTGTAGAGTTCATATGTGTGAATAGCATATATGAAAACACACACACAATCACTCATGTATAAATGTTGAGTCCCATACAAGAAAATATTGCCTTAGCTTGGAAATACAAGATAAATATGACATAATACATTTCTCTCAAGAATTTTACACATAATTTAGTCTGAGAGATATTTTATTCTACACAGTGTAGGAAGTGATATACCACAAAAAAGTGAGAAATAAAATGCCATAGGATTTCACAGAGGGGTAGAGTTCAGATCACGTCCATATAAGAATATCATGCCTAAAACTTAAGAGCTAACAACAATCACCATTAATTTGCTCACAATTCTGCAATTTCAGTAAGGCTAAATATGGGTAGCTTGTCTCTGCTTCAAGTCGTGCTTACTAGGATTGTTTGACTAAAACTGGAGGATCCAAGATTTTTTTACTCACATGTCTGGCATCTTACCTGGGTTGGCCGGGTCTTTCTCTGTTGCCCTTCATGGTCTCTCATCCTCCAGAGCCTCTGTTTCTAGGAGGAAGATCAGACTTCTTTACATGGTTGCTGGTTTCAAAGAAGGTGAAAGTAGAAGCAGCGGGCTCAGTAAAATCTAGACCTATACCTGGCAAAGTGTCACGCCTGCCACATTCTATTGGCTAAAGCAAATCACAAGAGTGGATTATATTCAAAAGGAGGGAAAATAGCATGTGTATATAGTTGTGGGAAGAATTGTTGGTGGCTATCTTTGGAAATAATCTACCACATTGGCCTTATAAAATTTGTAAAATTGAGGCACGTGGAAATGTGAAGAAAGAATATTCTAGGTGGAAGAAATTAACTAAGCAAAGGTTAGAAGTAGGAAAGTATATGAAAAAAAAATTGCTGAATATTCTTAGAGCCCAGACTCTGAAGGGTGATTGAAATTAGACTCTGGAGACTGGTCTATAGCTGAGGAGTCTCTCAATGTTCCTCATGAAAATTCATGCACAGCCTCCTCGTGCCCATTTCTGGTATCCATTGGCTTTAGATCTGCCTACATATGTTCACTACAGAACTGGAAGTGTGCTAAAGAAGAAAATAAAAAAACAGATTAGAGGCAGAAGAATATTCTCTCATAAGCAAAAGAAGCATGAAGCCAGTATCATCCTCCAAATCACTAGAAAAAATGATGATTCATAGGTCATTAAAGGAGAGGAGTGGCTTGGCCTATGGAGGAGCCATTTTGCAACATTGGTCTTATAGGCTCACTGTACCCAATAAATAGCCTCTATAGGGGTAAAGTTTGTAATTAAATGTGTCATGGAGTAGGACACTACTGCATTAAACAAAATATAAGGAATTTAAGAGAAATTTAGAATAATTTTACAGATATCTAGAAATTTTATGTCAATAAGCTAACCTCTGTTTGAGAATAATAATTCACTAATATTTTCATTCCTGCTGTTTTAACAAAGAAAAGATTGGAGTCATAGACTCTGTAGACTTGCTGAGATATTTTTGAGAGTTCATCTTTATTTGACAAATTTTCAACTTCATTACTTTGTGTTGTGATTTGC
The DNA here is from genome assembly GCF_000001405.40 of Homo sapiens. Lineage (NCBI taxonomy): Eukaryota > Metazoa > Chordata > Mammalia > Primates > Hominidae > Homo > Homo sapiens. The sequence continues at coordinate 2,528 of NW_012132918.1, forward strand.
AATAAAATTGGGCAAAAAATCCTCCTATAAATAATAACAAAAGTAAAACAACCAAGTTGGAAAATGGATGAAGGAAATGAATGGACAAGTCACAGAAGAGAAAAGTTATGTGGCAAATAGAATGATGAATCAACATTCATTCATCGATAGTACAAAGAACTAAGAATTAAAATAATAATATCCTACTTTTTAAATATTGTGTTAATTAAAAAATTAAAGTAATGAAAACAGCTATACCTGGTAAGTGTGTCAAGAAAAAGTCACTGCTATGTATGAATATGTATTACTATTCATATTTTAGAATATACTTTGGTGGTATCTGTTAAATTCAAAGCATGCCTACCCTTTGGCTCAGCAATTTCACACCTATTCTAAGGAATATCAGCACCAGTTTATCAGACTATGATGAGAATATTTATTACAACATGGTTTGTGGTGGCTAAGTATAATAATGATTTTAATGGCCACTAACTTAAGAATGGTTGATAAAATTGTGTTACATTCATGCTATGGAATATTATCACAGATTATAAAGAATGAGTCAACAATACATTAATTGACTTGAAGGGATTTTCATAATAAACTACAAGAAAAGCAAGTTGCAGAGAAAAGCCCATGGCATGGTTCCTTCTCTTTTAAAATGACTCCAAATATTTCACCTTTATGTGTATGGGTGTTTTACATGAATCTTTGAGCATGGAGGATATTTTGAAAGGTTGGAAGGGGCTGATGTGGGAAATAAAGGGGAATAGAAGAGGTAAAAATACAGCAAGGCATAATAAATGTTAAAAAATATAGCCTATAGTGTTCTATTATATAACTGTAAATATTTTTAAGTAAAATATCTACAGATTTACAAAGTGACAAAACAAAGAGTAACATTTGTTATGAAATCCCATTGTATTAGTGGTGCTACCTAAAAATAATTAAAAATAATTAGACTAATGTAAATTTCTGATGAAGAAGAAAATATTCAATATCTCAACTAAAGTAATGAAATACATGTTTTATTATTAACCAACTTTTTATTAACGGGAAAATAATTCATTTACACTGTCAAAAACTCAACTAGAATAAATGGCATGCTGGAAAAATGAACCTCATTCGCAGAACTTTAAGCCCTACTCAAAGGTGATCACCAACAGTTTCTCCTGAATCCTTCAAAAAGATAATCTATTTGTGGCCAAGAAGATAGGTAGATAGATATCCAAATATATATACATACATACACATATACCCCATTGTATGCATATGAGAGCATACACAATAAGTTCCTATGTCTATTGTTTTTTTCATTTAATAATATATTATGGAGATTGCATAATATCAGCACATTCAGACACAACTGCCTTCCCAGAGGTAAATCACTACTTGTGAAATTTTTTTTAATGATCAAGCAAACTTTTCATTATGAATTTCACAAGGATCAAACATATGTCTGTAGAGACAACTGGAGTGTAAGGAGATGACCATGGCCAAGCAAAGATGATAAGTAAACAGTGTTTAGCTATCAAGGCCAGCTATACTCAAGAGTCCACGGACGTTTACTGTTGATAAAAAGTTTTTATGGTACTACCACCAGAGATAGTGTTTGAGAAGTCACAATGCCCGCTATCATTATAAACAGCAAGGAAAAGGCCTCAGAGAGGGCAGTCCCATTCCATGATTTCCCTGGTTCATCTTCTCATGCAGCTCCTCCTCTCTGAGCTACTCATTCTACTACTTTCCATTCTTTAACTTGCACAAGTGAGTAAATTACGAGGGGACAGTGCAGAGAAGAGATACTTTATGGGCATAGATGAGCCTTTCAAGTATTTGATTTTTTTTTTAGAAACACTGGCTTTCCTTTTAAAACATTTTACATATCCTTTCTCTCTCTTTTTTTTTTTTTTTGCAGGAAGTCTTTTTTTTTTTTTTAATTATACATCAAGTTCTGGGATACATGTACAGAATGTGCAGGTTTGTTACATAAGTATACATGTGCCATGATGGTTTGCTGCACCCATCAAACCGTCATCTACATTAGGTATTTCTCCTAATGCTATCCCTCCCCTAGCCACCAAACCCCCAAAAGTCCCCATGTGTGATGTTCCCCTTGCTCTCTCCATGTGTTATCATTGTTCAGCTTCCACTTGTGAGTGAGAACATGTGGTGTATTGTTTTCTATTCCTGTCTTAGTTTGCTGAAAAATGATGGTTTCCAGCTTCATCCATATCCCGGCAAAGGACATGAACTCACCCTTTTTTATGGCTGCACCATATTCCATGGTATTTATGTGCCACACTTTCTTTATCCAGTCTATTATTGATTGGCATTTGGGTTGGTTCCAAGCCTTTGCTATTGCGATTAGTGCTGCAATAAACATGTGTGTTCATGTGTCTTTATAGTAGAATGATTTATAATCCTTTGGGTACATATCCAGTAATGGGATTGCTGGGTCAAATGGTATTCCTGGTTCTAGAACCTTGAGGAATCGCCACATTGTCTTCCACAATAGTTGAACTAATTTACACTCCCACCAAGAGTGTAAAAACGTTTCTATTTCTCCACATTCTCCAGCATCTGCTGTTGTTTCCTGACTTTTTAATAATTGCCATTCTAAGTGGCATGAGATGGTATCTCATTGTGGTTTTTATGTGCATTTCTCTAATGACCAGTGATGATGAGCTTTCTTTCATATGTTTATTGGCTACATAAATATCTTCTTTTGAGAAGTGTCTGTTCATATCCTTTGCCCACTTTTTGATGGGGTTGTTTGTTTTTATTGTAAATTTGTTTAAGTTCCTTGTAGATTCTGGATATTAGCCCTTTGTCAGATGGATAGATTGTAAATGTTTCTCCCATTCTGTAGTTTGCCTGTTCACTCTGATGATAGTTTCTTTTGCTGTGCAGAAGCTCTTTAGTTTAACTAGATCCTATTTGTTAATTTTAGGTTGTGTTGCCATGGCTTTTGGTGTTTTAGACATGAAGTCTTTGCCCATGCCTATGTCCTGAATGGTATTGCCTAGGTTTTCTTCCAGGGTTTTTATGGTTTTAGGTCTTACATTTAAGTCTTTAATCCATCCTGAGTTAATTTTTGTATAAGGTGTAACGAAGGGTTCCAGTTTCAGTTTTCTGCATATTGCTAGCCAGTTTTCCTATTATTTATTAAATAGGGAATCCTTTCCCTGTTGCTTGTTTGTGTCAGGTTCGTCAAAGATCAGATGGTTGTAGATGTGTGGTGTTATTTCTGAGGCCTCTGTTCTTTTCCATTGGTCTATATATCTGTTTTGATACCAGTACCATGTTGTTTTGGTTACTGTAGGCTTGTAGTATAGTTTGAAGTCAGGTAACATGATGCTTCCAGCTTTGTTCTTTTTGCTTAGAATTTTCTTGGCTATGCGCGCTCTTTTTTGTGCCAAATGAAATTTAAAATAGTTTTTTTCTAATTCTGTGAAGAAAGTCAGTGGTAGATTGATGGGGATAGCATTGAATCTATAAATTACTTTGGGAAGTATGGACATTTTCACAATATTGATTCTTCCTATCCATGAGCATGGAATATTTTTCCATTTGTTTGTGTCCTCTTTTATTTACTTGAGCAGTGGATATTAGTTCTCCTTGAAGAGGTCCTTCACATCCCTTGTAAATTGTATTCCTAGGTATTTTATTCTCTTTGTGGTAATTGTGAATGGGAGCTCACTCAGGATTTGACTATTATTAGTGTATATGACTGCTTGTGATTTTTGCACATTGATTTTGTATCCTCAGACTTTGCTGAAGTTGCTTGTCAGCTTAAGGAGATTTTGAGCTGAGATGATGGGGTTTTCTAAATATACAGTCATGTTATCTGAAAACAGAGACAATTTGGCTTCTTCTCTTCCTGTTTAAATACCTTTTATTTCTTTCGCTTGCCAGATTGCCCTGGCCAGAACTTCCAATACTGTGTTGAATAGGAGTGGTGAGAGAGGGCATCCTTGTCTTTTGCTGGTTTTCAAAGGTAATACTTCCAGCTTTTGCCCATTCAATATGATATTGGCTGAGGGTTTGTCATAAGTAGCTCTTATTATTTTGAGATACTTTCCATTGATACCTAGTTTATTGAGAGTTTTTGGCATGAAGGGGTGTTGAATTTTGTCAAAGGTCTTTTCTACATCTATTGAGATAATCATGTGTTTTTTGTCCTTGGTTCTGTTTCTGTGGTGGATTATGTTTATCAATTGGTGTATGTTGAACCAGCCTTGCATCCCAGGGATAAAGCCGACTTGATCATTGTGGATAAGCTTTTTGATGTGCTGCTGGATTCGGTTTGCCAGTATTTTATTGAGGATTTTTGCATCAATGTTCATCAGGGTAATGGCCTGAAATTTTCTTTTTTTGTTGTGTCTCTGCCAGGTTTTGGTGTCAGGATGATGCTGGCCTCATAAAATGAGTTAGGGAGGATTCCCTCTTTTTCTATTGTTTGGAATAGTTTCAGAAAGAGCGGTACCAGTTCCTCTTTGTACCTCTGGAAGAATTTGGCTGTGAATCCATCTGGTCCTGGGCTTTTTTTGGTTGGTGGGCTATTAATTACTGCCTCAATTTCAGAACTTGTTATTGGTCTATTCAGGGATTTGACTTCTTCCAGGTTTAGTATTGGGAGTGTGTATGTGTCCAGGAATTTATCCATTTCTTCTAGATTTTCTAGTTTATTTGCACAAAGGTGTTTATAGTATTCTCTCATGGTAGTTTGTATTTCTGTGGGATCAGTGGTGATATCCCCTTTATCATTTTTTATTGTTTCTATTTGATTCTTCACTCTTTTCTCCTTTATTAGTCTGGCTAGCAGTCTATCAATTTTGTTAATCTTTTCAAAAAACCAGCCCCTGGATTTATTGATTTTTGAAGGGTTTTTCATGTCTCCATGTCCTTGAGTTCTGCTCTGATCTTAGTTATTTCTTGTCTCCTGCTAGATTTTGAATTTGTTTGCTGTTGTTTCTCTAGTTCTTTTAATTGTGATGTTCGGGTGTCGATTTTAGATCTTTCTGACTTTCTCCTGTGGGCGTTTAGTGCTATAAATTTTCCATCTAAACACTGCTTTATCTGTGTTCCAGAGATTCTGCTGTGTTGTGTCTTTGTTCTCATTGGTTTCAAAGAATTTATTTATTTCTGCCTTAATTTCATTATTTTCCCAGTAGTCATTCAGGAGCAGGTTGTTCAATTTTCATGTAATTGGGCAGTTTTGAGTGAGTTTCTTATCCTGAGTTCTACTTTGATTGCACTGTGTTCTGACAGACTGTTCTTTGATTTCCGTTCTTTTGCATTTGCTGAGGAGTGTTTTACTTCCAATTATGTGGTCAGTGTTAGAATAAGTGTGATGTGGTGCTGAGAAGAATGTATATTCTGTTGATTTTTGGTGGAGAGTTCTGTAGATGTCTATTAGGTCTGCTTGGTCTAGAGCTGAGTTCAACTCCTGAATATCCTTGTTAATTTTCTGTCTCATTGATCTGTCTAATATTGACAGCAGGCTATTAAAGTCTCCCACTATTATTGTGTGGGAGTCTAAGTCTCTGTGTAGGTCTCCAAGAACTTGCTTTATGAATCTGGGTGTTCCTTATTGGTTGCATATATATTTAGGATAGTTAGCTCTTCTTGTTGCATTGATCCCTTTACCATTTTGTAATGCCCTTCTTTGTCTCTTTTGAACTTGTTGGTTTAAGTGTGTTTTATCAGAGACTAGGACTGCAACCCCTTCTTTTTTTTTTCCTTTCCATTTGCTTGGTAAATATTTCTCCATCTCTTTATTTTGAGCCTATGTCTGTCTTTGCATGTGAGATGGGTGTCCTGAATACAGCACACTGATGGGTCATGACTCTTTATACAATTTTCTACTTTATGTTTTTTAATTGGGACATTTAGTCCATTTACACTTAAGTTTAATATTGTTATATGTTAATTTGATCCTGTGATTATGATGCTAGCTGGTTCCTTTGCCCATTAGTTGATGCAGTTTCTTCATAGTGTCGATGGTCTTTACAATTTGGTATGTTTTTGCAGTGGCTGGTACCAGTTTTTCCTTTCCATATTTCCTTTCTTCAGGAAGGACCGGTGGTAATAAAATCTCTCAGCATTTGCTTGTCTGTAAAGGATTTTATTTCTCCTTTGCTTATGAAGCTCAATTTGGCTGGATATGAAATTCTGGGTTGAAAATCCTTTTCTTTAAGAATGTTGAATATTGGCCCCCAGTCTCTTCTGTCCTGTCAGGTTTCTGCAGAGAGATCCGCTGTTAGTCTGATGCGCTTCCCTTTGTGGGTTACCTGATCTTTCTCTCTGGCTGCCCTTAACATTGTTTCCTTCATTTCAACCTTGGTGAATCTGACAATTGTGTGTCTTGGGGTTGCTTTTATCGAGGAGCATCTTTGTGGTGTTCTCTGTATTTCCTGAATTTGTATGTTGGCCTGTCTTCTAGGTTGGGGAACTTCTCCTGGATAATATCCTGAAGTGTTTTCCAACTTGGTTCTATTTTCCCCATCACCTTCAAGTACACCAATCAAACATAGGTTTGGTCTTTCACATAGTCCCATATTTCTTGGAGGCTTCATTCATTCCGTTTTATTCTTTTTTCTCTAATCTTGTCTTCATGCTTTATTTTATTAAGTTGATCTTCAATCTCTGATATCCTTTCTTCTGCTTGATCGATTCGGTTATTGATACCTGTGTATGCTTCGCAAAATTCTCGTGCTGTTTTTTTCAGCTCAAGCAGGTCATTTATGTTCTTCTCTAAACTGGTTATTCTAGTTAACAATTATTCGAACATTTTTTCAAGATTCTTAGCTTCTTTGAATTTGTTTAGAACATGCTCTTTTAGCTCAGAGGAGTTTGTTATTATCCACCTTCTGAAGCCTACTTCTGTCAATTCATCAAACTCATTTTCCAACCAGTTTTGTTCCCTTGCTGGTGAGGAGTTGTGATCCTTTGGGGAAAAAGAGGGCTTCTGGATTTTGGAATTTTCAGCCTTTTTGCACCAGTTTTTCCTCATCTTCATGGATTTATCTACCTTTGGTCTTTGATGTTGGTGATCTTCGGATGGGGTTTTTGTGTGGACATCCTTTTTGTTGATGTTGATGCTATTCCTTTTTGTTTGTTAGTTTTACTTCTAACAGTCAGGCTGACCCTGTTTTCCTGAGTGTCACCAGCGGAGGCTGCAGAACATCAAAGATTACTGCCTGTTCCTTCCTCTGGAAGCTTCATCCCAGAAGGGCACCCACCAGATGCCTGCCGGAGCTCTCCTATATGACTTGTCTTTTAAACCCCTGCTGGGAAGTGTCTCTCCATCAGGAGGTATGCAGGGTCAGAGACCCACTTGAGGAAGCAGTCTGTCCCTTAGCAGAGCTAGAGCACTGTGCTGGGAGATCTGCTGCACTCTTCAGAGCTGGTAGGCAGGAACATTTAAGTCTTCCAAAGCTGTGCCCACAGCCACTCCTTCTCCCAGGTGCTCTGTCCCAGGGAGGTGAGAGGTTGATGTATAAGCTTTTGACTGGTTCTGTTGCCTTTCTTTTAGAGATGCTCTGCCCAGAGAGGAGAAATCTAGAGAGGCAGTCTGGCTACAGTGACTTTGCCAAGCTGCGGTGGGCTTTGCCCAGTTCAAACTTCCTGGTAGCTTTGTTTACACTGTGAGGGGAAAACTGCCTACTCAAGCCTCAGTAATGGTGGATGCCCCTCTCACCCCCAAGCTTGAGCATCCCAGGCCAACTTCAGACTACTGGGCTGGCAGCAAGAATTTCAAGCCAGTGGATCTTAGCTTGCTGAGCTCCATGGGGGTGGGATCTGCTGAGCTAGACTACTTGGCTCCCTGACTTCAGCCCCCCTTTTAGGGGAGTGAACACTTATGTCTCGCTGGAGTTCCAGGTGCCACAGGGGTATGAAAAAAAAATACCTGCAGCTAGCTCAGTGTCTTCCCAAGTGGCTTCCCAGTTTTATGCTTGAAACCCAGGGCCCTGGTGCTGTAGGCAACCAAGGGAATCTACTGGTCTGTGGGTTGTGGAGACCATGGGAGAAGCCAACTATCTGGGCTAGCATGCACCATTTCTCATGGCACAGTCCCTCACGGCTTCCCTTGGCCAGGCGAGGGAGTTCCCCCACCCCTTGCACTTCCTGGGTGAGGCCATGCCCCATTAAGCTTTGTCTTGCCCTCCGTGGGCTGCACCTACTGTCTAACCAGTCCTAATGAGATGAGCTGGATACCTCAGTTGGAATTGCAGAAATCACCCCCTTCTTCATTGATCTCGTGGGGAGCTGCAGACCGGAGCTGTTCCTATTCAGCCATCTTGCCACCCACCCTTCTGTCACCTGTATTTTTTTTTTCTTTTTTTGGGGGAGGCGGTGGATGGAGTCTTGCTCTGTCACCCAGGCTGGAGTGCAGTGGCAAGATCTTGGCTCACTGCAACCTCCACCTCCCAGGTTCAAGAGATTCTCCTGCCTCAGCCTCCAGAGTAGCTGGAATTACAGGCACACAGCACCACACCTGGCTATTTTTAGTATTTTTAGTAGAGACGAAGTTTCTACTACAGGCTGGTCTCAAACTCCTGATCTCAGGTGATCCGCCCACCTTGGCCTCTAAAATTGTTGGGATTACAGGCGTGAGCCACCGTGCCCAACTGAACCATGAATTATTGTAAGCACTTCTACAGGAGCAAGAATGCCACAGCAGAGAGAAAAGTAACTTAGCATTATTGAGAACCTCATTCTGTGCCAGGTAGAAAATGAAGCACTTTTTTGCTTGCATAATCTCATTTAATAATTATTGCAATCTTTATTATACAAAATTCTGAGAGAGTGACTCCAGTGTCACAAAATAATGAGTGATGAATGTAGCTCAACTCCTTAATAAAAAGCAGTTATTCTGTGTATGGTATCATACATTTTTTAGGAAGACAAAAATAGAATATTTTGCTATTCCAGAAGAGCCAAAAGTACAGAAATGGAAAGAAGATACTGAAAAATGAAATAAAAAATATGTGTCCATATATTTTTATATTTCTTAGCACTAAAATTTACCTAGCAAACTTGATCTCCTCCATGCCTGAGGTTCCAATTCTGTTCCTGCATTAGATTATGGTAGCACCTCTAAGTTTTTGGCTGCAATGTAAACTATTACTAGTCATCTAATTAATACAATATATGTATGACAATAGATACAATCAAAGTATAAGAATTTTTTTTTTACCATTCTCTTTTTTTATTATTATTATACTTTAAGTTCTAGGATACATGTGCACAATGTGCAGGTTTCTTACATATGTATACATGTGCCATGTTGGTGTGCTGCACCCATTAAATCATCATTTACATTAGGTATATCTCCTAATGCTATCCCTCCCCCAGCCCCCCAACCCCATAACAGGCCCCCATGTGATGTTCGCCACCCTGCATCCAAGTGTTCTCATTGTTCAATTCCCAGCTATGAGTGAGAATATGCAGTCTTTGGTTTTCTGTCCTTGTGATAGTTTGTGCAGAATGATGGTTTCCAGCTTCATCCATGTCCCTGCAAAGGACAAGAACTCAGCCTTTTTTATGGCTGCATAGTATCCCATGGTGTATATGTGCCACATTTTCTTTCTATTTATTTATTTATTTATTTATTTATTTGTCTATTTATTATTATTATACTTTAAGTTTTAGGGTACATGTGCACAATGTGCTGGTTAGTTACATATGTATACATGTGCCATGCTGGTGCGCTGCACCCACTAACTAGTCATCTAGCATTAGGTATATCTCCCAATGCTATCCCTCCCCCCTCCCCCCACCCCACAACAGTCCCCAGAGTGTGATGTTCCCCTTCCTGTGTCCATGTGTTCTCACTGTTCAATTCCCACCTATGAGTGAGCATATGAGTTGTTTGGTTTTTTGTTCTTGTGCTAGTTTACTGAGAGATGATTTCCAATTTCATCCATGTCCCTACAAAGGACATGAACTCATCATTTTTGATGGCTGCATAGTATTCCATGGTGTATATGTGCCACATTTTCTTAATCCAGTCTGTCATTGTTGGACATTTGGGTTGGTTCCAAGTCTTTGCTATTGTGAATAATGCCACAAAAAACGTACGTGTGCATGTGTCTTTATAGCAGCATGATTTATAGTCCTTTGGGTATATACCCAGTAATGGGATGGTTGGGTCAAATGGTATTTCTAGTTCTAGATCCCTGAGGAATCTCCACACTGACTGCCACAATGGTTGAACTAGTTTACAGTCCCACCAACTGTGTAAAACTGTTCCTATTTCTCCACATCCTCTCCAGCACCTGTTGTTTCCTGACTTTTTAATGATCACCATCTAACTGGTGGGAGATGGTATCTCATTGTGGTTTTGATTTGCATTTCTCTGATGGCCAGTGATGGTGAGCACTTTTTCATGTGTTTTTTGGCTGCATAAATGTCTTCTTTTGGGAAGTGTCTGTTCATGTCCTTTGCCCACTTTTTGATGGGGTTGTTTGTTTTTTTCTTGTAAATTTGTTTGGGTTCATTGTAGATTCTGGATATTAGCCCTTTGTCAGATGAGTAGGTTGCGAAAATTTTCTCCCATTTTGTAGGTTGCCTGTTCACTCTGATGGTAGTTTCTTTTGCTGTGCAGAAGCTCTTTAGTTTAATTAGATCCCATTTGTCAATTTTGGCTTTTGTTGCCATTGCTTTTGGTGTTTTAGACATGAAGTCCTTGCTCATGCTTATGTCCTGCATGGTAATGCCTAGGTTTTCTTCTAGGGTTTTTATGGTTTTAGGTCTAACATGTAAGTCTTTAATCCATCTTGAATTAATTTTTGTAAAAGGTGTAAGGAAGGGATCCAGTTTCAGCTTTCTACATATGGCTAGCCAGTTTTCCCAGCACCATTTATTAAATAGGGAATCCTTTCCCCATTGCTTGTTTTTCTCCGGTTTGTCAAAGATCAGATAGTTGTAGATATGTGACATTATTTCTGAGGGCTCTGTTCTGTTCCATTGATCTATATCTCTGTTTTGGTAACAGTACCATGCTGTTTTGTTTGCTGTAGCCTTGTATTATAGTTTGAAGTCAGGTAGCATGATGCCTCCTGCTTTGTTCTTTTGGCTTAGGATTGACTTGGTGATGCGGGCTCTTTTTTGGTTCCTTATGAACTTTGAAGTAGTTTTTTCCAATTCTGTGAAGAAAGTCATTGGTAGCTTGATGGGGATGGTATTGAATCTGTAAATAGACATCTACAGAACTCTCCACCCCAAATCAACAGAATATACATTCTTCTCAGCACCACACCACACCTATTCCAAAATTGACCACATACTTGGAAGTAAAGCTCTCCTCAGCAAATGTAAAAGAACAGAAATTATAACAAACTATCTCTCAGACCACAGTGCAATCAAACTAGAACTCAGGATTAAGAATCTCACTCAAAACTGCTCAACTACATGGAAACTGAACAACCTGCTCCTGAATGATTACTGGGTACATAACGAAATGAAGGCAGAAATAAAGATATTCTTTGAAACCAACGAGAACAAAGACACAACATACCAGAATCTCTGGGATGCATTCAAAGCAGTGTGTAGAGGGAAATTTGTAGCACTAAATGCCCACAAGAGAAAGCAGGAAAGATCCAAAATTGACACCCTAACATCATAATTAAAAGAACTAGAAAAGCAAGAGCAAACACATTCAAAAGCTAGCAGAAGGCAAGAAATAACTAAAATCAGGCAGAACTGAAGGAGATAGAGACACAAAAAAACCCTTCAAAAAATTAATGAATCCAGGAGCTGGTTTTTTGAAAGGATCAACAAAATTGATAGACTGCTAGCAAGACTAATAAATAAAAAAAGAGAGAAGAATCAGATAGACACAATAAAAAATGATAAAGGGGATATCACCACCGATCCCAGAGAAATACAAACTACCATCAGAGAATACTACAAACACCTCTACGCAAATAAACTAGAAAATCTAGAAGAAATGGATAAATTCCTCGACACATACACTCTCCCAAGACTAAACCAGGAAGATGTTGAATCTCTGAATAGACGAATAACAGGATCTCAAATTGTGGAAATAATCAATGGCTTACCAACCAAAAAGAGTCCAGGACCAGATGGACTGACAGCCGAATTCTACCAGAGGTACAAGGAGGAACTGGTACCATGCCTTCTGTAACTATTCCAATCAATAGAAAAAGAGGGAATCCTCCCTAACTCATTTTATGAGGCCAGCATCATCCTGATACCAAAGCCGGGCAGAGACACAACCAAAAAAGAGAATTTTAGACCAATATCCTTGATGAACATTGATGCAAAAATCCTCAATAAAATACTGGCAAACCAAATCCAGCAGCACATCAAAAAGCTTGTCCACCATGATCAAGTGGGCTTCATCCCTGGGATGCAAGGCTGGTTCAGTATACCCAAATCAATAAATGTAGTCCAGCATAAACAGAACCAAAGACAAAAACCACATGATTATCTCAATAGATGCAGAAAAGGCCTTTGACAAAATTCAACAACACTTCATGCTAAAAACTCTCAATAAATTAGGTATTGATGGGACATATCTCAAAATAATAACAGCTATCTATGACAAACCCACAGCCAATATCATACTGAATGGGCAAAAACTAGAAGAGTTCCCTTTGAAAACTGGCACAAGACAGAGATGCCCTCTCTCACCACTCCTATTCAACATAGTCTTGGAAGTTCTGGCCAGGGCAATTAGGCAGGAGAAGGAAATAAAGGGTATTCAATTAGGAAAAGAGGAAGTCAAATTGTCCCTGTTTGCAGACGACATGATTGTATATCTAGAAAACCCCATTGTCTCAGCCCAAAATCTCTTTAAGCTGATAAGCAACTTCAGCAAAGTCTCAGGATACAAAATCAATGTACAAAAATCACAAGCATTCTTATACACCAACAACAGACAGAGAGCCAAATCATGAGTGAACTCCCATTCACAATTGCTTCAAAGAGAATAAAATACCTAGGAATCCAACTTACAAGGGATGTGAAGGACCTCTTCAAGGAGAACTACAAACCACAGCTCAATGAAATAAAAGAGGATACAAACAAATGGAAGAACATTCCATGCTCATGGGTAGGAAGAATCAATATCATGAAAATGGCCATACTGCCCAAGGTAAGAAAATATTTTTAACTTCTAAACTTGTATTATTGTGTCATAAAGGTATAAAATTTTCAGGAGATAAGGTTGCAGAAATAATAACAAAAGTTCTTCAACAGTCAGCAGGGTAGAAGCCCTTTGAACATCAGATGGTCTATTTGTTTTATCTCAGATTTCTACTGTGTGTAGTGATTGTTTCATATTTTGCTCTCATCTGTAGCCAACTAATTAAAACTATTTTTAAATGATATCATTTCAACTAAAAAAATATTAAGAGTCCTCAAATTTGGCACTAACTTTGTCACAGGTATAATCTGGCCATTAACTATGACTATAAGAAATAGTTTAATTAATTTAATCTTTATAAGGACAACCCTTAACATTCCCAATAGATGCATTCCAAATTATTTGCAAGTATTTTGGCACTTTTGGCATTTGGACAGGATAATTCTTTGTTGGGAGGAAATATCTGGCTAGACATACTAGATGCAAGTAGAATTCCCTCCAGTGTAACAACCAAAAATTTATTTATGCATTGTCAAATGCAAAGGTGCAATCAGTTGAGAACCATTGCCCTATAAGTTTAAAAATAATTCTTTATAATAATGTGTAATTGTTTAAATTAAATGACTCTTGTATGTCCTATAGTAAGTAGACAATATCCAGCCCATCTTAAAATTTCTAAGAGTTTGTATTCAGCCAGTTTTACAAGACAATCATCTAAATTCATCTGGAAGACATACTAGATGTAACTCACTTTTCCCTTTAAAATCATTTCTATGACTATTTCCCATTTACTACATGCTATTATAATTATACACTGAAAACAAAATTATTTATCTGAAAAATCATGAAGAATAAGTTATTAGAAGCATCCAAAGTATTTTAAATGATGCCATTATGTATCCCTTAGCAGACATAGGATGTACCTGAACTCTGCCTCACTGCTCAGTTATGTCATCGGACACGCAGGCTTTTTCGGTTTCTTTGCTTGCCATGGTGAGTGTGTTGGCTTTTATCCTCATGACTTGTCAAAAGATGGCTGCTGCATCTGATTCACATTCAAGGAAGGCAAATAGAAGAGGTAAGGGACTATGCCAGGCACATCTGTCTTCTTTTACAAGGTAATTAAGTACCTTCTCAGAAACACCATCAGAAAATTTCTGTGTAAATCTTATTTGCCTAACTTAGATCCTTTGGCTGCCCTTGCTGCAAGGGATATTGGGAAATTAAGCAAGAGTGAGAAACAAGATTATTATTCCTGCCTAAGACTAATAATGGTCCATTACCTGAAGTGAACACATCACTGCTTTATTTCCAAATTCAACTTACATTATCCAGGAAGAAAGAAAAAATGACATTTGTAGCAATTAGCTACACATGATAAGACTAATAACTACATCACCACCACCAATAATAATAATGAGCAGATATTATCAAATATTTATTAAATGCTTATGATGTAACAACCATGCTTCTAACAAAAGTTCAAGTTAGGCACTGCTATTAACTTTATTTAACAAAGAAGGAAGGTAGAAACCTTAGTAGTTAAGTAACTTGTCCAAGATTATACAATTGGTCAGTTCGAAATTCTTCGAATGTCTGTTGAGCAAAGGTTATTTTATAAAGTACTGTCTTTGGCACTTCATCATAAATAAATTCTTCAATTGTTATTTAGCTGGTAATAAACTGTTAAGTAACATTTATTTAAGTGGGTACATGTTTTACTCTTTGCGTCAGTAAAAATAAATGTATGTATCAGGAAAAGAGATGTAAAGAATGTAAATATACAACCAATAAACAATATCCAATTACAATGTAAAGCACATACATACTTATTAACATTATTTGGAAATAATTTTGGAGTTTTTTAATTAAATGGATTAAAGTAGGAAAAACTATATTAGTTCTTAAAGATTGGCATCATGGGTTGTTGTACACAGCTGGAAAACTGCTGTATTATACTTTATGCATATAATTAGTGATTAAATGTGAGACAAGTAATAGACACCATTTGTGTCATTGGAGCAATCCAAAATATTATGAATAAAATTCTTGTGAATTTTAGGGAAAGAAATATAAATGCAAGACAAAGAAAGAACTATCTTTGGCAGCATAGAACACTGAATTGGAGTAAAAGATCTTTTGGAAATAAAGATATTTTGCCAAAATGAGGAGGGCTAGCTCTGAGTTTACTCTTATTTTGATAAATGTCTGCTTCCATTGTTCCAATTGTTACTATAGTAGAGTTAATTAATACAAAATCAATTTTGCCAATGGGAATTATAACAAGATTAAAAGATTTGAATGTGACATCTTATACTCAGATGGAAAGAAAAATAAAACAAAGCAACCCACAAAATTTGAACATGTGGGATCAGAATGGGAGATCAAGCTGAGACCAATAGGAAGGCAATTCTTATGAAAACCAAAAAGAAATTGCCTATAAGGTCTGTATTAGCCAAATGAGTGACGAAGTATGAAAAAAGCTGATGACATTCAGGGTTGACTGCATAATTTGTGGGACTCAGTGCCAAATGAAAATGTGACACCATTTGTTCAAAATGCAGAAAAATATTTACATAAGGGATACTAAAAATCTAAAAATGTTTTTCCTTTCTTCTGTGGCCTCTTCCATGACTTGTTATGAGGTGTGTGTGTATGTTTAAATTTGCTCTTTGAAGTTGCTTTACGTAAAAAAAAATAAAAATTTTATTCATTAGCATGAACTTTGCCACCCACATTTATATTGTGTAATGCCAGTTTTAAATGCAAATGTAAAACTGTTAACCATTTAAGTAGAATCACTGGAATTATACAATTTGTATTTTATACTTTGTACATGCATGTATATTTTGCTGTTAACAGGCAGTTGAAAACACTGCATAAAACTAACTCGGTTATTTTTATTTCAGTTCTTGATATGCACACATTCTAACAATACTGTCTACCTCAGGCTTACTATTGAGTACAGAAGGAAAGAAAAAGTAACTATGAGTAGCTCCTTCTCTTTTCTTCTATATCATTTTCTTCTATATCATTTTTATTGTAGCTGGTTGGCAAATACCTTAAAGTAATGAGTAAGAAAGAATATGGCAGAGTTTCATGGTGGTTTATTTTCTTAGAATGTCATTGCCTTCTTTGTGCATTTGAATCAAGTTCTGGTTCAAATGGAAATGTAGCCTCTCAGGATTGCCTGTGCTCCTGCTTACTCAGTCATGATGTAACAGGCATTCATTGATTTGCTTTGTGTCTCCCTGAACTGCTCCACACTCTGAGTCCACAATATTTCTGTGCTCACATGGGCATAATGAATACTCTATGGGAATGAAGAAGCAAGGAATGGCAGGAACACATTTTCCATATATGTGTCTCCCCTGCCTGCACACATACTCCATTATCCCACCAGACTTCACTTGCAAAACACAAATTCAAACATAAAATTATTAAGAATTTGAAGACATTCTCAGCAGAGCAATAAATCAAGTGTGGGGCTCTTCCGAGCACAGGACTCAGTGCGACCACCAGATCTTATGACAACGAAGCCACCTTTGATGACATTTTAGCCTAAGGAACTTTTAAAAATAGTATTCAGATCAAGAAACAAAATAGAAAGAGAAGCTAAACCTCTTTGGATTGTAATCGGTTTATTTTAAAATTTTTAATAACTTTTGAATGTTAACAGTCAACTCTTCTCAACTGGAGATCTTAACTACAGGCTATTTTTTTTTCTTTGAAGTGACTTTACAAAGTTCTGCTCTAGTCCAACACATGCAGATATATACTTAAGTTATCAAAAGAATTATTATTTCCAAAAAGTTGTGAGTAGGGGCAGAGTGGGGTTCAGTGTTGTGCCTTATATCACCTTCCAATTTTAGGAGTTCCTATTTCTTCATTTCTACTTTTCAATATTCTACTTATCACTGTGTTTTTTAAAGCTTTAAAAATGTCATTTACCATCATAATTTTTTAAATGGATATGGAATCAGTGTCCAAAGCACATGAAACATCCAGGATTAGCATTCAAAAATGCATGATTCTCCTTTGTGCCTCTTGCCACAGAAACATGCTGCTTAAATCTGCAACTCTACTGATAGTGATAAACCATTCTGAAACATTTATGAAGAGCAGCAGTTATGTTGCCTTTGAATAGCATATGAGACACTTGATTGGCCTCCATTGAACTAATTTAATAATTTAAATGTTATCTTCCTGTTGTTAGCTTTTATTGTAGCAGTATTAATCTATAGAATATCTATATAATCAATTTTTCCCCTACTTTCACCACTCCTTCCCTGGGGTGGCACTAGAGAGAATGGCTAACATTTTTTTAGGATCATTACCCACAGGGTTTCAATGTATATAAAAAGTTTTTCCTGCTTTTGAATGTAGCATTAAGATGGAAGTCATGGGGAGAAAAAATAGTGCCTCTGTGTTTTATATTTAGGAATGGTTGTGAACATTTTACCCTGCAAATAAAACACTAATAAAAAAGTCACCAATGGAGACCATCCTGGCCAACATGGTGAAACCCCATCTCTACTAAAAATACAAAAATTAGCTGGGCCTGGTGGCAGACACCTGTAGTCCCAGCTACTCAGGAGGCTGAGGCAGGAGAATTGCTTGAACCTGGGAGGCAGAGGTTGCAGTTAGCCGAGATGGCACCACTGCACTCCAGACTGGGCAACAGAGTGAGACTCCATCTTAAAAAAAAAGGCACCTATGGAAATTGGAACACTTAATATCTTTCATTTAGATGTAAATAGTGTATAAATGTGAAAGAGATAAAAAGGTACTTGTTTTCTACATTAGTATCTAAATATATCTAAAATAAGTTTACTATACATTTAACTAAAGACAACTGTTACACATATCTCATGAAAATATATGGTGTAATTAGCACGTAAAAATTGATTTTTATTTCTCATGGAAATTTAGATCCAATGGAAGAATATGAGATAGGCTACATAATAAAAGAGACGAGTAGATCCAGAAATTGAAAAGAATAGGAACCACTGTCAGGATAAGTTAATTCCAAACATTTTCGATCTTTGGGTCCCATGCCACACTTTGCTTGGAATAGATGCAATATCTTCCCTATTTTTCCTCCCCACTCTTCTCCTTAGGGAAAGAATCCTTAGGTCAGGTGGCTAAGCCAACTCTATCAGTCAGGGTTCCTAAAGGAAACAGAACAAATAGCAATAAGTGTATATAGAGCAATCATTTTTTATACACATACATACGTTTCACACACATATATATATACACATATACATACACATACATGTCTATACATATATACACACATATATCTCAAATATATTGATTTATTCAAAGAAACTGGCTCATGTAATTGTGGGCACTGAGCTGGTAAATTCAAAATCTGTAGGGCAGATCAGCAGGCTGAAAACACAGGTATGAATTTTTCTTGCTGTCTTGAGTTTGAAGTTTGTAGGGCAGGCTGGCAGGCTGGAAACATGAGCAGGATATCCACCTTAAAATCTTGATACATAATTTTTTCTTTTTCAGGAAAGTTAAGTTTTTGCTCTTAAGGACTTCAACTGGTTGGATGAGGCCCAAAGAAATTATCAAGATTAATCTGCTTTACTTAAAGTCAACTGACTGTATATGTTAACCACATCTACAAAATAGCTTCACAGCAACACCTAGATTAGTATTTGATTAAGTTACTGGGTACTAATGCCTTCCGTTGACACATAAAATTAAACATCACACCAACTTCAGCGAAAGGAGCTTATGGTTTATGATAATGATATACTAGCCCTGGAATTAGGACAGCATAGCTGCAGGAAGCAAGACAGGACTAAAGAGCCTCATTATACCTAGGTCCTTTCCAAATTCAACATGATCTCTTAATGATACGGTGAATAGCAATTGCTTTGCACATTGGCTGGAACTTTGTAATTGCCCAAAATTATGAATTAGTATTTAACTATTTTAAATCCTGGGAAGCCTTTGAAATATCCAGGCAATAATAAGCAGTTGGATGTAGGGCTCTAGAGCTGCTACCAAGACATTAATTAAATCAGTTAGAGCAGCTTCCTCTATGATTTGGACTGGAAAATATGAAACATGGAAAGGATAATTTTGTTATAATGAGGGAATAATGGAGCAGACATACATATAGAAGCAATGATAATGTTATCTGGGTTGGGGATTTAGAGAGGGGTGTACCAGAAAAATATAGAATTGAGGAACTATTAGTAGGAATTCGTAATCCTAACCTCTCCATTCCCCCCACCTCTTCTATGCATTAGATTAAGAAATGTGGCATAATCTTCCTCAGTCTGTCTCTCTATCCCCTCTACCCCTACCAGAATAATAATTCTACAACAAAAGGGTACCCGTGTCATCCCCCAGTTTAAAACTCACCATGACTATCCATAATTCTTTTCCAAATTTCATAACGTGTGATGTCTATAGCTGTCAGATCCTTGCCTACTCCTGTGATTTAATTTCTAGTCATTTCCCTCAACTTTTGCATTCTATTCTTAATACATATCGAACACACTTCCATTTCTGCAAATTTGCCTGATCTCTTTAGCCTCTGAACTTTTCAACACCCTTGTATTTATTTCCAATGCCCGACTAAAGTTAAACTGCTGAAAAGTAGCAACCACCCATACTCTTTTTTGTTATCTGTTTGCCCAGCACAGCACAAGACACATACAGATGCATAATCGTACCCACTCTCCCCTTCAGATTCCAAATTCTTTAAGCATAGAAAGCACACCTATTTCATCTTTATGCCTCTCACAGCATCATTTGCGAAGTACTTTACACTTAGTTTCCTCAATAAATTGTTGCTGAATTCAGTGAAAGCACTGATAGAACTATAAACCCTTATAATCATTTGAAATAGGGAAATTATATTCCAAGTGTTACAAAATGGGCATAAATGAATCATATGTGTTGATTATATATGGGGACTGAATATGCTATAAAGTGCACATATGGTAGCAAGAACACAACCCTACTGTATTACTAAATGTGAGTCATGTAAAACTAATATGCTTGCAATAAATGTTAATTAAACATTCAACTAACAATTTTCTTGCCCTTTTGAAACTTAGAATGCTTTGAAGGGGATTGTTTGGTCTCTTAAAAGCACTTTCCTGGCAAATTTAAATAGGTACTTTTTTCTCTCCATTTAATTTCTTTCTTTTATCTCTTTTTTTGCATAGAAATTATGCACATCCCCCATATAGTTTTGTTTTGCATTTAGTTTTTTAATTTTAATTTAAAAAAGTTTTAAATTGATACATAATGATTGCACATATTTATGGGGAACATATGATACTGTGATATATATAATGTAGAATGATTGGAGCAGGGTAACGAGCATATCCATCATCTCAACTATTTATCATTTGTTTGTGTTGAAGATGTTCAATATTCTCCTCTAGCTACTGAAACTATAAAACATATTATTATTAACATTTAATTTATTTAAAGTGTACAGAGATTAGCAAAATGATTCTAATGACCTCAATTTTTGGCCCTTTAACTTCACGAAGAGGCTTTGCATGATATTTTGAGAAGCCCCCACATAAAAATACACCATTTCCAGTGCTTTCTTTCAGAAGGCTTTGGGTCTTCTGCCTTTCAACCAGAATTCTGGGTGTGTTCTATATCCTTTGACATGAGTACACACACACACATGCACATACACATGTGCATACACACAATTCCAAAGTGCCCATGATGCAGATCACAGTTATTCCTATGCTTTTGTTTGGGAATAATTTCAGGTCCACTTTCTTAGTAATTTCAGGGGCATATCTTGGGTATCTGGAGCTATCTGAATTACCTAACAGCTCCTCATCATTCCATAAAGACTTTGTATAGAACAAGTCTGTAGATGTGGAAAGCTCAGAAATCATGCCTGTTTTGTTCATTGTTATTTCTCATTCTGAGGACTAAATTCAGTGCATGGTTGGTACTCAATATACTTTTGTTCACTGGAAAATGGGTGCATGAATTTATAAGGTTAAGCATATACATATTCCCTGGTAATATTAGTAGCTGCTAAAGATACTTTGAACAATAGTGGATATGGTATTCGCACACACACTATGTGCACTAATCCTGCGGTAACTAGGGATCATTCATAGGAAGGAAGTGGTATCCAAATAACATTCACTGGCAGTAGAATCCCAGTACACACATGGTACCTGACTTTAGCTGGAGTAGAAATGAATAGGAAAGAAAGGCCATATAATGACAGATGCTTTATTATATCAATTTTAAGATACATCTTTCCCCATAGTTTAGCCCATGAAGAATAATAATTCATATTAAAATTAATAATATTTATTGAAATCAATGAGGAGATCTGAAGGAATGAAAATTTGCTCCTCATTGACTGAGTACAGCAAGGAAGAATGCCTTTGCAAAAATTCTTCAAATACCTTTTACAAGGAAGTAGTTTTATAGCGTATTGAGGGGAACACAGCCCTTCTGATAACAAGCAACAAAAATGCTTAAAATGGCAAGCAAAGTTTCAAGCACTCTAACTTGTGTGTTTTCTTCAAACAGGATGTTTGCCATGAGTGACTTTTTTTTTTAAGAGTCCTGTAGTTTTTTTAAAGAAAGACACTAGTGGTTATTTCTCAATAACTTAGCTTTAACTCAAGGACCAATAAAATTTTCCAGCTGGGGTGAATAAGGCCTGGGGAAAATGTTAAAAGAAGAAGGGATTAAAGATATTTCTGGAAAATACAGTTTCCACATCCTCCTGTCATTGTCAACCAGGTGGCAGTTATGACATAGACATCACTTTCTGCACATAAGCAAATTTGGTCATAGTTGTTCATGTTGCCATTTTAAATGAATTATGCTTGTACTACAGGCATTATGCTTAATTGCCTTTAAAAATGTCTTCAAAAATTATATTATGATTCTGTACTAAAATGAAAAATTATTGTATGTACAGAAAGAAACAGAAACATGCAGTGGGACATATATTTGATAGTCCAGAAACAAATATCTATCCTAAAAGCAATGAAAGAAATTTTAAAATTTTCTTGGAAATCAAAAATAAAGTTATTTGTTGGAGTTAAGAAAGAAAGACTCCACAGGGAGAAAAAGATGTGTTATCTTTTGCTTCTATTGACTATTACATGCCAAGCAAGAAAGCGCCAGCAGCAAATTTTGCAGAACAGGTGTCAGCAGCTTGTGAGAAAATCCCAGAGACTATAGTGGAGCACTTTTAAAAGAAATTCTGGCTTCATCACTAATGCTCTTTATGGCACAGAGGACCATTTTTAGTGATAAAACACAGATAAGTATTGAAACCCCTGGATTTGAAAGGATGCAGAAAAGTTGCAGTCTAAATGTGGAATTGTTTAGGAATATATTAAGAAATTTATTTCACCAATTTAAAAATATACACAAATTTGATGATGGTAAATCATCTACAATAAAAAGTCTTTAAAAAGCTATTCCAATAATCGTAAGATACATTTCTAAGAAAAAGTATTGCGACAGTTTTACAGGCAGCATTTTTTTCTTTCTTTGTGAGTCATAACAATGTCTTACATTAATCTTGGATTCTGTTTTATATTAATGCTAGCTGGATCCTGAAGTATCTGGAAAGTTCTTTCTGGCATGGGGAAATAAGTGTGCTTCTATACTGTAGAATCTCACCTTCGTGGTAAGGAGAAGAAAGATGGAGGAATTAGAAAAGACTAAAAGACATTTAAAAGAAATGTTCCATACAATCTAAAACAAGAAGATCCCTCTCATTAATGTGGTTAAATGAAGAGTACAAGTTGATCCCCAAAGTACTTTCAGGTTAGAAGTTTAGTCTTGGAACAGCCTATTTTACAAAGTCCATGCTCTTCAGTAGCTTTGGGGGAGACACATGAGGCAAAGAGGGGAGAAGCAAGTATATACTTAGGCAGCTAGATGGTCTAAATCAGCCCCATGTCTTTCTGTGTGACAGAAGTTGCAGCCATGTTAACATTCTTTTCACATTCTAATAACATCTGTTGTTGTGTTGTCCTAGCACTCAGCCAGGGGCAGTCCTGGGTATACCTGACAGCATAATCTGATGCTGCTGCTGGTACGTGGCTATGTGAACCATTCATTTTAAAGTGATAGAATATGTCTATTACAGTGGTTTTACACCCCTTTCAATACCTACGGCAGCAGTGCACGGTGCTATAAAATTAACTTAGACTGACTTTCAGTCTCTACATTTTTCATTTCCTTCTGAGTTGCCACACCCTCCGGGAATCAGACTAGCTCTAAATGACTTAGGCAATGAGGCTTCCATTTCTTCCTGTGGGAAACTAATGTACAGTCTAACAGACTATTAAGAAATTGTTTCTGATATTCAGCCTACATTTTCTTTTCCTTAATTGCATTCCATTACTACATTCTAAACAATTTTTCCTTCTCCTTAAGATCCTACAGATTCTTGTCTAAGGCCATTCCAATTTGGCCAGCCTTTGTAAAATGAATAATTTTTGTTCTTTGCTTCTACTGGAAGTCAAACTTTCTTGTTTTTAGTTTACTTACTTGATATTCTCAAAATTCCTTTGCTGCTGGCTGTTATTAAAATAGTCAAAAGACTACCATTTACAAAGATGTTCTGTCTAGAAAAGCATAGAAAATAGTATTACCTTATTTTGAATGTAAAAATTGAATTAATCTCATACTGGCTGTGTATTACCATCCCAATTTATTTTTAATCAGACAGCCCTATCTAGATCATCTTTTCTACCTATATAGGCTTTTAAAATTGATATTCTTTAAGTATTATTCCCCTAAATTATACACACACACACACACACACACGCACATACATACCACAAGCATTTGAGATGAGAGTCTCATCGCTCTGTCTCCCAGGCTTGAGTGCAGTGGCCAGACCTTGGCTTACTGCAACTTCTGCCTCCCAGGCTCAAGAGATCTGCTCACTTCAGCCTCTCAAGTAGCTGCGACCACAGGCACACACTATCATGCCTGGCTAAGTTTTGTATATTTTGTAGAGATGGGGTTTCACCATGTTGCCTAGGCTGGTCTTCAACTCCTGGGCTCAAGCTATGCACCTACCTTCACCTCCTAAGGTGCTGGGATTATAGGCATGAGCCACCATGCCTGGCTTCTTCATGCCTTTTAGTAGATCTGAATTTATCAATAAACATTAACCAAATAGGCAGCTTAGTTCAATTTTATGAAATAAACAGCTTGCAAAGATCAAAAATACACCTTAAAATGTATTATCACTATCTCAAAACTGCTTATGGCTAGATGTTTTTTTCCTTTTTTGCAATAAAGATATCAAATATTTACATAACATTTTTTAATGTCTAGAATCATTTTCACATCTATTACCTTAGTAAACCCTGATTTTAACTCTATGATTGATTTCTATCTTTGCTTTGATCCCCAAGCGTCAATGGATGGCCATGTTGGGATTATTTCTCTTCCCCACCCTCTCTTCCCCTGCTATCCTCTCACCCACCTAAACACACACTCCTGACAACAAAGTGTTCTTTTCATTATACCGTGTTAATGATACTTTAAATATCATTTACAGAAGTCTAAACTTGAATTTTGGGCCCTACGGATACTGAAATATAGTAAAGTATTCCTAGACTTCATTCATCTTCTAATGTTGAAATAGGAAAAAAAACTAATAAAAGAGACTCATCCACTGCAGGAAAAAGACAAAACAAAACAAGAAAGGAAAGGTTTGTTTATGTGTTGTTGAAAGAACCACAGTTTCTTCAGAATCTTATTAAGAAGAGAGGAGACACTTGAAATATATGCCACCTAGTAATAATATTGTAAGGTGCCAAAGATAAATGTATGTTGATAACTGAAAGGCAATAATCTGACATAAGTCTAAGAAAACTGCCATATAATGAGTATTTTTCTCTCCAATATATAACTTAACTTGGAATATTGACTGCAGCCTTCACAGAGCAAGTATTCCCACCACCCTTTCCCTAGCCTGTCTGATTAACCTCCTTGCACAGCAGTGGGAAAGAATACAAGAGACAAGACCTCATGTGCCATGTTCCCCAGAATGGTCTGAGAGCATTAAAGCAGCATCTTGCAGCCTGATGAAGTATCGGGATCCTTTACAAAAGAACTATTATTCCACATTCATTTATTCTACTCTTCTTGGAGGACAGTACAGTAGGTGGGGAAACATCCTCATAAATGATTTAGTTAGTTCTGAAAAAGCAATTGTGTCTCTCCCCTCTTTCTGTTTCTATAGATGCTGTTATGATAAAGCTTGATGGTAATTGCCTCATTCCAGTTTAGAGATCTATGAAGACTTTGTAAAAAACAAAAGTTATCCTATTACACTTTGTGATGTTTGGCATTTTAAGTCATATAGCTGTACATTGCAAATTCTGATCCTGAGTATAAGAATTGATAAATAAAATGTTAAGTGTATAATGGAGACACTTAACTTACACAAACCCAGCTGTTTGAATCAGAGAAAAGAGAGAATCAAAAAAGAAAAAGAATAGCATTGCTGACCCGTCTTCTGGCCACAGAGTGATCAGGATAAGGCTTTCTTTGAGTTTTATCTTCCTGCCCTAATGTCTCTCAGCTTGAGCATCTCTCTGTGCCTGGCATTATAGTGAAGTTTCATACCTCCTGACCCTATCTGTCCAATCAACTATGGCTACATTTGCAGGAAAATTCCTCGAGTGACTTAGGTGCATCATTTTCAATTCCTTTCCTCACATTCTGTTTTATAATATTTTTCTTTGAAGTAATGTCAGGCTTACTTACAGAAAAGATTAAGAATATTGTGAAGAGATCTTGTATACCTTTCATCCAAATTCCATAATTGTCTCCTTATTATCATTTACTTTGTTATTTCTCTTTCTTTCTCTCAAATATGTACATTTTATGCATTTTCATAATGATTTGAGATGGCCCTTAGCACCTAATATTTCAACAAATATTTCCTAAAACAAAGATCAGTCTTTTACATAACCACAGTCCAGTTAGCAAAATCAGAAAATCAATATTGATATAATACTATTACACAGTTGACTGACACTCTTTCTATTTTGCTGCTGTTTCAAAAGTGTCATTTAGAGTACTATTACAACAACAACTAATAATAATTCTGGTCACAAATGAAACTGTGGTGAGATTATTTTGTGCAATTTCATTTTCTAATTGTTTGTTGCTAGTAGATAGAAAAACAGTTGTTTTTTGTATACTGATCTTATATACTATAACCAATGTAAACTCATTCATTAGTTCTAATAGTTTTCTGGTAGATTCCATCATTTTTTGTATAAATGACCATTTAATCTTTGACTAAAAATGGCTTTACTTATTTGTTTTCCAAACTGGATGCTTTTTGTTTCTTTTTCTTGCCTTACTACACTGGCCAGAACCTTCAGTACAATGTTGAATAGAAGTGGTGGGAGTGGATATCCTTGTTTTGTTCTAGTTCTTAGGGGAAAAGCATTCAGTCTTTCACGTAAGTATGATACTAGCTGTAGCTTTTCTGTAGATGCCCTTTGTAAGGATGTGGAACTTCCTTTTGTTCTGGGTGTTAACTTATTTGAAAAAAAAAAAGTAATTATGATGTAATTAGGTTAAATATCTTGAAATGACAGCATTATGGATTACCCAGGTGGGCCCTAAATTCAATGACAAGTGTCTATATGAGACAGAAGAGGAGAAGATGCAGACACACAGAGGAGAAGGTGCTGTGAAGACGGAGGCAGATATTCGAGTGATTTGACCACAAGCCAAAAAAGCCAAGGAATGGCAAGTGTCACCCAAACGTGGAAGAGGCAGAGAATAATTTTCCTAAGAACCTCTGGGGAGTGTGGATCTGCTGACAACTTGATTTTGTATTTTTGACCTTCAGACTTGTGAAATAATAAATTTCTATTGTTCTTTGCCACCCAATTTGTGGTGATTTGTTATAGCAGCCATAGGAAAATAATATTCCTTCTATATACCTACCTTGCTGAGAGTTTTTAACAGGAATAGATATTGAATTTATCATTTATTTTTCCTAACTTTGTTAATGTGATGAATTGCACTGATTGATTTTCAAATCAACCAACATTTTTATTCCTGGAATAAAGTCCATTTGGTCCTGTACTATTGAATTCAATTGGAAAAAATTTATTCAGCATGTTTGCCCTATGTTTATAAGGGATATTGGTCAGTAATTGTCTTATGTGGTGTTTGGTTTTGGAACCAAGGTAATGCTGGCTCCATAGAATGAGTCTGAAGTATTCCCTCTTTTAAAGTATGTAAAATAGTGTATATAGATTTGATATTATTTCTTCCCTAAATGTTTGGTAGAATCCACTAGGGAAGGCATCTGAACCTTGCATTTTCTCTGTAGGAAGGTTTTTAGTAAAAATGAACATTTATAAATAGATACAGGGTTATTCATATTAGGTATTTCTTCTTAAATGAGCTTTGGTGGGTTTTTTTTCTCTTCAAAGAATTTGCCCGTTTCATCTGAATTTTTGCATTTATTATCATAAAGTTTTCCATAATACCTCTTTGTTATACCTTTAATGAAGGTATTTAGTAAAAATGAACATTTCAAAATAGATATAGGGTTATTTATATTAGGTATTTCTTCCTAAATATATAGAATCTGTGGTAATATAATTTCTCTCATTCCTGCAATTGGCAATTTGTAACTTCTTTTTTTCTTAATAAGTCTAGTTAACGGGTGCAGCACACCAGCATGGCACATGTATACATATGTAACTAACCTGCACATTGTGCACATGTACCCTAAAACTTAAAGTATAATAATAATAATAATAATAATAATAATAATATCTGGCTAAAAGTTTATCCTTTCTTAATATTATCAAATAACCAGCTATTGGTTCCATTTATTGTCTATGTTTTTTCTCTTTTCTATTTCATTAATTTCCAGACTCTAATCTTTATCATTTCCCTTCCTCACATTTCAGAGATATTTCTGCATATTTCTTTCTTATTTTCCAATTTTTTTAGGTAGAAGCTGAGGTCTTTGTCTTGAAGCTTTTCTTCCTTTCCAGTACAAGTATTTAGTGCTATAAATGTTCCCCAAATACTTTTTTGGAAACATGGCACAAATTTTGATAGGCAGTATTCTCATTTGAACTGAATAGTCCAAAACACTTTCTAAATTTTATTTGATTTCTTTGACCCATGGATTATATATAATGCATTATGTCATTTCCAAATATTTGGGGTAATTTCCTAGAGAACTTCCTGTTATGTATTTCTAATTTAGTTGCTTTGAAAATTTATTATGTATGACTTAAATTATTTAAATGAATTGACACTTGTTAAATAGTGCAAAATGTGGTCTATCTTTGCAAGTGTTCTATGTGCACTTGAAAAGAATGTTTATTCTGCTTTTATTGGTTTGAGTATTTTATAAATGTTAAGCTGGTTAATAGTGTAGTTCAAATCTTCTATATCCTTACTAATTTATGACTACAGGTTCTATCAATTTTTAGAGGGTTTGGTTTGGAAATCACTGACTAATATTGTGTTTTTAAATTACCCTTTGCAATTCTGTCTGTTCTTTCTTCTCTTTTGAAGCTCTGTTATTAGATGCATAAACATTGACAATTTATGTCCATAATAAGCTGATCTCAAGTTTGATCAGTTACTACAATTCTTCTTTTATAAAATCAATTATTTTAACTTTCCATTTTGTAAATTTGCAAACATACACCAAATCAGAGAGAAAATGAATATTATGTACCCATCTCTCAGTTTCCATAACTATTAACGTTTGTCATATTTGTTTCCATACTGGATGCACTCTCTCCTTTTTTGCTTAAATATTTTATTGCAAATCCCAGCTACCAAGATACTGAGATAAGCTTTAGAGTAAAAAACACATTCTTATATTACTGCAATTCTATTGTCACACAGAATTCTCTAACAGAAATTGCATAACATGACGTAAATGCAATTCATATTCAAATTATCTCAGTTGTTAAAAAATGTGTGTGTGAGTATAAACTGAAACATCATGGATTTTAGTTTGTTTGTTGTTTTGGCTTGTGAGGATCAGATCCAAATAAAGTCTTCTCAATATATTTGGTTCTATGTCTTTTAAGTAAAGTGGTCATATAATCTGTAGCCCTACCCTAAATGCCTCTGAGCTAAAAGGGAGAATAAATAACAATCACATTGTGGTAACAAGAGTAAACCATGACTGTCCCAGCCAACTGGTAAATATGCTCACCTACACTTGTCTTTCTAAAATTACTTGTGATCTACTCTCACCTTTTCTTAATGCCATTGGAGAAACGGTTCAGTTTTTCCTACAAAGTATCTTCATTCTGGATTTGACTGATTGTTTCCTGTCGATATAATTTAACTTGTGCCTCTATCCCCTATATTTTCAATAGACTGCAAATTAGATCTAAAGATTTGATCAGATTCAGGTTTTTTGGGTGTACATGGGTGTGTGTGCAAGAGAAAGAGAAGAATACTTCAAGGGTCATTCTGTGTTTTTCCTGTTGCATCATTATATAAAAAGCGCATGATGTCTAAGAACCTCACTCTTAGTGATAACAAAGTTGATCCATGGTGACAACATGATCTCTTCACTGAAAAGTTCCCCATCAACTTTCACTAGTAGACTTATTATCTATTAATGATCATAGTCTGAATCATTTATTTTATTAGTAATTATATTAGCTTGTTTTCACACTGCTATGAAGATATTACCTGAAACTGTATAATTTATAAACAGAACAGGTTTAACTGACTCACAGTTCTACATGGCTGGGGAGGCCTCAGGAAACTTACAATCATGGCAGAAGGTGAAGGGAAAGTAGGCATCCTCTTCACAGGGCAGCAGGAGAGAGAGCAAAGGGGGAACTGCTGTACACTCTTCAAACCATCAGCTCTTGTGATAATTCACTCACTGTCATGAGACCAGCATGGGGGAAACTGCCCCCAGTTTCCAATCACCTCCCACCAGGTCCCTCCCTTGAACGTGGGGATTACAATTGACATTTGGGTGGGGACACTGAGCCAAACCATATTAGTAATCACAAAATTGTTATTTTTTATAATTTCATTATTCTTTTTGTGGCAATTAGCTGGAGAGTTTAGGCATTGAAAAATGTATCTACTAAGTGTATTTAATTATCCTGAAATACAGGTTACATTGTAAGGGTAGGATAAATGCTATTTCTTTTGTTAATGATCTATTTTCAGGATAATAAGTGGGTGCTCTGGCAACTTTCCATGAGTTACAATGTCTTTTATCTCTGTTTTTTTTATTGTTTTGTTTTATTATCATTATTTGTGACTTTAAAATATATTCAACATATTTAAAATAGCTTGCAGCTATTATTCATTTTGATGTATACCTCTAGCCATCCCTTTTGTTTTTAAAATTTAATAATCTTTTATTTATGTTTCTTGCTGCAGCAATAAAATTGAATATTGCTTTGTTAGCCAAACTAACATTCTCTTTTTAAGAAGTGAGTTAATCAATTTGTATTTATTGAAATTACCAATGTATTGCTCTATCTTCTATATTTATAACTTTCTCTTGAAACATTTTTACCTTACTTTGTTGTTGTTATTGTTCTCATTGTTGTTCATTAAATGTGCATTCCTCTATTCTGTACCTTAATTCCTGTACTACACTTTTTCTTGTGTGCAACTATTTTTTCTTGTGTTTCTTCTATTTTAAAGTTCATTTCTAAAATGTCTTTCTTTTACATTTATCTAGTTCATTACTAATTCCTTTCCATTCTCTTTACAGATTCTATTATTGCTTAGTTACCTCTCTTCAGAGCTGTTCTATTACTGATTTATGCTTTTCTCACAAAGCTTTGACCATTTAAAACATTTTCTAGAATATCTAAAAATCTGAAAGTATCGATTTTGTCTTCTTCATCGCTATGGTTATTGGGTGTGTTTTCATTATTTGTTGGGACATTATTTGGTTTATTTATATATTGTCTTACAATTTATTTATGTGGAATTGGATTATAAATTTTTTTTCTGTGTTTAAATGAAGTTGAGTTTCTTTTAATTATTCAGATAATATTTCTACATGAAGAGCAGAGAAAAGCCAAAGTTGCTTTTACAAATTCATGGCTCAAGAGCTCCTTCCTCTGTTGTTACCCTGATCTATTCAGAAATATAGTTTCTTTTTGGTTTTTGAGGCTAAGCTTGATTCAGAAAGTTGTCCTGCCTCTACCTCTGAAACATTCAGAGCTTTGTGGCCTTCTGCAGGGTGCTCTTACCTTCAAAAATTATATTTTGTGGTTATGGTATATTCAGAGGTCTTTCTCTGCTAGTCCCTTCCCCAGCAGTTTGCTCAATTTAGATTCTGTTCTTAATAGTCTTTTCTTCAGTTTCTTCTGTATCCTTCTAAAACCAAGATTTTATTGAATGCTTTGAGATTTTTAAGGCTTAGGCTGCTTCCCACTCCATGTGATTCTTGTAGCTTTGCCCTCTCATCTGCAGTTTAGAGTCTGTGAATAATTTTATGTTTCTCTGGTTCTTTTTTATTTTCCTAGCCTCCTGTGTTGAGTGTTTGCTACATCCTTCTGTATTCTGACGTATGTGGCAATTCTGGTCATCAAGCTTTGTTGAACACATCATGCATGAGCTTTGTTTATATTAACTGATATGGTTTGGCTCTGTAACGCCACCCAAATCTCAGATCGAATTGCTATCCTCAATGTTGGAAGAGGGGCCTGGTTGGAGGTGATTGGATATGGGGGTGAACTTCCCCCTTGCTGTTCTCATGATATTGAGTGAGTTTTCATGAGATCTGACCATTTAAAAGTGTGTAGCACTTTCCCCACAGCTCTCTTCCTCCTGCTCTGGCTGTATGAAGACGTGCCTGCTTCCCCTCCACCTTCTGCCATGACTGTAAGTTTCCTAAGGCTTCCCAGCCATGCTTCCTGTACAGCCTGTGGAACTGTGAGTCAATTAAAACTCTTTTCTTCATAAATTACCCAGTCTCAGGTAGTTTTTGTATAGTAGTGTGAGAATGGACTAAAACACTAATCTAGTTGATTTGACTGGTTTTTGTAAGGGGATTGATGTGTTAAATGTCACTACCATCACATTCTTTTTGTCAGAGTCAACTTATGTGCTTTTTAATTTAAATGATGTGCCTGGTCCATAGAAGAAAAACTATGGCATCCCAGAATTTGATGATGAGTTCAGAAAAAAATTGCCTTCAGAAGCAAAAATTCACTAAAGTAAATACATAATATTGAAGATTAGTTGTTTAATCCAATCAGAGTAATTTGTTAATGGCTTTTGAGGTGTGTGTGTGGGGGTAGCTTTTATCAGTATCAGTATTTGTTTTTCTATTCATTAAACACACTTCCTCTTCAAACAACCATAGACCATACTTCTGAAGTAGACAGCTCTGTTTTGGCATGCTATCTGCAGTCATGAAACAAGATAAAGATCATTGGTCTGACCTTTGGCCTCATTAGACAATAAAATTGGACTGATTGACAAAACTCAATAAAGAATAGATTTAAGCACAGTGCTAATGAGGCCATGATCACAAATTTTACACAGGACCACTGATTTTATTTTATCTTATGGCCACAGGATGTTCCCCAACACTCAAAGTGTTTCCTCTTGGCCATAAAAAAAAGCCTGCATAATGAGCAGGAACAGACCACAGCAAATCCATCACATCTACTGGAAACATGCCCAGTTATTGGCCAAATTATTGGCCATCTTCATCTATAAGAAACAATGCAAATTCAAAGGATACTAGCAGATAAAGTGAAGTCAGCTCCAAAGCCATTCACTGTGAGAAAGAACCAAGTACAACTTGTCTGTGAGTCAGCCCAGGCACAATTCCTCTGTACCTTCTGACTCAAAGTGGCATGCATCAGTCAGCAGCATTGACTCCACTTGGGAGTTGGTTAGAAATGCAGAATCTAAATTCCTTTCCAGACCTACTGAAACAGAATCTGAATTTAGCAAGATTCCGTGTTTGGTATGTTTGCATATTCAAGTTTCAGAAGCACTGGGTTAGACCCCAAAATTTGTAGCATCAACTCTTACATCTATTATAACATCTCTAGGATTGTTGTATTGTTACACATAAGAGTAAATAAATATCTTCCTGGAACAGCAGTCAACATTCTTCACTTAATGAGTATGATAGCATCTCATGAAATTGTAATAAAATTAAAAACAGATGACTACTCTTTTCTTGAGATGGCATCTTGCTGTGTTGCCCAGGCTTACCTACAACTCCTATGTTCAAGGGATCCTCCTGCCTTAGCCTCCCAAGGAGTTGGGATTAAAAATTGATGACCAATTTTAAAATTCAGTATCCTGTTTCTATTAGCCCTGTTTTCTCTTGCACTGTGCATACACGCTCCAATTTTTATCTGTGCATCTGCCTTCCCTTAGTTTTATATTGAAGTAAGAGAATTTTTAAATCTCAACTATGTTTTCTCCTAATACCACAAGACTTAAGAAAACAATTGTCAAAAGGCTTAGCTTAATCCATCACATAATTCCTTTAAGTATCTAGATAGACTGTGGAGCCACTGATAACTATATTTTACTTAATATACTTAGTTATCTAGTGTATCATCTGTATTATTATACTTTAAGTTTTAGGGTACATGTGCACATTGTGCAGGTTAGTTACATATGTATACATGTGCCATGCTGGTGCACTGCACCCACTAACTCGTCATTTAGCATTAGGTATATCTCCCAATGCTATCCCTCCCCCCTCCCCCCACCCCACAACAGTCCCCAGAGTGTGATGTTCCCCTTCCTGTGTCCATGTGATCTCATTGTTCAATTCCCACCTATGAGTGAGAATATGCGGTGTTTGGTTTTTTGTTCTTGCGATAGTTTACTGAGAGTGATGATTTCCAATTTCATCCATGTCCCTACAAAGGACATGAACTCATCATTTTTGATGGCTGCATAGTATTCCATGGTGTATATGTGCCACATTTTCTTAATCCAGTCTATCATTGTTGGACATTTGGGTTGATTCCAAGTCTTTGTTATTGTGAATAATGCCTCAATAAACATATGTGTGCATGTGTCTTTATAGCAACATGATTTATAATCCTTTGGGTATATACCCAGGAATGGGATGGCTGGGTCAAATGGTATTTCTAGTTCTGGATCCCCGAGGAATCACCACACTGACTTCCACAATGGTTGAACTAGTTTACAGTCCCACCAACAGTGTAAAAGTGTTCCTATTTCTCCACATCCTCTCCAGCACCTGTTGTTTTCTGACTTTTTAATGATTGCCATTCTAACTGGTGGGAGATGGATTCATTAAGTTTTTGAAGGGTTTTTTGTGTCTCTATTTCCTTCAGTTCTGCTCTGATTTTAATTATTTCTTGCCTTCTGCTAGCTTTTGAATGTGTTTGCTCTTGCTTTTCTAGTTCTTTTAATTGTGACGTTAGGGTGTAAATTTTGGATCTTTCCTGCTTTCTCTTGTGGGCATTTAGTGCTATAAATTTCCCTCTACACACTGCTTTGAATGCGTCCCAGAGATTCTGGTATGTTGTGTCTTTGTTCTCACTGGTTTCAAAGAACATCTTTATTTCTGCCTTCATTTCGTTATGTACCCAGTAGTCATTCAGGAACAGGTTGTTCAGCTTCCATGTAATTGAGTGGTTTTGAGTGAGATTCTTAATCCTGAGTTCTAGTTTGATTGCACTGTGGTCTGAGAGACAGTTTGTTATAATTTCTATTCTTTCACATTTGCTGAGGAGTGCTTTACTTCCAAGTATGTGGTCAACTTTGGAATAGGTGTGGTGTGGTGCTGAAAAAAATGTATATTCTATTGATTTGGGGTGGAGAGTTCTGTAGATGTCTATTAGGTCCACTTGGTGCAGAGCTGAGTTTAATTCCTGGGTATCCTTGTTAACTTTCTGTTTCGTTGATCTGTCTAATGTTGATAGCGGGATGTTAATGTCTCCCGTTATTATTGTGTGGGAGTCTAAGTCTCTTTGTAGATCTCTAAGGACTTGCTTTATGAATCTGGGTGCTCCTGTATTAGGTGCATATATATTTAGGATAGTTAGCTCTTCTTGTTGATTTGATCCCTTTACCATTATGTAATGGCCTTCGTTGTCTCTTTTGATCTTTGTTGGTTTAAAGTTTGTTTTATCAGAGACTAGGATTGTAACCGCTGCCTTTTTTTGTTTTCCATTTGCTTGGTAAATCTTCCTCCATCCCTTTATTTTTAACCTATGTGTGTCTCTGGACGTGAGATGGGTTGATGGGTCTTGACTCCTTATCCAATTTGCCAGTCTGTGTCTTATAATTAGAGCATTTAGCCCATTTACATTTAAAGTTAATATTGTTATGTGTGAATTTGGTCCTGTCAGTATGATGTTAGCTGGTTATTTTGCTAGTTAGTTGATGCAGTTTCTTCCTACCCTTGATGGTCTTTACAATTTGGCATTCTTTTGCAGTGGCTGGTACTGGTTGTTCCTTTCCATGTTTAGTGCTTCCTTCAGGAGCTCTTTTAGGGCAGGCCTGGTGGTGACAAAATCTCTCAGCATTTGCCTGTCTGTAAAGGATTTTATTTCTCCTTCACTTAGGAAGCTTAGGTTGGCTTGATGTGAAATTCTGGTTTGAAAATTATTTTCTTTAAGAATGTTGAGTATTGGCCCCCACCGTCTTCTGGCTTGTAGAGTTTCTGCTGAAAGATACGCTGTTAGTCTGATGGGCTTCCTTTTGTGGGTAACCCGACCTTTCTCTGTGGCTGCCCTTAATATTTTTTCCTTCATTTCAACTTTGGTGAATCTCACAATTTTGTGTCTTGGAGTTGCTCTTCTCGAGGAGTATCTTTTTGGTATTCTCTGTATTTCCTGAATCTGAATTTTGGCTTACCTTGCTAGATTGGGGAAGTTCTCCTGGATAATATCCTGCAGAGTGTTTTCCAACTTGGTTCCATTCTCCCAATCACTTTCAGGTACACCAATCAGACGTAGATTTGTTCTTTTCACATAGTCCCATATTTCTTGGAGGCTTTGTTCATTTCTTTTTATTCTGTTTTCTCTAAACTTCCCTTCTTGCTTCATTTCATTCATTTTGTCTTCCATCACTGATACCCTTTCTTCCAATTGATCGCATCAGCTCCTGAGGCTTCTGCATTCTTCATGTTGTTCTCAAGCCTTGGCTTTCAGCTCCATCAGCTCCTTTAAGGACTTCTCTGCATTCATTATTCTAGGTATCAATTAGTCTAATTTTTTTCAAAGTTTTTAACTTCTTTGCCTTTGGTTTGAATTTCCACCTGTAGCTCGGAGTAGTTTGATCGTCTGAAGCCTTCTTCTCTCAAGTCATCAAAGTCATTCTCCATCCAGCTTTGTTCCATTGCTGGTGAGGAGCTGCATTACTTTGGAGGAGGAGAGGCACTCTGCTTTTTAAAGTTTCCAGTTTTTCTGCTTTGTTTTTTCCCCATCTTTGTGGTTTTATCTACTTTTGGTCTTTGATGATGGTGATGTACAGATGGGTTTTTGGTGTAGATGTCCTTTCTGTTTGTTGGTTTTCCTTCAAGAAACAGGACCCTCAGCTGCAGGTCTGTTGGAGTTTGCTAGAGGTCCACTCCAGACCCTGTTTGCCTGGGTATCAACAGCGGTGGCTGCAGAACAGTGGTGGCTGTAGAACAGCAGTGGCTGTAGAACAGCGGTGGCTGTAGAACAGAGGATATTGGTGATCTTCGAATGCTGCTGCCTTATCGTTCCACTGGAAGTTTTGCCTCAGAGGAGTACCCAGCTGTGTGAGGTGTCAGTCTGCCCCTACTGGGGGGTGCCTCCCAGTTAGGCTTCTTGGGGGTCAGGGACCCACTTGTGGAGACAGTCTGCCCATTCTCAGATCTCCAGCTGTGTGCTGGGAGAACCACTAGTCTCTTCAAAGTTGTCAGACAGGGACATTTTAGTCTGCAGAGGTTACTGCTGTCTTTTTGTTTGTCTGTGCCCTGACCCCAGAGGTGGAGACTACAGAGGCAGACAGGCCTCCTTGAGCTGTGGTGGGCTCCACCCAGTTGGAGCTTTCTGGCTGCGTTGTTTAACTAATCAAGCCTTGGCAATGGCAGGCACCCCTCCCCCAGCCTCGCTGTCACCTTGCAGTTTGATCTCAGACTGCTGTGCTAGCAATCAGTGAGACTCTGTGGGCATAGGACCCTCCAAGCCAGGTGCAAGATATAATCTTCTGGTGTGCCATTTTTTAGCCCGTTGGAAAAGCGCAGTATTAGGGTGGGAGTGACCCAATTTTCCAGGTGCTGTCTGTCACCCCTTTCTTTGACTAGGAAAGGGAACTCCCTGACCCCTTGCCCTTCCCGAGTGAGGCAATGCCCCACCCTGCTTCGGCTCATGCACGGTGTGCTGCACCCACTGTCCTGCACCGACTGTCAGGCACTCCCTACTGAGATGAACCCGGTACCTCAGATGGAAATGCAGAAATCACCCATCTTCTGTGTCACCTCACGCTGGGAGCTGTAGACCAGAGGTGTTCCTATTCGGCCATCTTGGCTCCACACCTAAATGTCTTCTTTTGAGAACTGTCTGTTCATATCCTTCACCCACTTGTTGGTGGGGTTGTTTTTTTCTTGTAAGTTTGTTTGAGTTCATTGTAGATTCTGGATATTAGCCCTTTGTCAGATGAGTAGGTTGCAAAAATTTTCTCCCATTCTGTAGGTTGCCTGTTCACTCTGATGGTGGTTTCTTTTGCTATGCAGAAGCTCTTTAGTTTAATTAGATACCATTTGTCAATTTTGGCTTTTGTTGCCATTGCTTTTGGTCTCTTAGACTTGAAGTCCTTGCTAATGTCTATGTCCTGAATGGTATTGCCTATTTATTCTTCTAGGGTTTTTATGGTTTTACATTGAACATGTAAGTCTTTAATCCATCTTGAATTAATTTTTGTATAAGGTGTAAGGAAGGGAATCTAGTTTCAGCTTTCTACATATGGCTAGCCAGTTTTCCCAGCACCATTTATTAAATAGGGAATCCTTTCCCCATTTCTTGTTTTTATCAGGTTTGCCAAAGATCAGATAGTTGTAGATATGTGGCATTATTTCTGAGGGCTCTGTTCTGTTCCATTGGTCTATATATCTTTTTTGGTACCAGTACCATGCTGTTTTGGTTACTGTAGCCTTGTATTATAGTTTGAAGTCAGGTAGCATGATGCCACTGGCTTTGTTCTTTTGGCTTAGGATTGATTGGAAATGCGGGCTGTTTTTTGGTTCCATATGAACTTTAAAGTAGTTTTTTCCAATTCTGTGAAGAAAGTCATTGGTAGCTTGATGAGGATGGCATTGAAAGTATAAATTACCTTGGGCAGTATTGCCATTTTCACAATATTGATTTTTCCTACCCATGAGCATGGAATGTTCTTCCATTTGTTTGTATCCTCTTTTATTTCATTGAACAGTGGTTTGTAGTTCTCCTTGAAGAGGTCCTTCACATCCCTTGTAAGTTGGATTTGTAGGTATTTTATTCTCTTTGAAGCAATTGTGAATGGGAGTTCACTCATGATTTGGCTCTCTGTTTGTCTGTTATTGGTGTATAAGAATGCTTGCGATTTTTGCACATTGATTTTGTATCCTGAGACTTTGGTGAAGTTGTCTATCAGCTTAAAGAGATTTTGGGCTGAGATGATGGGGTTTTCTAGATATACAATCATGTCTTCTGCAAACAGGGACAATTTGACTTCCTCTTTTCCTAATTGAATGCCCTTTATTTCCTTCTCCTGCCTGATTGTCCTGGCCAGAACTTCCAACACTATGTTGAATAGGAGTGGTGAGAGAGGGCAACCCTGTCTTGTGCCAGTTTTCAAAGGGAATGCTTCCAGTTTTGGCCTATTCATGATGATATTGGCTGTGGGTTTGTCATAGATAGCTCTCATGATTTTGAGATATGTCCCATCAATACCTAATTTATTGAGAGTTTTTAGCCTGAATGGTTGTTGAATTTTGTCAAAGGACTTTTCTGCATCTATTGAGATAACCATGTGGTTTTTGTCTTTGATTCTGTTTATATTCTGGATTATGTTTATTGATTTGCATATGTTGAACCAGCCTTGCATCCCAGGGATGAAGCCCACTTGATCATGGTGGATAAGCTTTTGGATGTGTTGCTGGATTTGGTTTGCCAGTATTTTGTTGAGGATTTTTGCATTGATGTTCATCAAGGATATTATTCTAAAATTCTCTTTTTTTATAGTGTCTCTGACAGGCTTTGGTATCAGGATGATGCTGGCCTCATAAAATGAGTTAAGGAGGATTCCCTCTTTTTCTATTGATTGGAATAGTTTCAGAAGACATGGTACCAGTTCCTCCTTGTACCTCTGGGAGAATTCGGCTGTGAATCCATCTGGTTCTGGACTTTTTTTGGTTGGTAAGCTATGGATTATTGCCTCAATTTCAGATCCTGCTATTGGTCTATTCAGAGATTCAACTTCTTCCTGGTTTAGTCTTGGGAGGATGTATGTGTCGAGGAATTTATCCATTTCTTCTAGATTTTCTAGTTTATTTGCATAGAGGAGTTTATAGTATTCTCTGATGGTAGTTTGTATTTCTGTGGCATTGGTGGTGATATCCCCTTTATCATTTTGTATTCCGCCTCTTTGATTCTTCTCTCTTTTCTTCTTTATTAGTCTTGCTAGCAGTCTATCAATTTTGTTGATCTTTTCAGAAAACCAGCTCCTAGATTCATTGATTTTTTGAAGGGTTTTTTGTGTCTCTATTTCCTTCAGTTCTGCTCTGATCTTACTTATTTCTTGCCTTCTGCTAGCTTTTGAATGTGTTTGCTCTTACTTCTCTAGTTCTTTTCATTGTGATGTTAGGATGTCAATTTTAGGTCTTTCCTGCTTTCTCTTGTGGGCATTTAGTGCTATAAATTTCCCTCTACACACTGCTTTGAATGTGTCCCAGAGATTCTGGTATGTTGTGTCTTTTTTCTTGTTGGTTTCAAAGAGCATCTTTATTTCTGCCTTCATTTCGTTATGCACCCAGTAATCATTCAGGAGCAGGTTGTTCAATTTCCATGTAGCTGAGCAGTTTTGAGTGAGTTTGTTAATCCCGAGTTCTAGTTTGATTGCACTGTGGTCTGAGAGACAGTTTGTTATAATTTCTGTTCTTTTACATTTGCTGAGGAGTGCTTTACTTCCAACTGTGTGATCAGTTTTGTAATAGGTTTGGTGTGGTGCTGAGAAGAATGTATATTCTGTTGATTTGGGGTGGAGAGTTCTGTAGATGTCTATTATGTCTGCTTGACTTCACCTTGGTTTTTGTCATCTAGTTTTGACTCCCATTCAGTCTCAGCACAAGGTGTCTCCTCTATGCCACCCTATAAGTTTACTCTGAACCAACATGTTCCCTCCTCTGACCAGTTTGCCCGTCAGCCTGCAGTTACTTCTGAGTCTGCTCAAAGAGAAGCTCAGGAACATTCCCCTTTAAGACCTCTATCTTTCCAACCTTTGTGAGATGCTGACTTTATTCATTGTTGTTGTGGTCCAAATCATTGGATTGCAAAGTGGCCTCTTCTTAGTGTCCCAAATAGGGAACATGAGGACAAAAAGTATCTTCTATTGAGGAACAAAGCTTGGAGAAGCAAAGTTTTACACATTAACTCATTTTGCACTGCTAATCACTCTTTCTCCTCTGCTCACAATTTTCTCAGGGTCATAAAGACAAGACTTTTCCTTCTTCTTCTCATCTGTACCTATTTTATCTAAAACTATAAGGTGTCAACTGCTACAACTGTCCCTTAAAATGGAGTTAAAATAATTTATAGAATCCTTATCAAGATAAGAGTTTTGCATATAATGTATTGTTTTATTGATAAGTTATATTTTTGGAATGTCAGAAACTGAATATTACTTAATGGTAATATTTGAATTCTTTCTGTAATTCATCCTAATCTGTCCCCAGCCATGGGATATCTCATGGAGCCTGGAATGAAGGTTATATATATAAAGCAAAAGAAGTAAGAAACTTTTCCCCAATCATTTGGCATAGGTTTCTATAAGCAAGCTAGCCAAGAGACAGCTTAGAAACAACTGTATGAGTGGTTAAGTGTGCATGTAGATGTGTGTGTCATGCCCTTTTTTTAGGGTGAGGCCCAAGCATCAAATTTATCTTAGAAGCCCCGTAGTTAATTTTGTGTATGGCCGAGATGGAGAGTCACCATTGTATGCGTGCATAAATAAATAGAATATTGATGCTTAAAAGGTTGTGCATTGTATCTTATGAAAAGCCGTTAGTTTTTAAGGGTCTTCCAAGCTTATATTTAAAGTTCTTTTATCTATTAAGACAGTTATTAATTTTATTCACATGAATAAGTGATAAACCAAATGCCTTTATTTAAACATTATCTAAATCTAGCATCAGATTGCATAACAGAGACAGCCTTATCCCATGTGGCTGAAAGGAGAGTGGCTTAGAAGCTTTCACAATTCCCAAACTTCATAAAGATTTGAAGGCACATGAATCAAAATAGAACCTACATGCCTAGTAAAAATTCTCATTATTAAATATTATCAGTCTGAATTAAAAGTCTGAAATTTTCCTGTTTCTTCATTATCCAATAGCAGTAGCCTCCCAGTGAGTGCAGACACTTTATTGGTTTTGACAAAATATATTTAATATTACACTCAAAATATTCAACTGCATGAATGAAATTTTTGTATTGCAAACATTCTTTTATAAAGACCACAGAAAATAAGAGGGAAATGGACATCCCATAGAAGCGCTAAGGCCAAGGACTGAGACCTTGGGCAAATCCCACTGTCAATCTATGTCCAGTCATGACTGGACAACATATGCA
The DNA here is from genome assembly GCF_000001405.40 of Homo sapiens. NCBI lineage: Eukaryota > Metazoa > Chordata > Mammalia > Primates > Hominidae > Homo > Homo sapiens. The sequence goes on from NW_012132918.1 coordinate 44,438, forward strand.
AGGCAGCAGCACTGGCACTGCCAATATTGACTTTCCCATCCCATCTCTGAGAGATAATCGCCCTTTAAATCAAAACCTACAAGGTGTGAGAACTGCAGGAACTCACCATAATCTAAGAACTTGGTTCTTTTACATCCCAAGGGCATCATACATTTCCCTGAAATGACCTTTACTATTCCATGTCACTTTAACCAGTTCTCAAAAGTGAAAAAAAAAAAAACAAAAACAAAACAATTTTCAGATTAGAAGAGAAGAGGCTAAGAAGCATGTAATTCTGCTCATAATGGATTTTTACAGGCCTCACTGGAGTTAATTACTGAAAACTTGTATATGAAGTAATTAATTTCATGCAATTTAGCACCATCTGCAGATGCATTATTTTCATTCAAAATTATATAATTGATACAAACTTAAAATTGTTAGAAATTTTGAGAAAGCCATAATGTTTGCACCTTTGTTTACATTATCCAATTCGATAAAGAAATTATGTCTTATAGAAAACCCATTCAAAAATACCAACTGAATTACCTTTAAGATAGATGTTGAGGAAAAAACAAAACACAAATTCAAACTGCTAACCTTAACTTCAGAGGTTATTTAGTCTAACTTAGATTTCTAGGCTATAATCATGCACTCCTGCTGAAATCATACTGTACAGAGTCTTCAAAACTCTGTAGACTTACAAAGTTTTTATACAGATTGCAAAGTTTGTATTATTCCCATCCACATTTAAGAATCCCCACCTACTGCTCCCATAACGCTGGACTGCAGAGCACAATAATCCTCCAGTTGCACATACACTCCAGGATTTGTTCCCAAGAGCCCGATAAAAAAACTAATCAAAAGAGAGTATGAAGGGGAAGTAGAGTATACTACCCTTTTTTGTGGGCTCCCTGCCTTCTCATCATTAGTTTTGCTGTCTCACCCTTTTGTGGGCCCGTCCTAATTTATTTTGGGCCTTAGGCATGTGAGTCAGTACTTTCAGCTTTTCGTGATAGGTTTGAATAGCAGGTAAACCTTGCTAGAGCACAGCCCACTATGCCAAGATCTGAATTTATCAATCAGACACTGTGGAACAGCAGATTCTGTGATTTACACACTCAGACTATGGAATGCAATTTAAGATCAAGAACAGTGTATCATTTCCTTAATGATTATGATTCATCAGTGAGAGATCCAGGAAAATAAAACATCTGTGTTTTGGACATGGTCTCAAGATTATCCCATGGCAAAATCTTGGGGTGATGTGAGTCAAGGTGTGGGGTTCACCTAGATATGCTCCCTCTCATTCTTGGTGTAATGAGCACACATGCAATGCATTTGAAGAATTGGAGTAGATATTTCAGGCACCAATCACGGCGAGTGTTTTCTTGTATTAAATTAGCAGCATTCACTTCTCTGACAGGGTTGAAAACATTTGCTGACAGAGATACAGATTGTACAAAATATGTACCCTGAGAGCTCATCTTTATAACTATAAATGTAGGATTTGGTTTTTAAATTTTTTAAATGTGTTTTTTCTTTTACATGTGTATTTCTTATCCGCTAAGATGTACTGGCCTTCACTTGCTGTGAAATGAGTTGTCAGAGAAGCAACAATATATGACTGTTACCTCTTTTTTTTTTTTTTAAACATTGCCTTAAAACTCATCACAGAAAATTATATAAGCCATGTCTTCATGGCAAGGAGAGAAAGCCACTTAAAAAATTGAATAATTAGTTTCTGAAATAAAATCTTTGTAACAGAGATTATTTATAACATCCTCACTATTTATATGGCTACTGTCCTTGTAAACCTTTTCCAATAATTTTAATTAAATAAATCTCACTTCTAAAAGTATAAAAGTAATAGCAGAAAAAATTCTAGGGCTTTGTCTGTAATTTAGTCCTACAGGCAAAATAAGTCATAGCAATTCTAATGTCATTTTTAGCAAAAGAAAGTCATGCAGTTTCAGACATTTATTTAACTGACATTTATGGGTAGGAAGTTTCACCTAGAAATCTTAAGAATGTGAAAACATGATAAGTCATCCATTTCTCTTTCTTGTACAGGTAATTTGATCTTTATCTCACACCTTCACACTTCAACACTGGAATGAAGTCTTTGTACCATCTAAACTGAATGGTAGGACCGAAAAGAAACAAAGTCAGAGGCTCAGGAGGCCAATTCACAGTGAGAGCTAGATAAAATCACCCAAGACTAAATGCTGTTATTGAACTAAGTTGGAGCAATTTAACACTGATTTTGACATCAGAAGACTAAAGTTCATGCAATATTTTATCTGTTAAAGAAGAAGCTACAACCTGTGCTGAAAACAATTTGACTTTTTAAAATCAATGCTTTAGTGATCCATACTTTTTTAAATGTAAACTATGGCTACAATCGTTGGTTACCAACTTCTGTTAGTATGTTTTGTCCCATAGCCTTATTTCAACACCTCAGGATAAGCTAGCAGGCCACATTTTAAAATAAAGATGTTCTCATGTGCATGTTTAAAATATTTTTGAGCTAGGTGAGAAGCTTAAAATGTGGTTTTTAAAAGATATTCTTGTGTTTGAGGAGATTATCTCCATTTTTATGCTTAAAGATTTAAAATTGGAGTTTTATAAATATAGAAGTAGACTTTCTGTGGAATTAGTAAACATCTATCTTTCTCACCCTCACAGCAAAAAGATGAAAATAAATGACTAAAACATATGTAAACCCTCAAGAGTGAGTTAATAGGAGAGGAGTCAACATGAAATGTCAGGAAATTTTGGAAGATGAATTATGAGAGAACTTCAGTGGAAGAGCACAGGGAGGTGAAAATCAAGTGCCTGAAGAAAGAGGCACACCAGTGACCATTCGGAACCTACAAAAGGCAAAGTTGATGGGAATGTTAGATACCACAGGGGAGAGTAAGATACAGAGGTAAAAGGAGCAGAAATAATCTCAAAGGGTTCCCAGTTCTCTGCCTGATCCCACTAACCAGGTAGTCACTTCTTCTCTGTACAAAGGAGACCTGGTAGGTTCTTCTTGGATGAATTGAAAATAGGTGACAGCCTCGGATACTAAGCGTAGCTGAGACAGTTGCAAGGCTCAGGCCTAAAAACACAAGTTATCAATGGATAACTACATACTTAATGCTGAGACCCTACCACCTTCCCTAGCCAGACTGACCCTAAAACAGAAGAATGGAGAAGCACTTTCTGAAGAAACCAAAAAATCCCAGAGAAAGAAACATAGATACTGACATTAGATAATTTCCAATAGGATAAAATTTGTCAAATTTCGCTAACATCACTTTCATGAAGGTCCTAGTACACAGCTTTTCCCATGCACACAATCTCCATCTGGCTTCTCGGTGCTCACTCACAGACACCCAAATATAACAAACATTTGAGGAAAAAGCCTGAATGAGACAGACACAAAAATTAACAAAAAATGCGGAAATATGAGACAATTGAAACAATAGAGTGAACAGGAGAAATTTGTCAAAAATTTAAATTAACTTCCCAAAATATTAAATATTACATCTATGCAGCAAAAATGGGATGTTATTCAAAATGAAATGTTTTTTAAATAGATGAAATACATTTAAAACTCATTAGAAGGATTAGAAGACAAAGGCTTAGACCATTTTGAGAAAATCTCACAAAAAAGCAGAATAAAAACAAAGAAATGGAAAACAAAACAGAAACAAAAGCCTGCAAGAATGAAGAGAATTTTTCAAGAGATTTAACAGTTGCCTAACAGGAGTTCCTGAAAGAAAATACATTGTCAGAAATATAGAAAAATGATCAAAAAATTATACAAGAAATTACCCTGTGCTAAAATCCTTTAGCAATGTCTACAAATTGAAAAGACATTTTTAGCATCAGTAGAAAAAAACTGATATCACAGCCTATTCTGAAATTTCACAGCACTAGGGATAAAGAAAACTCTGACAGGAAATGGTATTTAGCCCAAATTTTTACAGACAAACTGTTAATCAAATGCAAAGATAAAATAAAAATACTTTTGGGCATGAACTACCTCTAAACAGTTACCTCCTCACCTTTTCAATGGAAGCTACTGGAAATCTAGAGATAAAACCAAGAAAGAGTTATAATGGAATCCAGAAAACTAGGGACTCAATATAAGAGCAAGGCAAAGGGAATTCCCAAGAACATGAAAAGCCAAGCAAAGGTGTAAAACAGGTATAGAGAGCAACTGGTCTAGACCAGTACAGAAAGAATCCGGGAGCATGGCCTAATGAACAACTCTGACTGATAATTGGCTAAACCCCATAGAAAACTGTATTACAGATGCTAATGGAAAATGTACAAATAAAATTAAAATTGAGTACACAAAAAATAGGAATGCAAAAAGGAGGTAAATGCCCAGAAAAAAGTATGTAAAGAATAATATTTAATAAAAATAATATGTTTGGCTCAGCAGTTAACAATATTTACATAGTCCCAATCAACAGTGCAAAAATTCAATTAATCAAAAATCAAGATACTAGGGAAAGATGCAAAGGCATTATAATAATACAAAGAAACAAAATCCTCAAGTTGCACACTGGAAGACAGCAAACAATGTATAGAATGGAGATATTTGAAATTAGAGCATTAGTATATGACTTAGAAATGTGAATATTCAAAGTGGCCCCCACTAGGAAAACCCACCACTCCTGATCACCCCCCGCCGACAAAATGAGGAAATGGTTTTGGTTTTAAGCTTTTTTGTGTCATTTAGCTTTTGAAAACATATGCATGAATACTGTTAAAAAATAAGTAGCATTTAGAAATAAGGATAATTCCAACTATACCTATTTTACTTTACTAAAAATATAACTCAATTTGTATGCTAGCAATATTAACAAAATTATCAATATTATTATAAAAAAGTAGACCATTTTTCAAGAGTGCTTGTGAAAACTTATGAAATATTTAAATATACTCACTAACAAGGCAGGAAATCTAATGTTTTTGTTGAAAGTATATTGAGAGAAGTATAAACCGTATTTTCATATTTACAATATACTGTTTAAAAGAGGGAACATTTTGCAATTATAAAGTTAAATATGTATGCCATTTAGAGAAGCCTGAATTCAGCTCCAAGGCTTCCAAATAAGAAATAAATAATGTACCCAATAAATTAACAAAATATTTCCTCAACATTATTATGTTTACCAAAGAATAGAAACAAATACAAAGAAGTAAAAGAAGAAATATTCTCACTTAACAATTCTCACATTGTCACAGGGAGAAAATAAACATTGTTTTCTGATTTTGATAATTTTTCATCACAGTGGATTATCTCCCGGATGTGAAATTAATTATGCTCTTCTTGTAAAGTCACTTTCATAATTATTTTAAAATGGTCTAAATAGACTAAGGTAATGAAAGTAGACATATTCATGTATTCCATTCATTCTCATAAAGGGTGATCCTCAGAATACAAAAGAATATGATGGATAAATCCTTAAGCTTCCATATATCTACTTTTAGGCATATTACAAATAAATTAAGATAAAACAACCCACATTCCATCTCATTAAAACTTGGCAAATCTTTGGATCTGCTTAGAGACACTGAATGTATATAGAAGAATAACTATTATTATTTATGCTTATAAAATGTTTGTTTACATTGTTTTTCTGCCTTTCTATAACCATCCTGTTGTCTTGGTGACACTGGTACTATTCCAAAAGGTTTTGCCCAACTCATGTAACTAATAAAGCAGAATTAAGACTCAAACCCAGGTCTTCTGACTATGATATGATATTCTTCCTACTACTTTCTCTGAACGTTTGGATTTAGGAAGGACACCTGTTTCTAATTGAATAGTCATATACTTAATATTTTTAATGAATATCTCTCCTTTTTACTAGTTAATATTACCCACTGCAGGAAACCAAAATATTAAACCCTATAATATACTTATTTGATGTATTTCAAGATGGCATTTCAGTGAAGATAGAAATACAAGAATAATTGAAAAGCTGACTTTTGTGGAGATTTGCATCTGTAGAAGAAATAAAGTGAAGTGTGCAACAGATGCAAACAGGCTCTCTCTGAACCACACCACCCCTTGTCTGAATCTAGGAAAGATTTACTGAGCGTCTGATGCCTTTAAAGGTCTGACAAAAACATTTAGCATCTATTCTCTCTGATGGCTTCTACCTTCAAGGTTTTCATTGCATGGTAAGACCACCTTTGCTAGCCAAGTCTTTCTTTTCTCTCCCTTTCATAACCCATTTTGCCCCCATAATCTGTCACATTCCAAGTCCCTGTTCTTTCTATAATTTCAAGATGATATAAAAGCATCAACTATGTTACCTTTCTTTAAGTTTTTATACTTCATATAATTCCCGTGCAAACAAGTACATGTAATAAAATTCGTATGCCTTTTTTCCCCTTTAATCTGTCTATTATCGGTTTGTTTCACAGACTCAAATTATTCACTCTTCAGGGGGAAAATTTAAACTTCTCTACAGTTTTGATGCAGTGAATAGGTTAACAAATTTACTAGTTAATATTACCCACTGTAGGAAACTTTATTCTGGAGCGTACAAACGGGATCTTGGGACAACTGACACAAAGCCAACAAAGAAAATAAGAATTTTTTTTTTTTACCAAGTCAGTTCTCCCAGATGTCTGCCTGGGACCCCAGGTCAAATGAGGGTGGTAAGAGCCCTTGCCTTTTTTCTTTCCCCAAATTGGATTAACAGGACAAAAACATACGTGAACTAGTTCACTTAGTAAATGAATGAATTGGCTATATTTAAAGGAAAGCTTTTTAGAGCACTCTTGTCTTAAACAGCCAGCCATGTTAATGGTACCTAGGAAAAGACTTAAAAAATAAGTATGGCCTTAGAAACTCCCTTGACAGATTGTTTTTAAAAGAAAACAGCAATCAGCTTTAAAAGAAAGCAAAATTATTCATACACTGGAACTGCCTGCTTTGGATCCCCTGTGGGATTTGCAATGAAGGCCATATTGTCTTCTAGTCAAGGAATTAAAATTCCATGCATTCATCACCATGCCCTGGTGTTCAGTTCCTGGAAAGGGAACTAGTCCCTTAGAAATAAAAGTCCTTTAACTCTGGAGAAGAAACATTTATAAAAATTGGTTTGATATTTGTGCAACTATTGACTTTTTAGGATACCCACTCATTATTGATTCCTTTCCCTTCCATGGCCAACTCTTGATTTTCTGTCTTACCAACTGCTTCTGGTAATGAGACACATGAGATTTTTGGCCTTTGCTTGCAGAACATCAGCTAAGAAGCTGAGACCATAGAGGATATGGCCAGATGGAAATGTGGTTTGTCCAGTCTATCATTGTTGGACATTTGGGTTGGTTCCAAGTATTTGCTATTGTGAATAGTGCCGCAATAAACATACGTGTGCACGTGTCTTTATAGCAGCATGATTTATAGTCCTTTGGGTATATACCCAGTAATGGGATGGCTGGGTCAAATGGTATTTCTAGTTCTAGATCCCTGAAGAATAGCCACACTGACTTCCACAAGGGATGAACTAGTTTACAGTCCCACCAACAGTGTAAAAGTATTCCTATTTCTCCACATCCTCTCCAGCACCTGTTGTTTCCTGACTTTTTAATGATCGCAATTCTAACTGGTGTGAGATGGTATCTCATTGTGGTTTTGATTTGCATTTCTCTGATGGCAAGTGATGGTGAGCATTTTTTCATGTGTTTTTTGGCTACATAAATGTCTTCTTTTGAGAAGTGTCTGTTCATGTCCTTCGCCCACTTTTTGATGGGGTTGTTTGTTTTTTTCTTGTAAATTTGTTTGAGTTCATTGTAGATTCTGGATATTAGCCCTTTGTCAGATGAGTAGGTTGCAAAAATTTTCTCCCATTCTGTAGGTTGCCTGTTCACTCTGATGGTAGTTTCTTTTGTGTGTTGTCAATTGTATCTTTAGCCATGACCATTTTAAGTTTTGTTGACCATATTAAATAGCTTTATTTGAAAGCTATTTTTCTAAAAGCACTTTGCAAATTCTACAGTGTTGTGTCTTCAAGGAGATTCATGGAAAGGATAAACAACCCTGATTGATAGATACTCTCAAATACAGACCTCTGCTTATAACTTTGAAATTATTCAACTTGACTAGGTAAAAATTTCAAAAACTCCAATGGAAAAAAATTGGATATATAAAATAGTTTTTATGAGTTTCATAAGCAGAATGGTAATTAATTACATGGTAGAAAAATGATAGAGGACTAAAATAATTTTTATGACTTTTTGTTTGAAATATTATTGCTTCTTTTTATGTTTTGTTTTCCAGAGTTAAGAAAACTTTATTATTTTAGGTTATTTATAGCTTATAGAAATTGAATAAAGTATACTTTTATAAGAAAAAATGGAAACATTTACCTTTCTTTCTATCTGAGCTCTCCAGAATTTGAAAATTATTTTTGAGTGTTCTTATTTTATGGCAATATAGTCATTTGTAGAAGTTCAATAAAAATCAGATTTTTTTTGTATCAGGACACAATTAGAAATGATAGTTATTTTACTACAGCTTTGACTGGCATGTCATATTCAGATATGACCACACTGCTTTAAGAAATTGAGGTTGACTTTAAAGCCAATAGATTTGGAAAAGGACTGGTCTGGTACCTTGTTTACAGTTTCCTTACAGAGTTCCTGATCTTGAGGTAAGTAAAAAAATGTCACTTTCTAATAGGCTTAGGAACCTCAAAATATTTTGGGGTCCTTGAGAAGAGAATAACTCACCCAATTTGTAGAGATATTACAGACATTGTCTTTAGGTTAGCTCATAAACCTTCAGAGGTTTTTAAAAATCTAATCTGAAACCTCTTATGAGAAAGTTCCCATTAAGCCAAGTTAAAAAGAGACTACATGGCCACTTACTATTTTTGCTGTACTTTGTGCAAAAATCAGACCAAGTTTAAGACCAAAATATTTAAGAAATAAATTTGCCTTATTATGATTTGTTTTTAGTAGAAGCAGGGGACTAGAGAGAGAAAAATTATGTTTCAGAAGAAAACCTATAGTACATTTGTTATTAAATTCTAATCCTGAGCAATGCTTGAGATTTTGCTGTTTACCTGCAATCTGGACTATATGCTTAACTTCAGTTCCTCAAATATCTGTCTGTGGCTCTTTAGACTAACATTTCTAATTTTCTCCCACCATTCTGACTTAAAATCACTAGAAATTAAAACTGCTCTTCTTGAAGCACTGCAAACTGAGGCTAGGCAACTTGTAAACTTTGGGATAAATCACTACAGCAACTCATATATAACAAGTCTTAATGTCTGTTGCTGTATGGACAACTCAGAAAGTTCACTTGAATATCTAATTCAAACTACAATCCAGAAAATTCTGTTAGATTGCCACTTCAACTGAAGATGCTTCAGACACTCTAGAATAGTTTTCCTAGAGTAGTTCATAGACTACTCCAGATATTAACCTTTGCTTTTTTTCTGTATCTGTAGAAATGCCTCATATTAAAGACCTGTTTGCCTGCATCATATATGGAATCCTAACTTTGATGAGAACCTGTCTATAACAGCACCTCCTGAAATAAGATTCAACTGTTTAACAAAATAGACCCATTTTCAGTACTAAGAGAATGATTCAAGAAGACATGAGGTAATATATTTAAATTTGCTCTTTCTACTAATTTCATGTTTTCTTCCCCTTTCACTTAATCTCTTACCTAAAACCTCTAACCCAAATCTCTCCAAAGCTATCCTCTCGGTTTTTAACATATGAATTTTTCCAAAAGTAAAGTTTCAGAAGGGAGATGAAATCAAAATAACCCCAAAATATACATCTTGCATATATTTTAATATGACTATTCAGGAGAGCTGGAAATACAAGAATAGCTGAAAAGTTGATGTTTGTAAAGGATACTTGCCTCTGCAGAGGAAATGAAGTGAAGTAAACAGCAGATGCAAACAGCCTGTATCTGAACATCCCCCCAACCTGCAGATGTCTGGACCTAGAAAAGATTAACTGAGAGTATGACACCTTTTCACTGAGAGTATGACACCTTTAAATGTCTGGCAAGAACAATTACCACTGGCTACCATCTATTCTTTCTGAGGACTGCTACCTGTGAGATTTCATCTGCATAACAAGACTGCTTTGCTAGTCAGACCCTTCCCCTTCTCTCCTTCCCAAAACTTATCTGATCACCATAACCTGTCATGTTCTGAGTCCCCGTTTCTTTCTTTCAGTAACCTCAAGATGGTATAAAAACATCAACCATATTGCATTTCTTTGAGTTTTTCTATTTTGTATGACTCATGTGAACACACATGCATGTAATAAAATATGTATGGCCCTTTTCCCTTAAATTCATCTCTTATCAGTTTGTTGTATAGACTCAAATTATCAAAACTTTAGGGGGAAAATTTAAAATTCCCTACATCATCCAGTTATATTGAAAACATTTACATAATATGTAAATAGAGATTCCTGACAACTTACAGTCCTCGGCACTTTTGTTTAAAAATTAAAGTCTAAATATGAAAAAACCCTCCAATAACCCCTTTTTCAACTAAAGTTATTACCTTCCAGTGTTTTTGCCACATAGTGGCAAGATTAAGAACCACATGTATATAAGTATTTTCCAACACCTAGTGAATATTTTGTATAGCAAATCAAAGCTAGTTGAGTTTCTTCTGGTTTGTGTGTTTCTTTAAAGTCTTGCTGAATCAAGCAAGAGGGAGCAAAATAAAAGTTAGCTGATTTGCTACATTACATAATAAGTTAAACAGCTCTTCTAATTGAATGAGATTTTACACTGTGATTTTAAAAATGTGATTGCTGTATAAGTTGATCCTCAGCCATTTACTGTCAAATGTATACTGCTACAATATGTCTTATTGGAGCTTTTGTAGTTAATCAGTTCATTTGATTCAAACATGTTGTTGATAGGCTTGAGGTAATACTTTTGATTCCCTTATCATCCAGTTAACTCCATTCCATTTATGCCTACAGACTACATCACTAACTATAGCCAGCTACCTCAGGATCCTGAACTATTGGTTACAAGGTAATGATGTGAAAATTAAACTAACTTAATACATCTCTTCTAAAGAAAAGAAAAGAAGATGTCCTATATTTGTGTTGCTTATTTTCATATATGAAGGAGAGCATATATACATATTTTTAAATATTCCTAATATTAAATTGAAAAATTTTCCTTCTTTACTCATATCACCAGTAATTTCATAGGACACTTTATCAGTCAGGACCCAACCAGAAAAAGACAAGCCACTATTAGTATTTAAAACAGAAAAAATTTGGTACCAGGAATTGGTACACAGATGATAGAGTTGCTCAGAAGCTACCCAGGAGTAGTGAAGCAATCCACAGATTAGCAATTGAAGAAAGATGGAAACATTTCTAAATTGGTGATGAAAAGAAACTGGGGGTATTAACAGAGGCCGGGGCCAGAGTCACCTGGTGGAAGCTGGGAGCACAATGGGCCTGTCTGGGGAAGGCAGAGCCAAAGAAGAGATGTAGCTAGTATAGATGATGCTACTTGAGACAGACAGAAAGGGCAGGAAACACCCTAGCTTCTCCCTTCTTCCTGCCCTCTTATTTCAAGTGTTTCTCTCATTGTCCAGAGTTGGAAACCAGTGACAGGAAAGGGTGGAAAGCATAGTTTATGGGAATCAGCTCCATGAGCTAGAACAGAGGAAGAAATTGATTAAAGGGCAAATGGGTCAAGGATTGGATCGGACATTCAATGTGTTGGGAAACAGGAAGAAAGACATACAAATTTATTACCATGCACATGTGTTCACAGGAGTCATACAAAGTATAAAAAAAGAAAGGCAAGATAGTTGATGCACAAATATCCTTTTTATTGGAGATATGGGGAATGGGGGTTGTAGGAGTAAATGATTTTCAGGGGAAATCAATGAGCCCAAAGAACAATGAAGTGGGGCCAAGTTTCTCTGAACCCTGAGGGAGGTGGCATTATAGATTATAGAGGAGTGAAGGAAGGAAAGTATTTCAAGCAAAGGCTGTTCTGTTCTGCAGATGAAAATATCTCAGGAAATGTTGGAGCTTCCCCCTGAAAACATAGATGGGAGCCTATGATTGAGTTAATCTTTCCTAGATACAGACAAGAAGATGGGTTCAGAGAAAGCCTGAGTGTTTTATGTTATCAATGCAATTTTTTCTACAGGTGCAAATCTCCTCTACAATAGGCAGCTTTGTAGGGTTATTCCTGTCTGCAGGCCCTCTGAGTAGCCATCTAAAACTATGTCAGGTAAGTATATCAGGGGGTGAAATGTTTCTGATTTCCTTTAAATGCAAGTATCTGCAGGCATACCTCATTTTACTGTGCTTAGCTTTATTGCAATTTGCAAATATTGTGCTTTTCACAATTAAAGGTTTGTAACAACCCTGCATCAAGCAAGTCTACTGGTGTGAATTTTCCAACAGCATGTGCTCCCTTTGTGTCTCTGTGTCACATTTTGGTAATTCTCATAATATTTCCAACTTTTCCATTATTATTTTATCTGTTATGGTGCTCTGTGATCAGTGATCTTTTATGTTACTATTGTAATGGTTTTGGAGTGCCAGAAACCATACCTATGTAAGATGGTGAACTTAACTGATAAACGTTGTGTGTGTTCTGGCTCCTCCACAGACTGGCGCTTCCCCTCACTCTCTTCCTCTTTTTGAACCGTTTTATTCCTTGAGATATTAGACCAGTTAATAACCTTACAATGGCCTCTAAGTGTTCAAGTGTTCTTTCACTTTAAATCAAAAGCTAGGTGCAAAAAGGATGCTGCAAAAGTAATGTTGCAAAAGTAATTGCAGTTTTGGACTGTGAATTTTAAATCATTATAACTAGGCTCAAACACATCTTTATTAATGAAAATAGGAACCGTTACATTCAACACATTTTTGCCAATGAGAAATAAGTTTGTTTATTCCTGTAGCATAAAAATCTGTGCTTTGGGATTCGATGAAGTCTTGGAAAGCATTTTCTGCATCCTACTCATTGTGGAAGTGTTTTCCCTGCAAACTGCAAAAAATCATCAAGATGCTTGAAGAAGTGGTAGTCAGTTGGCAAGAAGTTAGGAGAATATAACGGATGAGGCAAAAGCTGGTGGCCCAATTCATTCAACTCTTGAAGAGTTGGTTGTGTGATATGCAGCTGGGTGTTGCAGAGAAGAATTGTGCTCTTTCTGTTGACCAATGCCGGCTGCAGGCATTGCAGTTTTCGATGCATCTCATCGATTTGCTGAGTATACTTCTCAGATGAAATGATTTTGCCAGGATTCGGAAAGCTGCAGTGGATCAGACCAGCAGCAGACCACGAAACAGTGACCATGAACTCTTTTTGGTGCAAGTTTGGCCTTGGGAAGTGCTTTGGAGCTTCTTCTCAGTCGAGATACTGAGCTGGTCATCACCAGTTGTCATGTATAATCAACTTTTCATTTCACTTCACAATCCAGACATGAAATGATTCGTTGTTATTGCATAACATAAGACAAGGTGACACTTCAAAATGACAATTTGTTTTTATTTTCAGTCAGCTCATGAGGCACCTACTTATTGAGCTTTTTCACCTTTCCAATTTGCTTCAAATGCCAAACAACTGTAGAATGGTTGATACTGAGTTCTTCAGCAATTTCTCATATAGTCATAAGAGGATCAGTTTGGATAATTGCTCTCAATTGGTCGTTTTCAACTTCCCATGGCTGGCCACTATCTCCTCATCTTCAAGGCTCTCATATCCTTTGCAAAGCTTCTTGAACCACCAATGCACTGTATATTCTTCAGCAGTTTCTGCACCAAATGCATTGCTGACATTGAGAGTTGTCTCCACTGCTTTATGACCCATTTTGAACTCAAATAAGAAAATCTCTCTAATTTGCTTTTTGTTTAACATCATTTCCATAGTCTAAAATAAATATAAAATAAGCAGTAAGTAATAAGTCATTAGCAAAATAGTAAAGCAAGAAATGCACATTAAAATGATATATAACAGGCCGGGCGCGGTGGCTCACGCCTGTAATCCCAGCACTTTGGGAGGCCGAGGCGGGTGGATCATGAGGTCAGGAGATCGAGACCATCCTGGCTAACAAGGTGAAACCCCGTCTCTACTAAAAATACAAAAAAAATTAGCCGGGCGCGGTGGCGGGCGCCTGTACTCCCAGCTACTCGGGAGGCTGAGGCAGGAGAATGGCGTGAACCCGGGAAGCGGAGCTTGCAGTGAGCCGAGATTGCGCCACTGCAGTCCGCAGTCCCGCCTGGGCGACAGAGCGAGACTCCGTCTCAAAAAAAAAAAAAAAAAAAAAAAAAATGATATATAACAACAACATTTATTAAGAATTTATTCCAATATCAAACAGCAAATTCCAACAATGCAAAAACAACAATTACTTATGCGCCAACCTAAATGATCAAGCTTAGTGAGGAAAGCATATTGAAAGCTGACATAGGCTGAAACCTGGGACTCTTACATCAAACACTTAGCCAAGTTTGGAATGCAAATGAAAAAAGCTTGAAGGAAATTTAAAGTGCTACTCCAGTGAACACAAGAATGGTAAGAAAGTAAAACAGCCTTATTACTGATATTGAGGAAGTTTGCATGATATGGATAGATCAGACCAACCACACTATTTCCTTAAGCCAAAGCCTAATCCGTAGCAAGACTCTAACTCTGTGCAGTTCTGTGGAGGTGAGTAAACTGCAGAAGAAAAGTTTAAAGTTAGTACAGGTTAGTTCATGAGGTTGAAGGAAAGAAGGCATCTCCATAACATAAAAATGCAAGATGAAGCAGCAAATGCTGATGTAGAAGCTGCAGCAAGTTACCCAGAAGATCTTGCTAAGATCATTGATGAAGGTGGCTACAGCAAACAACATATCTTCAAGTAGATAAAATAGGCTTTTATTGGATGAAGCTTCCATCTAAAACTTTCATAGAGAGGTTTAATTCAATGCCTGGTTTCAAAGGTTCAAAACGCAGGCTGACTCTCTTGTTGGGGGCTAATAACGCAGCTGGTGACCTTAAGTGGAAGCCAATGCTCATTTACCATTCTAAAAATCCTAGGGGCCTTAAGAATTATGCTAAATCCACTCTACAAATGCTCTATGAATGGAACTACAAAGACTGGATGACAAAACATCTGTTGACAGCATGGTTTGCTGAATATTTTAAGCCCAATGTTGATACATACTGATCAGAAAAAAATTTTTTTTCAAAGTGTTACTGCTCATTGGCAATGCATCTGTTCACCTAAGAGCGCTGTTTGAGATACACAAGGAGATTAATGTTCTTCTCATCCCTGCTAACATAACATCCATTCTGCAGCCCATGGATCAAGGGATAATTTTAGCTTTCTTGTTTCATTATTTAAGAAATACATTTTGAGGCCGGGTGCGGTGGCTCACGCCTGTAATCCCAGCACTTTGGGAGGCCGAGGCGGGCGGATCACGAGGTCAGGAGATCGAGACCATCCCGGCTAAAACGGTGAAACCTCGTCTCTACTAAAAATACAAAAAATTAGCCGGGCGTAGTGGCGGGCGCCTGTAGTCCCAGCTACTTGGGAGGCTGAGGCAGGAGAATGGCGTGAACCCGGGAGGCGGAGCTTGCAGTGAGCCGAGATCCCGCCACTGCACTCCAGCCTGGGCGACAGAGCGAGACTCCGTCTCAAAAAAAAAAAAAAAAAAAAAAAAAAGAAATACATTTTGAGCTGGGTGCGATGGCTTGCACTTGTAATTCTAGATACTCAGGAGGCTAAGGTGGGAGGACTGCTTGAGGCTATAAGAATGAGACCATCCTGAGCAACATAGTGAGACTTTGTCTCTAACCAAATAAAGAAAAGAAGAGAAAAAGCCAGAGCTCAGCAAGGCTGCTGTAGACAGACTGCCAGATTTTTCCTCTCTGGACAGGGAATCTCTGAAAAAAAGGCAGCAGCCCCAGTCAGAGACTTATAGATAGACCGCCCCATCTCCCTGGGACAGAGCACCTGGGGGAAGGGACGGCTGTGGGCGCAGCTTCAGCAGAATTAAATGTCCCTGCCTGATGGCTCTGAAGAGAGCAGCGGACCTCCCAGTACAGTGCTCGATCTCTGCTAAGGGTCAGACTGCCTCCTCAAGTGGGTCCCTGACCCCCGTGTATCCAAACTGGGAGATACCTCCCAGTAGGTACCGACAGACACCTCATACAGGAGAGCTCTGGCTGGCATCTGGCAGGTGCGCCTCTGGGACAAAGCTTTCAGAGGAAAGAACAGGCAGCAATCTTTGCTGTTCTGCAGCCTCCGCTGGTGATACCCAGGCCAACAGGGTCTGGAGTGGACCTCCAGCAAGCTCCAGCAGACCTGCAGCAGACAGACCTGACTGTCAGAAGGAAAACTAACAAACAGAAAGGAATAGCACGTCCACTCAAAGACCCCATCCGAAGGTCACCAACATCAAAGGCCAAAGGTAGGCAAATCCACAAAAATGGGAAGAAACCAGCGCAAAAAGGCTGAAAATTCTGAAAACTAGAATGCCTCATCTCCTCCAAAGGATCACAACTCCTCACCAGCAATGGAATAAAACTGGACAGAGAATGAGTTTGAAAATTGACAGAAGTAAGCTTCAGAAGGTGGGTAATAACAAACACCTTCAAGCTAAAGAAGCATGTTCTAACCCAATGCAAGGAAGCTAAGAACCTTGAAAAAAGGTTAGATGAATTGGTAACTAGAATAACCAGTTTAGAGAAGAACATAAATGACCTGATGGAGTGAAAAAACACAGCATAAGAACTTCGTGAAGCATACACAAGTACCAATAGCTGAATTGATCAAGTGGAAGAAAGGATATCAGTGATTGAAGATCAACTTAATGAAATAACGTGAGAAGACAAGATTAGAGAAAAAAGAATAAAAAGTACGAACAAAACCTACAAGAAATATGGGACTGTGTGAAAAAACCAAATCTACGTTTGATTGGTGTTCCTGAAAGTGATGGGTATAATGGAACCAAGTTGGAAAACACTCTGCAGGATATTATCCAGGACAACTTCCCCAACCTAGCAAGACAGGCCAACATTCAAATTCAGGAAATACAGAGAACACCACAAAGATACTCCTTGAGAAGAACAACTCCAAACCACATAATCTTCAGATTCACCAAGGTTGAAATGAAAGAAAAAATGTTAAGGGCAGCTAGAGAGAAAGGTCGGGTTACCCAAAAAGGGAAGCCCATCAGATTAACAGCGAATCTCTCTGAAGAAACCCTACAGGCCAGAAGAGAGTTGGGGCCAATATTCAACATTTTTAAAGAAAAGAATTTGCAACCCAGAATTTCATATCCAGCCAAACTAAGCTTCATAAGCAAAGGAGAATTAAAATCCTTCACAGAAAAGCAAATGCTGAGAGATTTTGTCACCACCAGGCCTGCCTTACAAGAGCTCCTGAAAGAAGCACTAAACATGGAAAGGAACAACCAGTACCAGCCGCTGCAAAAACATAACAAATTGTAAAGAATATCGACACTATGAAGAAACTGCATCAACCAGCAGGCAAAACAAACAGCTAGCATCGTAATGGCAGAATCAAATTCACACAAAACAATATTAACCTTAAATATAAATGGGCTAAATGCCCCAATTAAAAGACAAAGACTGGCAAATTAAACAAATTAAATAGTCCAGACCCATCAGTGTGCTGTATCCAGGAGACTCATCTCACAGGCAAAGACACACATAGGTCAAAATAAAGGGATAGAGGAATGTTTACCAAGCAAATGGAAAGAAAAAAAAAAAGCAAGAGTTGAAATACTAATCTCCAATAAAACAGACTTTAAACCAACACAGATCAAAAGAGACAAAAGGGCATTACATAATGGTAAAGGGATCAATGCAGCAAGAATAGCTAACTATCCTAAACATATATATGCACCCAATACAGGAGCACCCAGATTAATAAAGCAAGCTCTTAGAGACCTACAAAGAGATTTTGACTCCCACGCAATAATAGTGGGAGACTTGAACACCCCACTGTCAATACTAGACAGATCAACAAGACAGAAAATAAACAAGGATATTCAGGACTTGAACTCAGCTCTGGACCAAGTGGACCTAATAAACATCTACAGAACTCTCCACCCCAAATCAACAGAATATACATTCTTCTCAGTACCTCATCACACTTATTCTAAACTTGACCACATAATTGGAAGTAAAACACTCCTCAGCAAATGGAAAATAATGGAAATCATAACAAAGAGTCTCTCAGACCACAGTGCAATCAAATTAGAACTCAGGATTTAAAAAACTCACTCAAACTTCACAACTACATGGAAACTGAACAACCTGCTCCTGAATGACTACTGGGTAAATAACAAAATGAAGGCAGAAACAAAGATGTTTTTTGAAACCAATGAGAATGAAGACACAGCATACCAGAATCTCTGGGACACATTTAAAGCAGTCTGTCAAGGGAAATTTTTAGCACTAAATGCCCACAAGAGAAAGCAGGAAAAATCTAAAATTGATATCCTAACATCAAAATTAAAAGAACTAGAGAAGCAATGGCAAACAAATTTAAAAGCTAGCAGAAGACAAGAAATAACTAAGATCAGAGCAGAACTGAAGATGGAGACACAAAATCCCTTCAAAAAATCAATGAATCCAGGAGCAGGTATTTTGAAAAGATCAACAAAACAGAAAGACCACTAACAAGACTAATAAAGAAGAAAAGAGAGAAGAATCAAATACAAGCAATAAAAAATGATATAGGGGATATCACCACTGATCCCACTGAAATACAAACTACCATCAGAGAATACTATAAACACCTCTGTGCAAATAAACTAGAAAACCTAGAAGAAATGGATAAATTCCTGGATACATACACTCTCCCAAGACTAAACCAAGAAGAAGTTGAATCCCTGAATAGACCAATAACGAGTTCTGAAATTGAGGCAGTAATTAAGAGCTTACTAACCAAAAAAAGCACAGGACCAGAAAGATTCACAGCTGAATTCTACCAGAGGTACAAAGAGGAGCTGGTACCATCCCTTCTGAAACTATTCCAATCAATAGAAAAAGAGGGAATCCCCCCTAACTCATTTTATGAGGCCAGCATCATCCTGATACCAAAACCTGGCAGAGACACACAAAAAAAGAAAATTTCAGGCCAATATCCCTGATGAACATCGGTGCAAAAATCCTCAATAAAATACTAGCAAAGCGAATCCAGCAGCACATCAAAAAGCTTATCCACCATGATCAATTCATCTTCATCCCTGGGATGCAAGGCTGGTTCAACATACACCAATCAATAAAATGTAATCCATCACATAAACAGAACCGATGACAAAAAACACATGATTATCTCAATAGATGCAGAAAAGGCCTTCGATAAAATTCAACACCCTTTCATGCTAAAAACTCTCAATAAACTAGGTATCAATGGACTGTATCTCAAAATAATATAAGAGCTATTTATGACAAACCCACAGCCAATATCATACTGAATGGGCAAAAAGTGGAAGCATTCCCTTTGAAAACCAGCACAAAACAAGGATGCCCTCTCTCACCACTCCTATTCGACATAGTATTGGAAGTTCGGGCCAGGGCAATCAGGCAACAGAAAGAAATAAAGGGCATTCAAATAGGAAGAGAGGAAGTCAAATTGTCTCTGTTCACAGATGACATTGTTGTATATTTAGAAAACCCCGTTTTCTCAGCCCCAAATCTCCTTAAACTGGTAAGCAACTTCAGCAAAGTCTCAGGATACAAAATCAATCTATAAAATTAACAAGAATTCCTATACACCAATAACAAACAGAGAGCCAAATCATGAGTCAACTCCCATTCACAGTTGCTACAAAAAGAATAAAATACTTAGGAACATAACTTATAATAGATGTGAAGGACCTCTTCAAGGAGAACTACAAACCACTACTCAAAGAAATAAGAGAGAACACAAACAAATGGAAAAACCTTCCATGCTCATGGAAAGGAAGAATCAATATTGTGAAAATGGCCTTACTGCCCAAAGTAATTTATAGATTCAGTGCTATCCCCATCAAGCTACCACTGACTTTCTTCACAGAATTGGAAAAAGTTACTTTAAACTTCATATGGAACCAAAATGAGCCCACATAGCCAAGACATTCCTAAGCAAAAAGAACAAAGCTAGAGGCATCACACTACCTGACTTCAAACTATTCTACAAGGCTACAGTAATCAAAACAGCATGGTACTGGTACCAAAACAGATATACAGACCAATGGAACAGAACAGAGGCCTCAGAAATAATGCCACACATCTACAACCATCTTATCTTTGGTAAACCTGACACAAACAAGCAATGGGGAAAAGATTCCCTATTTAATAAATGGTGTTGGGAAAACTTGCTAGCCATAAGCAGAAAACTGAAACTGGACCCCTTCCTTACGCCTTACGCAAAAGTCAACTCAAGATGGGTTACAGACTTAAATGTAAGACTTAAACCATAAAAATCCTAGAAGAAAACGTGGGCAATACCTATCAGGACATAGGCATGGGCAAAGACTTCATGTCTAAAACACCAGAAGCCATGGCAACAAAAGCCAAAATTGACAAATGGGATCTAATTAAGCTAAAGAGCTTCTGCAAAGCAAAAGAAACTATCATCAGACTGAACAGGCAACATACAGAATGGGAGAAAATTTTTACAATCTATCCGCCTGACAAATGGCTGATATCCAGAATCTACAAAGAACTTAAACAAATTTACAAGATAAAAAAACAAACAACCCCATCAAAAAGTGAGCAAAGGATATGAACAGACACTTCTCAAAATAAGACATTTTTGCAGCCAACAAACATATGAAAAAATGCTCATCATCACTGATCATTAGAGAAATGCAAATCAAAACCACAATGAGATACCATCTCATGCCAGTTAGTATGGTGATCATTAAAAAGTCAGGAAACAACACATGCTGTAGAGGATTTGGAGAAATAGGAACACTTTTACACTATTGATGGGAGCGTAAATTAGTTCAAACATTGTGGAAGACAGTGTGGCGATTCCTCAAGCATCTAGAACGAGAAATGCCATTTGACCCAGCAATCCCATTACTGGGATTTATAATCCCAAAGGATTATAAATCATTCTACTATAAAGACACATGCACACATATGTTTATTGCAGCACTATTCACAAAAACAAAGACTTGGAACCATCCCAAATATCCATTAATGATAGACTGGATAAAAAATATGTGGCATAAAAACACCATGGAATACTATGCAGCCATAAAAAAGGATGAGTTCATGTCCTTTGCAGGGACATGGATGAAGTTGGAAACCATCATTCTCAGCAAACTATCGCAAGAACAGAAAACCAAGCACTGCATGTTCTCACTCATAAGTGGGAGTTGAACAAGGAGAATACATGGGCACAGGGAGGGGAGCATCACACACCAGGGCCTGTTGGGGGGTTGGGGGAGTGGGTGGAATAGCATTAGGAGAAATACCTAATGTAGGTGATGGGTTGATGGGTGCAGCAAGCCACCATGGCACATGTATACTTATGTAACAAAACTGCACGTTCTGCACATGTACCCCAGAATTTAAAATATAATAATAATAAAAAAGCCAGATGTGTTGGCCTGTGCCTATAGTTATAGCTACTTGAGAGGCTGAGGAAGGAGGATCACTTGAATCTAGGAGTTTGAGGCTGCAGAGAGCTATGGTTATGCCACTGCACTCCACTCTGGGTGACAGAGAGAGATCTCATGCCTAAAATAAAAATGAAAGAAAGACATACACTTTGAAAGGTTATAGCGGCCATAGATAGTGATTCCTCTAATGGATATGGGCAAAATACATTTAAAACCTTCTGGAAAGGATTCCTATTGTAGATGTCATTAATAACATTGGTGACTCATGAGAAGAGGTCAAAATATCAATATTAACAGCAATTTGGAAAAAGTTGATTCCAATCCTGTGGATAACTTTGAGGAGCTCAAGACTTCAGTGGACAAAGTGACTACAGGTGTAGTGGAACTAGCCAGATAGCTAGAATGAGAAGTGCACCCTAAAGATGGGACTGAATTGCTGAAATCTCATGATAAATATTGAATGGATGAGGAGTTACTGAAGGAGCAAAGAAAATGGTTTCTTAAAGAGCAAAGAAATTTGCCCTTGGTGAAGATGCTATGAGCAATGTTGAAGTGACAACAAAAATTTAGAATAGCACATAAACTTAGTTGATAAAGCAGTAGCAGGGTTTGAGAGGATTGCCTTCAATTTTGAAAGAAGTTCTGCAGTGGGTAAAATGCTATCAAACAGAAACCAACCACCACCCTGATCATTCAGCAACCAACAACAACAAAGCAAAACCCTCCACCAGAAAAAAGGTTACAACTCATTGAAGGCTTAGATGATTGTCAGCATTTTTTAGTAATATTTTTAATTAAGGTCTGTACATTGTTTTTTTGACACAATGCTATTACACACTTAATAGACTACAGTATAGTGTAAACATAGCTTTTATATGCACTGAGAAACCAACAAATCTGTGTGACTTGCTTTATTGTGATATTTGCTTTTTTGCAGTGGTCTAGAACTGAACCCACAATTTCCCCGAGGTATGCCTGTATTATAAAGATTTGGAATTGTGTAATATCTTTCTCTTGATTAATAAAGTTTTTTTCTCTGAAGTTCTTACAAATTTCAAAGGAGTTAACTAACTTTTAAAACTCTTCTAACTCTTCCATTTTATTTGATAAAAAGTACACTTCAGAACTCTTGCATAAATCTTAGAGTTTGTGTGTCAGGGAAAAAATCTTACGTCAATTATTTTCTATATACAAAGAATTAAATTTCCAATCTTGAAGCTTGGATATAAATAAATATATATACATAATTCTTAAATATTGATTAATTGCTTAAATATCGAGTCACTCACTTGTTTATCCAACAGAGCTTTATGAGCTCTTTCTGTATTATGAAAGCAAAAAATGCATTTACATTTTTGCTTACATACTGTGTCTACTCTGTAACTGAGGCCCCAAATAAATTTGATTCATGCCAAAAATTTTGCTGGGCACCTTGAAAGAGAGATATCCTATGAGATAGTCATAGCAATGCAAATTATTTTTACACTGTGCTATATGTGTTTCTGAAAAAAAAAAAAGCTATCCTAAATCTTTGGAATCCACCCAAGAAAAAAAAATCAGAAAATGTGAAATTGTCTAAGTCCACTGAATCAGTATAGTTACTGTCTATAAGATACTCCTAGGCTCAGAAATTATGTGCTCAGGAGATAAAGCATACTTCTAGAAATCAGGGCTTTGTTCTCCAGGAAACACTAAGGCTAGTAATCAAAATGAAACAAAGGCACCCAATGAAGATTCCCATAGGTAAAACTGCTTCCTAAGTGGATGTTTGATTGCTCTCAGCTTCTCCTTTTATGTTCATCTTTCTACCACAAAAGCCCATTCTCTGTGGCATTTCATAAGGTTGCTAATGATTTACTGTTGGTAGATGCAGGAGCCTAGAAGGGAGGTACACAGAAAGAGTGCATTTCTTAAAATGTAGGACATAAATAGATTTCAAAATTTTTGTCCCATTACTTTCACTTAGAAAAAAAAGGAATGTATTTTCTCCAAACATTTTCTGGTTACCATGGATCACTCTATGGATCTTTTCTCTATTCAAGGCAAGCTACTGCTATGCCTCTTTGGGTCTTCTTACTCTTGGAAAGAACCATTACATATCCATTCCCCAAGTGGACATGCCCCTGTTCAACTGTCACTGAAGTATCAGGAGTTATGATATAATGGTGCGGTGGGGAACAAGAGGTCTCTGCATGACCAAGAGCTTATTGTGGGAAATGAAACACTCCTGTTTATAAATGCTCCTTCAGCCATTCTCATTTGCCATCACAGGGTGTAGCATTCTGGCTTTCCTTGGTTTGTTGGCCTCCTTTCTCTTCCTTCTAGTGACTTTCTACTTACACTTTCCACTTCTCAACTTGTCAGGAAATTCAAAAAGTCTTATTTTATAGTACATTAAGGGCAACATAATGTTGGTTTGTCTCTCTCCTCAGCCTTCATAGCTATGTCTAAGCCTCATTTTCCATGTTTCATGAAAGCATTTTGCTAAACAAGTGTAAACCTAAAAGTATCTGAGACAAGTGTCAATCAATTTTGAGGTTTATTTTGCCAAGATTAAGGGCATGCCCAGAAGAAAAAAAACACAAAATCACAGAAACAGTCTGTGGTCTGTGCCTTTCTCCAAAAGCAATTTTGAGGGCTTCAGCATTTAAAGAAAAAAATGTGGGCTGGAGGGGAAAGAGGGAGAGTATGGTAATCCACATGTTGCCAAAGAAAAGAAACAGGTAGGGGAATACTCAATTATTTATACATGCTGTGCTCAGTAAATCAGTACTTTATATAAGATAAGGTGGATATAGAGTAGCTACCTGTGAAGATATTTAACACTTTATTTGTAGCTATCTGCTTAGGAACAAAGGAAAGGCAGTTTCTTGCATTGTTATGGGATACTTCAGTTGCTTCACCAGCTGGAAACCTCTGTGGCTAGTGGTGCCTTTACCTGAGTTTTGCTTGGGCCTGCTGGGCTTATTTCACCCACTCAGCCGGTGGGCTGCACTCAGCTTATGTTACCAACCTGGATCCCACACCTGCAAAGGACAAGCCAGACACAGAGTGGTGAGTGGTGCAAGAGTGAATGAGTGTGTGGTCCAGCCACTGTGCACAGCCAAGCATGCTGACTGCAGCAGGGTGGGCAGCCCCAGGTGCTGTCATGGGCACTGGCTCCCTGCGAGGCTGCAGCTGGACCAGGAGTACCACAAGTGGCTTCCATGGCAGGCACAGGGGAACATGGTGTTGCCCAGAAGTTTGGAGTCACCAGGAATCACCAAGCCCCAAAGAGAGTGTCACAGTCCTGGCTCAGGGAGCTCCTAGGTCTGGGATCCCCAAAAGGATGCAGCTCTTCTCTCCTTCTCATCACCTGTAATGTGGCAAGTGGAGGTCGTATTTCAGCTCGGTTTGTGTTACAGCTCTTTCAGTTTCACCCCTGCCATTCAGCAGTCCTGAGTTCTTGTCCTACATCCAGGAAGAATGAGGTACTCAGAGAAGTGGAGAGTGAGAAAAGCAAAGAGGTGTTTTATTGAGCAACAGAACAGCTCAGAGGAGACCCACAGTGAGTAGCTCTGCTCTGCAGACAGGTTGTCTAAATGTCTGCTCAGCTCTCAGCAGAGAGAATACCCACAGTGGGTAGCTCCTCTTTGAAGGCAGGTCATCTTGATGTCTGCCTGAGTAAGGCTCAGTCAGGGGCTTTTATGGGCTTCAGAGGGGAAGAGGGTGTCCTGATTAGTCCACAGGCAGACATTGGCAGGCCCAGAAAAAGCACAGTAAGTTCTCACTCTGGTCTGTGGAACTGGCAACCTGGCCCCCAGGCTTCAGGCCATCCCAGGCCTAAAGGGGGAGCTTCACTGGGGACCCACCCCTTTCCATCCAGGAACTTGTCTTCCTCCTAACACCATTAACCTGCCACCCATGGTGGCCATGGCACCCAGGCTGTCTGTGTCAAGTGGTGCCTACAAGCCCATGCCAAGTCATCCTTAGTCCCCCTTCAGCCTCTCTCCCATGCTCATCAGTGCTCAATGTTCAGAGAGGGTCAAGGCATCAGCAGGCTGGTGTGTCAACACTGCCCTGAGCATGAGCACACCTGGCCAGGTCATGACAGCACCCAGGCTCAGCCACAACTTCACTCTAAAATTGGAGTGGGTGCTGGGAGTGGGCAGAGGCCAGGCAGTGGGAGCAGGCACTTCCAAGCCTGTGGGGAAGGGGGGCTTCCTGGGCCCCCGAGAGTGCAGAGATGCCTGAGTCCACAGCCATGACTGGGCTTCTGCAGCTGTGCCTGGGAGAGTGGAGTTCCAGCCCCAACAACTTGGAAGAGGGTGGGGCTCCCACCTGTTCTCAGCTCCTGCCAGCTCCACAGAACATGTAGCCCTGGCCATGCCTCCCCTGCTGCAGTTGGTCTTTTTGCAGCAGCTGCTCAAGACAAGCCACCGCTGCCATCACCCTGCTTCACCCGAAGAGGTACATCTAACTGCCATTAGGATACAGACAATGACCACTCTTAACTCCTTCATGCTGACAGGGGGCATTCTGGGAAAAATGGCAGTCAGATCTCTCTCAGAGGCCTATCTAAAGGCCCCTGGTAAAAGGAGAGCCATTTTCTGAGGCTCCAGTTGCATGTCCACTTGGAGTTTGATGGTTTCTAGGTGAGAAGAAACAAATTTTACAAGGAGGTTAAGTATGCAAAGGAAAAAATCTAGTGCCAAAAGATAACAGAAATAAGAAATAAAATAGACTAATCATTCTGAAAACAGTGTTGTGGCTAGAGCTGTTTCACCCTGGTAAAAGGAATTAAATCTTGTATGGAGGCAGTTAAACTTTAAAAGAGAAATAACTGTTTAGGGGAGTAGATAATCCCTTGGGAGTTCAGGATTAAGGGGTCCTTGATGAAGATGCCCTATGGCAAGGAAGAAAAGTGAGAAGAGCAAGCATAGGATATTCATGGAGGGTTAATTGTTAGTAATTCTCTTTTGAGATTGTTAGCTTGAGGTCCCTGATTTATTCACTCTGGTACTTTGGGTGCTCTCCTGGGTCAATGGAGGTAATTTCATCAGTTTCCCAGGACTTCACGCTAGTATAATGAATTCAAGAATCTATTCCAGTGACATTTACTGCCGTAGGTGTAGAAAGAAGTACAGTTTAAGGTCCCTCCCATTCTGGTCCTAGAGAGGAAAAAGGGAAGGAAGTGCCTTTATCAGGACTAAGTCCCCTGGGTTGAATAGAGGTGGCCTAGTTCATGGTACTGGGCCTCTGACAGTTGTTTCAGTTCATGTTGGAAATGGGCCAAATAATGTACATATTTAGTTAAATCAGAGGTTTCTTGGTCTAGCAAGAAATTATTGGTGAGTAAAGGTCATCCACACATCATTTCAGGGTTACCTAAACTCAGATTTGAAGGGGTATTTCTAACACATAGTAGGGCTATGAAGAGAAGAGTAATCCAAGGGAGATGAGTCTCTTGAGACAGATTTCTGAGGTGCCTTTTAATAATATCATTTGTCTTTTCTACCTTTCTTGAGGAGTGTGGTCTCCTGGCACAATGAAGATGGTATTCTATGCCTAGTGCCTTTGAGATACCCTTTGACAGCTGCCTTGAATGAGGGGCCATTATCTCTCTGGAGGCACCCAGGAAGTCCAAAGTGAGGAGTTATTTCATTAATCAGTACTTTTATCACCTCAGAGGCTTTCTCTGTTCAACATGTAAATGCTTCTATCTAGTTAGTGAAGATATCTACCCATACTAGGAGGTACTAGATGCCCCTTGTCTTTGGCATATGGTTGAAATCGACCTGCCAGTCTTCCCCTAGGTAGCTTCCCATTCTTTGGGTTCTGGTGGGGAGAAGATGTCGACTGAGAAGATTATGTTTAAGGCAAGTCTCACAATGAATGACCCATTTGACTGTTTTTAGTAGATTTTTACCTGAGAGCAGCCTTTGGGCCACTTGATAGGTTTTATCCTTACTTAGCTGGAAGGCATGGTGGAGAATTTTGAGAACTTTCCATTGGTTGGTAGCTGGTAGATGAAGCTTGCCATCCTCCAGTTGCAACCATCCTGAGGACTGAAGTGTGTATCCCTGAGAGGTGGCCCATTCTCTCTCTGCAGAGGAATACTGAGGTTTTATTTCTTTCATGGAGCCCTCCCAGATCAGAGGGGCCTCAAGTGGATCAGAAATATAGGGCCCTCTTGCTGCTGGTTTAGCTGCCTGGTCTGCCAACTTATTTCCCTCAACTCTTTCGTCCATCCCCTTTTCATGGCCTTGACAATGTATTGCTTCCACTTCTTGTGGAAGGAAGGCCAAGGATAATAGTCTGTTAATTTCCTGATGGAATTTATTGGGAGACCCATTGGCTGTGAGGAACTTCTTCTTTCCAGATAGTGGCAAGGGCATGGAGGACTAGAAAAACATATTTAGAATCAGTATAAATGTTAACTGGTTTCCCTTTGCTTAATTCAAGTGACCTCATGAAGGCAATTAGCTTAGCTAGTTGAACATTTCTGTCCACCGAGAGAGCTGTGCTCTCAATAATGTCACTTAGGGTGGCCATTGCATACCCTGCCTTACAGATCCCTTGCTCTACAAAGGAACTTCTGTCCATAAAGGGAATCTAGTCTGTGTTCTCTAAGGGGGTTTCTTTGAGGTCCTCTCTGGCCACAGGTTTGCACTATTACCTGTTCGCAGCCATTTTCAAGCTCCTCATCTTTCTCTTGGAGGAAGGTGGAGGAAGGTGGCTGGGTTTAGGGAGGGACAGGTTTGTTTGTCTGTTAGTTTTTTTGAGACAGAGTTTTGCTCTTGTTGCCCAGGCTGGAGTGCAATGGCACGATCTAGGCTCACCACAACCTCTTCCTCCCGGGTTCAAGAGATTCTCCTGCCTCAGCCTCCTGAGTAGCTGGGATTACAGGCATGTGCCACCATGCCTGGCTAATCCTTGTATTTTTAGTAGAGATGGGATTTCTTCATGTTGGTCAGGCTGGTCTCAAACTCCCAAGTTCAGGTAATTTGCCCATCTTGGCCTCCCAAAGTTCTGAGATTACAGGCATGAGCTGGGAGGGGCAGGTTCTTAACTGGACTGCAGATGCCTCTAATAGCAAAGCTTGATATTTGAGGAAGCAGCTGTCCATTAGCCAGAGACTCCCTTAAGACAACAGTTCTGTCACATTATGTGGGATGTAAATGGTTAAGTTATTCCCCATTGTTAACTTATAGCTTCTGGTACTAGCGAAGCTACTGCTGCAACTGCCTGGAGGCAGGCTGGCCATCCTTTAGCTACCAAATCAAGCTCCTTGCTTAGGTAGCCTGCAGACTGCTGAGCTAGGCATCAGGCCAGGGTTAGAACTTCCAGAGTGATTCCCTTCCTTTCTGAGACATAAAGATTGAACATCTCCCCATTGGGAAGACTAAGAGCTGGTTTATCAAGCAAAACCTGTTTTAATTGGTCATAGGCCCTTTTAGCCTCTGGTTCCCAAGTTAGGAAATGGGTCTTAGCTGCCTGAGTCACCTTTATTAGATGATATACGGGATGAGCTATTTCACTGTACCCATGTATCCATAACCAGCAAAATCCTGTAATACCCTAGAATCCCCTCAATTGCTTGATGGTTTGGGTAAGGAAAAAGGAGGAGATGGGCTTGATCCTTTCTTCACCTAGTGCCCTGGTTCCCTCTAACAAGACTAGACCTAGGTACTTCACTGAAAGCCTGACAGAACCGAGCCTTAGATTTTGAAACCTTCTAGACTCTGTTAACGAGAAAGTAAGAAGAGCCTTGCTGCCTTCCTGAGAGATTTCCTCAGTTGGGGCACAAAGGAGAATGCCATCTACATATTGTAAAACTTTAACCTGATGATTAAGGGACTCAAGAGAGATCAATTAATGATGTCTGCCCAAACAGGTGGGGGCCATCTCAGAATCCCTGAGTTAACACAGTCTAGATTAACTGGGTGTCTTGGTTGGAGGGATTCTCAAATGCAAACAAATACTGGGAGTCAGGGTGTGATATGGTTTGGCTGTGTTCCCACCCAAAACTCATCTTGAATTGTAGTTCCCGTTATCCCCATGTGTGGTGGGAAGGACTAGGTGGAGATAACTGTTTCATGGCAGTGGTTACCCCATCCTGATCTTCTGAGAGTGAATTAGTTCTCATGAAATTTGACGGTTTTATAATGGAATTCCTCCTTCACTAGGCATTCCTTCTCTCCCCTGCTGTCCTGTGAAGGGTTGCTTTCTGCCATACTTGCAGGTTTCCTGAGGCCTCCCCAGCCATATGGAACTGTGAGGCAATTAAACTCCTTCCTTTTGTAAGTTACCCAGTCTCAGGAACTCCTTTACAGCAGTGTAAGAATGGACTAATACAGTAAATTGGAAGCTGGTAGTGGGACGCTGCTGCAAGGATACTCAAAAAATGTGGAAGCAACTTTGGAACTTTCAGAGGTTAAGTCAGAGGCTAGGTAACAGTCAGAGGTTAGGACAGTTTGGAGGGCTCAGAGACAGGAAGATGTGGGAAAGTTTGGAACTTCCTAGAGAGTTGTTGAATGGCTTTGATCAAAATGCTGATAGTGATATTGACATTAAAGTCCAGGCTGATGTGGTCTAAGATAAAAATAAGGGACTTGTTGGGAACTAGAGTAAAGGTCACTCTTGCTAGGCATTTTGCCCCCATGCCCTAGAAATCTGTGGAACTTTGAACTTGAGAGAGATAATTTAGAGTATCTGGTGGAAGAAATTTCAAAGTGGCAAAACACTCAAGAGGAAGCAGAGCATAAAAGTTTGGAAAATTTGCAGCTTGATGATGTGAAAAGAAAGAAAAACCCACTTTGTGGGGAGACATTCAAGCCCACTGCAGAAATTCACATAAGTAATGAGGAGCCAAATGTTAATCACCAAGACAACGGGGAAAATGTCTCCAAGGCATGTCAGAGATCTTCAGAGTAGACCCTCCCGACAAAGGCCTGGAAGCCTACAAGGGAAAAATGGTTTCACGGGCAAGGCCCAGGGCCCCCCTGTTCTGTGCAGCATCAGGACACGGTGCCCTGCATCCTAGTTGCTTCAGCTTCAGCCGTGGCTAAAAGGGGCCAACATACAGCTCAGGCCATTTCTTTAGAGGGTGCAAGCCTCAAGGGTTGGTGGTTTTCACGTGGTGTTGGGCCTGTGGGTGAACAGAAGTCAAGAACTGAGGTTTGGGAATCTCTGTCTAGATATCAGAGGGTATATGGAAATGCCTGGCTGTCCAGGTAGAAATTTGCTGCAGGAGCAGAGTCCTCATGGAGAACCTCTGCTAGGGCAGTGTGGAAGGCAAATGTGGAGTCAGAGCCCCTACACAGCATCCACACTGGGGGACTTCCTGGTGGAGCTGTGAGAAGACAGTCACTGTCTTCCAGATGCCAGAATGGTAGATTCACCAACAGCTTGCACTGTGCACCTGGAAAAGTGGCAGACACTCAATGCCAACCCATGAAAACAGCCAGGAAGGGAGCTGTACCATGCAAAGACACAGAGACAGAGCTTTCCAAGGTTGTGGGAGCCCACCTCTTGCATCAGTGTAACCTGGATGTGAGACATGGAGTCAAAGGAGATCATTTTGGAACTTTAAGGTTTAGTGACTGCCCTATTGTATTTTGGACTTGCATGAGGCCTGTAGCCTCTTCATTTTGGACAATTTTTCACATTTGGAATGGGTGTATTTACCTAATGCCTGTAACCCCACTGTATCTAGGAAGTAACTAACTTGCTTTCAATTTTACAGGCTGATAGGTGGAAGTAACTAGCTTTGTCTCAGATGGGACTTTAGACTTGGACTTTTGAGTTAATGCTGGAGTGAGTTAAGACTTTGGGGGACCATGGGAAAGGCGTGGTTGTGTTTTGAATTGTGAAGACCTGAGATTTGGGAAGGGCCAGGGGTGGAATGATATGATTTGGCTGTGTTCCCACACAAATCTCACCTTGAGTTGTAGTTCCCATAATCCCTATGTGTTGTGGCGGGGACCAGGTAGAGATAATTGAATGCTGGGGCCAGTTTCTCATCCTGTTCTTGTGATAATGATTTAGTTCTTATGGTAGTGAATAAGTCTCACAAGATCTGATGGTTTTATAAGGGGTTTCCCCTTTCACTTGGCTTTCATTCTCTCTTGCCTGCTGCCATATAAGACATGGTTTTGCCTTCCACAGTGATTGTGAGGCCTCCCCATCCACGTGGAACTGTGAGTTCATCGAATTTCTTTTTCTTTATAAATTACCCAATGTCAAGTATGTCTTTATTAGCAGCATGAGAATGAACTCATACAAATGGTATGCAGAAAAAGGAATCCTTTAGTCCAGGCATGTGAGCCATTTGGTTCCCTCAGCTATTTGAGTTAGAAGGGTATAGGGATTGGGGACCACAAGATAAATTGGAACCACAGTTTCATTAATGAGGTGGAGGTCCTGGACCATTCTCTATTTCCTGTTGGGTTTTTGTCCCTCCAATATTGGGCTATTATGCTGTTGCAGGGTTTGAGGAGGTCTTTCATCCTCAAGTTATTGATGACGGCTTCTAGTCCTTTTCTAACTTCTTATTTTAGGGGATAGTGTCTCTGGTTAGGAAAGGAGGTAGGATCCTTAAAGTGGATCTGGACCAGTGTGGTGATTGTGGCTTGGCCTAGTTTCCCTTGAGGTGCCCAAACTTCTGGGTTAATATTGGTCTCCACTAGGGTGGAGAAAAAGACTCTGTCTTGGAGCCGTAAGGATGGTGGCTCCCATAGGAGCCAAACTATCCCTGCCCAACAGAAGAGTTGGGCTTTCAGGCATTATTTAAAAGGCAGGAGTAAACAAGAGGTTTCCCCATCTACAGCTAAGAGATTGGGAAAAATATCGGGTTATAGGCTTTCTTGAGGCACCCCTCACTGTTGTGCTAAGAGAAGAGGCGGGCCTGGATTGGAGATGAGAATGGAAAGGCCTGCTTTGGTGACCATGAAGAGTTCCACCTTCCTCCCTTCAACTTCCAAAATCACCCCGGGACCCAGGATGGCAATGGTAGTCTGGATCAGCAGAGCTGGGGAGAGGAGCCCCGGAACCTGTCAGTCCTGCTGGACCATTTGGGAAACTGGCTCTGGACCCAGTGACCTGTGTCTCTGTAAACAGTCTGCCCTCCAGTGGTCCCCATCAGAAATTGGATAGGGTTGAGGTGGCTTCCTTATGTTGCCTGGGCAGTCCTTCCTAAATTGCCCTGGCTTGCCCCATTCGTAGCAGGTAACATGTATATCTTGGGGGCTCTGAGGTTTGTGAGCCTGCAAGGCCACTATTAGAGCCTCTACCTTTTTCTTGTATTTATTTTCTCTTTTTTGGACTTCCTCCCAATCCCTATTGTGAAAGACCAAGTTGGTCACTTTCAGGAGGTTCTCTAAAGTGCTATCTGGTGTTGTAGCCTGTTTTTGCAGCTTCGTCCTGATATCACAAGCTACCGAAGTAATAAACTTATCCTTCAGGATCAGTTGTCCCTTCACTGGATCAGGAAATAGAGAGGTGTGCTTTACCAAGGCCACACTTAGCCTTTCTAGGAAGGCAGTGGGATTCTCATCTAATCCCTTGTCTACCAGGGATGGCTTGTAGTAATTGAGAGGCTTAGTTCTAGTCCTTTGTAAGCCCACTAGTGTGCATGCCTGAAAGTGTTTCCTTTTCCATTCTCCCATTTCACCACTGGGGCCCCATTTAGGGTCCTCCAATGGTACTGATATTTTTCCATTTGGATAAGGCTCCTCCTCTTCCCTGGCACTATATGAGATACAAAGCTCATCCCCAAAATTCTCTGCTTCTTGCAGGGTGACCTGCTTTTCCATGGTAGTCAGGGTTTGATTAAAAACTAACATAACATCCTCCTAGGAGAGCTCAAATACTTAGGTTAAATTCTGCAAAGCCTCTATATACCGGTCAGGATAGTCTGAAAACTTGCCAAGATTCCCCTTAATTTGTGTTAAGTCTTGTAGAGAAAAGGAGACTTGGCCCTTAATGGGGCCATATTCACCAGACATCTGTTTTAGGGGAAGGAGTGAGAGGGGGACTCACCTAAAATGAGGATTTCTAGGATGGGGAAAGTCCAAGAGAAAACCTGGATAGGGAGGAGGGGATGAAGTTTACTCCCCTGCTGGAGGTACCTTTAGGGTTTGCTTACCTAGTTTCCTGGGATTGCCCCTTGCAGCATCTCCTGAGATGGCTGCCAGGAGGACTGAATCAATCCTACAATGTTGGCAAAGGTCCAGACTACCCTGCAAGGCAAAGAAAGCCTGGACATGTGGGACCTCAGACCATTTGCCCTCACATTTAAAGAAAAGATCCAGGGAAAGGAATGTATTGAAATTAATGCTTCCTTTCTTTGGCCATGCTTCTCCTTCCTGCAGAACATAATTCAGTCACACTTTTGTGCAAAGTAATATGAGGTGCATTTTCTAAAGAGTCCGAGGGTCAAAGGAGTCTCAGGGATTCAGGATACACTCTAGAGGAGTGTAGGCTGAAGATGATTGGTTACCCATGTAGTAGAGAGGACAGAGGAGGAAAAAGGCATTTGTTTCTCTTTCCAGACTCTGAGGGTCAAAGAGGTCCCAGTGATTCAGGATGCACTCCAGAAGAATGCAGGCTGAATATAGTTGGTTTCCCATCTGGAAAGAGGAGAAAAAAGGGCACTCTTTTTCTCTTTCTCTTTCCAGTGAATACCAGGGGTATGTGAAGGAGAGAAAAAAAAGGTGTCTCCTTCTTTCTTCTGATCTTATATCTCCAAGTTCTGGTGACATTCGCAGGTGCCGACCATGGGAGCAAGTGTGACCTTCACCCATGAAGCGGGGAGGCATAGCTAGCAGGAATATCCTCAATCACCTAGGCAGAGCCTAAGCCTCCTGCTGCTAGAAATTTTTGAGTTCCCTAGACCTTGTCTGTGTCATGGATATGAGCATAACCTCCATTCATGAAGCAAGAGGGCCTAATTGGCAGAAATCAGTCATGCTAACCTGCATGACTAATTTTGCTTTCCAGGGCTTCAACCCAAAGCTTGGAATTGCCTCCAGAGGGTGTATGGACTCAATAGATCCCAGGTGGCCCTCACCAAACTGCTGCCAGCAGCTGGTGGGGCAGCCCCTTCCCTTGCTTTCCTATCATAAGCAGCTGAAACTGTGGGACCAGGTCCTCCTCAAACAAGGGAGAGAAAGGGAGTCCTGGGCATTGGGTAACTGGCCTAACAAGGTGCCTCCCAAGAGGAAAAATCAATAGAAAATCTCCCTGTATTCATAGAACTTTGTTGACTGCTGACATGATAGAGGAAAGAGAAGAAAACAACTTAAGTGCAGGGGAGGGGAAGGTGCCTGGAGGAAAAAGCTTCTTGCCCTTTGCAAATGGGTTCCTTCAACAGGGGAAAGAAAACTCGATTGTTACATCCTCCTTGCTTCTAAGAATAGACAGAAACCATTGATCCAATTTACACTCTTGATGACCAAGCCAAATGCACACTCTACCCAGTAATATTATCCCTGAGGTTTGCAACGATACCCTTTACATTGTATATAAAGAAGAGACAGTAGGCTTGACAGCCACAAAAGAAAGAAAAGAAAGAGAGAAAGGAAAAGAAAAGAGAAAAGAAGAAAGAAAAAGAAAAGAAAGAAAGAGAAAGAGAGAAAGGAGGGAAGGGAGGGAAGGAGGGAGGGAGGGAGGGAAAGACTGGAGGTCCTAGTGCTGACACCCTAATAGGCAGTCGGGAATTGAGTTACTCCAGAGCCCTTTGCATAACACTGAGTTGTATCCTCAGCCAAATACCCTGAGTTGCCCCAGAACCTCCTTCTGATCCCATGCAATGGCTAGACCTCTGTGAAGGGAAACTGAATTGGAACAAGGCCAACATTCCCAACACCCAAGGGTGATGGGAGATTGACAGTGTCCTCCCCAGCAAGCCTGTCATCCATGTAAGTCTGGCATTCATGCTAGTTGCTTTTTTTTTTATTTTTTTTTTTATTTTTTATTTATTTATTTATTTATTTTTGAGATGGACTCTCACACTGTCGCCCAGGTGGAAGTGCAATGGTGTGATCTTGGCTTACTGCAACCTCAAGCTCTCAGGTTCATGCAATTCTCCTGCCTCAGCCTCCAGAGTAGCTGGGATTACAGGTGCACACCACCACACCTGGCTAATGTTTTGTACTTTTAGTAGAGATGAAGTTTCACTATGTTGGCCAGACTGGTCTCAAACTCCTGACCTTGTGATCCACCTGCCTCAGCCTCCCAAAGTGCTGGAATTACAGATGTGAGCCACCATGGCTGGCTCATGCTAGTTGGTTTTTACTGGCTGACGGAGGCCCAGTATTTTTCTTTCATTTTCGCTTTTGTGGAGTTTAGACTGCAAAAAGAGGACAGAAAACAGCAAGTCTACTTTTACTCATGCTTCCACAGATCCCAGATGAGCCCCCGAAAATGTCACAGGATCCTTGGGGTGTTGTTTCACCAGCTGAAAACCTTTGTGCCCAGTGTCACCTTTGCCCAAGTTTTGCTTAGGCCTGCTGGGTTCATTCTACCCACTTGGCCTGGCAGGCTGTGCTTGGCTCATGCTACTGGCCTGGACTCCATGCCTGCCAAGGGCAAGCCAGGTGCAGAGTGGAGAGGGATGCATGAGCATGCAAGCATGGGGGTCTTTCCACTGCACAGAGCCAGGCATGCTGGCTGCCACATGGCAGGCAGCTACACACACAAGCATGGACACTGGCTCCCTGCAAGGCTGTGGCTGGACCAGGTGTGCCATAAGCAGCTTCCACTGGGGGCACCATGGAACTTGGTGGCACCCTGAAGCTTGGAGTTGCCAGGAACCACAGAGCCCCAAAGAAGGTGTCACAGCCCTGGCTCAGGGAACTCCTAGGCCTATGCTCCCCGAAGGGCCGTAGCTCTTCTCTCCTTCTGTCATCTCCTTCTCATCACTGCAATGTAGTGAGCAGGGGTGTGTTTCAGCCCTGTTTATGTTACAGCTTTTTCAGCCCCGCCATTCAGTGGGTCCTGAGTTCTTGTCCCATGTCCAGGAATAATAAGTTAGGCAGGCAAGTGGAGGGTGAGCAAGGTGAAAATGTGCTTTATTGAGTGACAGAACAGCTCAGCAGAGACCCACAGTGGTTAGCTCCTCTTTGCAGACAGGTCATCCTGATGAGAGTCCAGCTCACAGCAGAGAGGAGACCTACAGTGGGCAGCTCCTCTCCACAGGCAGGTTGTCCTGACATCTGCCCAAGTCTGGCTGAGTCCAGGGTTTCTGTGGGCTTCAGGGGGAGAAAGGGCATGCTAATTTGTCCACAGGCAGCCATGTGCAAACCCAGAAAAACACTATAAGTTCTCACTTCGGTCCACAGAACTGGCAGCCTGCCCACCTGACTTCAGACCATCCCAGGCCTGAAGAAGGGGCTTTACTGAGGACCAGCCCCTTTCCTCCCAGGAGCCTGTCTGCATCCTGCTGCCACTAACCTGCCCTTCATGGTTCCCAAGCACCCAGGCTCCCTGTGCTGAGGGGTGCCTACAGGCCCATGATGAGCCACCCTTAGCTCCCCCCTCAGTCTCCCTCCCATGCTCACTGGCTCCCAATGTCTGGAGGGGGCTGAAGCAGCAGAAGGCTGCCTTGTCAGCACTTCCCCAAACACAAGCACACCAGCTGGGTTGTGACAGTGCTCAGGCTCGGCCACAACTTTGCTCTGAAATTGGAGGGGGCACCAGGAGCAGGGAGAGGCCAGGCAACTGGAGCAGACTCTTTCAAGCCTTCAGGAGGACTTCCCAGGACCCCCAGATGCAGAGATACCTGGGTCTGCAGCCATGGCTGGGTGGCTACAGCTACGCCAGGACAGTGGGATCTCTGCCCCACCAACTTGGAAGGGGATGAGGATCCCTGTCTCTTCCCAGCTCCCACAGGCTCTGTGGAGTGCACAGCCCCAGCCACACTTCCCCCACTACAGCCAGTGTATTTGCAGTGGCCACTCCAGACTGGCTGCCACTGCTATCATCATGACTTGACTTTCAGCTTAATTTTTTTCCTTTTGTGCATAATCAATTGGAGTTCCAAGTTTTTACTTTCCTTTCACATTTCTACATCCCCCTCTTTCCTTTTTAAAATCTTTCAGAGAAAACATTTTAGAAGAAAATTCATCTCTGGTATTGGGTTTTGTCTGATCTCTTCAGCTAGGATGGTTATTCCTAGACAGATAGGTCCCATATTGTAAGAAAACCTCATTTTTAGCAGGGTGTGAAGTTTCATATCCCAGGAAGAAAATATAGAGAGTAAGAAAGAAATAAAATGAGGGGAAAAAGGGGGAAATAATATACAACAACAACAAAAAAGGGGAAACAATCCTAGAAAACTGATATAGGCCATATTATTCAGAAGTCTATACCTCAGCAGGCAGGCATAAAATCGTTCATGTATATAAATAGATTGCTGTCATTTTCTTCTAAAGTTTAAGTGTTTAGCTTCAGTTTTCAAGGCATTAAGTAAAGTACAGCTTAATTTTTAGTGATTTCAAATCAGTAAAAAAATGGGAAAAAAGAAAAATAATAAAGAAGGAAGGAAATAATAACGAAGAAAAAAAACTAAAAACATTATTTTGGAGACTTGTAGCCAGGAAAAATTTTAGGACTCAGTCCAAATTGTAGAAAACAATAAAAGTTGGAAAATATTGTACAAGGCTAGAATCCAATTAACAGCTGTACTATAGTTTATTTTGAAACATAATTTTTCTCTCTCCAATTCCCCAATTTTTTTTTTTAATTATACTTTAAGTTTTAGGGTACATGTGCACAATGTGCAGGTTAGTTACATACGTATACATGTGTCATGCTGGTGTGCTGCACCCACTAACTCGTCATCTAGCATTAGGTATATCTCCCAATGCTATCCCTCCCCCCTCCCCCCACCCCACAACAGTCCCCAGAGTGTGATATTCCCCTTCCTGTGTCCATGTGATCTCATTGTTCAATTCCCACCTATGAGTGAGAATATGCGGTGTTTGGTTTTTTGTTCTTGCGATAGTTTACTGAGAATGATGTTTTCCAATTTTATCCATGTCCCTACAAAGGACATGAACTCATCATTTCTTATGGCTGCATAGTGTTCCATGGTGTATGTGTGCCACATTTTCTTAATCTAGTCTATCATTGTTGGACATTTGGGTTGGTTCCAAGTATTTGCTACTGTGAATAATGCCACAATAAACATATGTGTGCATGTGTCTTTATAGCAGCATGATTTATAGTCCTTTGGGTATATACCCAGTAATGGGATGGCTGGGTCAAATGGTATTTCTAGTTCTAGACCCCTGAGGAATCGCCACACTGACTTCCACAATGGTTGAACTAGTTTACAGTCCCACCAACAGTGTAAAAGTGTTCCAATTTCTCCACATCCTCTCCAGCACCTGTTGTTTCCTGACTTTTTAATGATTGCCATTCTAACTGGTGGGAGATGATATCTCATTGTGGTTTTGATTTGCATTTCTCTGATGGCCAGTGATAATGAGCATTTTTTCATGTGTTTTTTTGGCTGCATAAATGTCTTCTTTTGAGAAGTGTCTGTACATGTCCTTCGCCCACTTTTTGATGGGGTTGTTTGTTTTTTGCTTGTAAATTTGTTTGAGTTCATTGTAGATTCTGGATATTAGCCCTTTGTCAGATGAGTAGGTTGCGAAAATTTTCTCCCGTTTTGTAGGTTGTCTGTTCACTCTGAGGGTAGTTTCTTTTGCTGTGCAGAAGCTCTTTAGTTTAATTAGATCCCATTTGTCAATTTTGTCTTTTGTTGCCATTGCTTTTGGTGTTTTAGACATGAAGTCCTTGCCCATGCCTATGTCCTGAATGGTAATGCCTAGGTTTTTTTCTAGGGTTTTTATGGTTTTAGGTCTAACGTTTAAGTCTTTAATCCATCTCGAATTGATTTTTGTATAAGGTGTAAGGAAGGGATCCAGTTTCAGCTTTCTACATATGGCTAGCCAGTTTTCCCAGCACCATTTATTAAATAGCGAATCCTTTCCCCATTGCCCATTTTTCTCAGGTTTGTCCAAGATCAGATAGTTGTAGATATGTGGCGTTATTTCTGAGGGCTTTTTCTGTTCCATTGATCTATATCTCTGTTTTGGTACCAGTACCATGCTGTTTTGGTTACTGTAGCCTTGTAGTATAGTTTGAAGTCAGGTAGTGTGATGCCTCCAGCTTTGTTCTTTTGGCTTAGGATTGACTTGGTGATGTGATTTTTTTTTGAGAGGGAGCCTTGCTCTGTCACCCAGTCTGGAGTGCAGTGGCACAATCTCTGCTCACTGCAACCTCCACCTCCCAGGTTCAAGTGATTTTCCTGCCTCAGCCTCCTGAGTAGTGGAACTGCAGGCACACATCACCACAACCAGCTAATTCTCAATTTTATTGAAGACAAAATCATAGCTGGAGCAATTTCTTTGTAAACTAAGTTTTATTCTTATTATATTTGGTTTGATTATTTGCATGAAGTTCAGTAAGAATAATCATTTAACAGGCAGGCTCTCTCTTTTTCTTAACATTGTCTTTGCTAGAACCTTTTCCTTAAGGAATCTAAGATTAGACCTGTTTAGAAAGCTTTGGCCCAGCCAAGGATTCATCTGTGCTTGTAGATACCTGTATGAATTAGTTGAATTCTGTTTTCAAAGTCCCAATAAAACTTGGAGTTTCTGGACCTATCAGAGAGTGGCATTCTTCACTTATCACAGGTCAGGACCCTGAAAAAGACAAGGTATGAGGCCAGTTTCTTTCCAAAGGGCTTTTATTGAAGCTATAGATCAGCTTCATTTTCTCAAACTTATCTGAAAATATGTCATTCCAGTCAAGGCCTTGGTAAAATAACCAGTGTCTCCAGTTATTCCTTGTTATAAAAGAAAGCAGATTCTTATTGAACTTATGCAAATAACTATATTACCATAAATTAATAATACTCACAAATAGTTTCCAAATTTTGGATAAATTATGTAGAAAGAAAGGAATTATGTTTTAAATTTTGCTCACTATATTATACTTTACTCAATTGTTAAAAGCTGTAAATAGCTTAAAAGAAAAAATTTTCTTGACTCAAAAACAACAAAAAAAGTATCAGCAAATATTTGTAACAAAAATTCATAAAAGATGATTTCAGTCTTCTGTTAGTATACCCCATACTAACAGCTGATCTGCTCAATCAGAACAACAATTGGAGCAACAATCCTCATGAATACATGGGCTCTCCATGAGGGTTCTGAAAGTTTTTCTCTATTCCGATGGTACAAGCTCTAAAGTTACCAGAAACTTTTATTTAAGAGTACACTGCATAGTTCTGTAGCTGATGATAAATGGTTGTATAAAAGGATCAAAGTAAAACATCACTTGTGGATGACAAAAACATTAGGACAGACATGATAAAAGACACAACAAGGAAATTTGGTTATTTCTGTGGTATACAGCAATTTTACATAATAATTATGACTACTGATAACATATGCTAAGACATCAGAGTCATAATCTCACACAATTTTGGAACACACACTAATAACACAGTAAATAAATATAATCCATAGAGAGGTTATTATTTGACAATGCTACCTTTGTGATTCTATTATTCCAAATAAGCCAAATATGTCTCTTTTTGACTACAGAGGACCTAACATCAAAAAATTAATGGGGTTAAAGGGACCAAATTCAATTTGATTTCTGAAAGAGTTTGTCAAACACTTGATATCACAAAGTAGGATCACAGGTCATTGTAAAATAATTCATTCATTTAGCCAAAGTAATAACTCAAAATTTTCAAAAGAAAAAAACCTTTATTCTTTGAGGGAAGAGACTTAATTTCCTAAACAATAAGCCCTAGTAAAGACAGCATAAGATGACTTAAATCTGTCTCTCAACATTTATAAGCAAATCAACTAAATTTTAATCATCTTGACCATAAGATATAACTTTCACAAAACTTTTTGTAACTTTGCATAATATTTTAATTTAAAAGTAGT
Source organism: Homo sapiens (assembly GCF_000001405.40). NCBI lineage: Eukaryota > Metazoa > Chordata > Mammalia > Primates > Hominidae > Homo > Homo sapiens. Next base: position 85,999 of record NW_012132918.1, read on the forward strand.
TTAATGCTTCAGAAAAACCTTGTTAACTTGACCTAGGGGCCCAGATACTGGTCATGCATCAGTGCGCCTTTGATATTAATGTTTAATTTACAAAGAAATTCTGAACTAATTTTATCTTTTAAAATTGGCCCTTACAGCCTCATGTGCACACCTCTTCCTCAGTAGTCCCTAGGCATAGAGGGGTTTAATAGCTTTAATTCTGGCCCCATGTCTCAGTAATGCATTTTGTTTTGATTGTCATCTTCTCCCGGATCTGAAGATGAGGCTTTAACTACTGTCACACGTTCAGATTTAGCAGGACTTGGATTTTTAGATACAGGAGTCAAGGCCCTGTAACTTAACAGCACAAAGACTTTAAAAGCAATACAAAAACTTACATGGATGTTATAACTTTAATTTTTAAAAATTTTAAAATCTGTTTTCCTAAGCAAATGAAAAACTTAATAATAATGAAATAGAAACTATTCTGATTAAATGTAAAATCCAGTTGTTAGGCCATTACCAAAAGGCAAAAAAAAAAAAAAAAAAAAAAAAAAAAAAAAAAGACTTCCTACATTGTGATTGCTTTCCCTCCATAAGGATTCTATTTACATAACCTGCAAGTCAAAAATGAATAGGGTACTTAATTAATTATATATAGGGAGAATGTGCCCTGGGTCATAAGTGAAGATTTTCACGTATGTTTTCATAGAACATTTTAGACATATTAAGAAAAGCCAAGAGCACAGAATGTTATATTGGAAGAAAACATTCCCTCTAGACCTTTAAGATAAAACATTTTTATCATCAGGCCACAACAGCAGTTAGAACCTGAGGGAAAAAAAATTACAGGAGCTGACAAAAAAGTTGAAACAGAGAATTATTATCTCAGATCTCCTCAAAGGGGAGAGAAACCTGAAAATAACATGATGTAATAGGAGTTAAACTTTTGATTTACAAAATTAAAATCTCTTGTAATTTTATTAAGAGTAAGTCAATATTTTCAGAAAATTTTGTTGTTCTAGCCAATTTTTTAGAGTATTAAAATATTTTAAATATCAAAACCCAATCTCTTGAAAGACTATAATTTCCTCTTAATTATAGCCAACTTGATCAAATGCAGTTTTTTCCATAAATTCTCTTTTTACAAACTTCATTGTGACTTATGTAAACCATTTATGACATGCTTGGACTTTCTGTTTTATTATAACCATCCCTCTTTCTTAAATAGTCATTTTATTTTGTGACAAAGAAGTTACCATACACGATTCTTTCTCATAGAGAATTATTTTCCTTTTAACCTTTCTTACCAAAAATACCTCTTTATGTCTAGAACTTTCTTTACATCTCTGTTATTTACTGGCTCTTTTTACCTTGTTTCTTAAAAAGCCTTTAAATATGATAAAAATTAATTCCTTTTAGTAAAAGTTTTTTAGAAGATTGTTTTCCTATAATATATTTTTTTTAAATTGGAAATGACCAAGATATTTAGTTGGTATATATTATTTAATTTAGTATACCTTTAGATTCTAAATTATATGACAAGTTTTTTATAAGCATTTATTTCCTTATATTTACTTAATTAATTTTAATAGTTTATTTAGATTACTTAAGAAAACTGTGATATTCATTATTTAGTTATTTCCATATTAATTTTTGTAACCTGCAAATTTCAGGTGTTTTCCTGAGTAAGAATTTTAAGGTTAAATAAATATTTTGGTTGTTTTTTCCTCCAATAACTCAGGATTTAATTGTTTTCATTAAACCAACAATATTAGATAACACATTTATCAAAAATTTACAGTAAGATCATTCTGTTTTGGGCTGGGTTTATGCAAAATTTTAAATTTTGACACCTTATAATATCTTGCAGACATTTTAATTATAAAACCATTTGATCAATACATCTAAACAATAAAGCATGCTGACAAATCTGAAAACATCTCTAATTTTATTTTACCAACATATTAAGCAAGCTTTTTTAAAAAGATTTATTTAAGTCATATGAACTTGAAAAGCATCTGGGCTTATTTACTTAACTTTATGAATACTCCTTTAGTTTTAAGCCAATTTGGTACCTTGTGGCCACAACACACAACACACAACCAAACACAAATACATACACATAAACACATAAGCATGCATACACCCTTATACAAACAAAGATCCCACAGCTTTTCTTTTGGAACTTTAGCCATGAGATATCAAAACTCACTAGTATACAAAAAAAGGTTGGATGCAAACTGTGGGTTTTATTTCAACAGAAGTAGAAAAGTCCTCTAAACTAAAAAAATACATTTTCTTAGGAAAAAGCCATAACCTCATTTTTTTTTAATCTTCATCCAAAACATATCTTATTCTCCTGCTATTCTAATTCTTAGTAACCCTAATTCTTAGTTGAGGGCCTAGAATTATTTTATTTAACATAACATGGCTTTAAGATTTTAAATTACTGGAGATAATTTTGAGACTAAATTTATCAAATTAATCTTACCAAAGACTGCAAAAGTCATCTGAACTTAAAAGCCTTTAAGCTAGTTTCTATTAGTTTGATAAATTCTTACTTTTTTAAGCAAATTTTTTAGAGTTGTTTCATATAATTTGGTAGTAAAGTATCACCTCCAGATGGCACATATAAACATATAGACATGACAGACCTAGAGAGAAGCATATATTTTAGATTTATAATTTTGTACTTGCCTGTTTTTTTACTTGCCTTACTTTAGACTATTAATCTCTTGATTATATGTTCCATGTCCTAAACAATTGTTAACTAGGCAACTGTCAATTTGCATCTCCAAAGGCATGACTTAGGTGAAACAAGGTAGAAAATGTACATCTCAATGGCACAGACAGATTGATCTAAGCAAAGTCAAGGTCTGTTATGTAAACTTTAAGCTATAGTCTTTCCCCTAAAGGTCCTAGTGGTTTTCGGGAGAGACAGAGATGCCCTTAAAAAATGTGATTTCTTTAAAGTTGTAAATTTCCTTTACGAAGTATTTAATTAAAGTGATTGATTTTGACAGGTGATCCTTTTAATTTGGCTTCATTAGATTACTGGCTTTAGGGTGGAGTCTTTTAAGGAACAGGGCCAAGAAAGCATGCAGTTTTTAGGGATTAAACCATGACTTTCTTATTCAAATGTGCAAATAAACAAGTAGGTCCCTGTAGTAATGACCATTTCCTGTAAACTCTTTGCAGTCACTCCCTAACGTTGTAGCTCTCATCCACCATTACACACACCAAGATCAGATGCTCTCATAGTACAAAGTATTCTTTGGTATCACCAAAAGCCAAATAAATCAAGTAATACAATGCAAGAAAACAGAGCTGTAGACCTGAGAAGACTCTACCCATGACTCTTGAAACTCCACAAAGAAAGCAGAACATCTCCACAAGAGATGAGTGGTACATTTATTCTGAGTTGTTTAAGGGGTCTGAGTCATTAGATGTCTTCTCTAGGGTTTTTTTTTTTTCCTCAGTACTGAAGATGGCAAAAGGAGAGGAGAAATAGGGTGGTTGAAAGAAATAAACGAAAGAACAATTTTTAAGAAAGAAAGTGAACAGAGAAATCAAGTGTGTGGTTTTGTCTTTCTTTTTGAAACAGTGGGGAATTTTAGTTAGTTCAGAGGCCTTGTTCCTCATAATTTTGAATTCTCATTTGTATTTGGCAAAGCTGGGTAGAGTGGGTCAAATCTGATGGGAGAAAAACCAAAACAACAACAACAACAAAAAACAAACAACACAATTACTAAGCACTCTAATGGTAAAGAGAAATTAATGTCAGCTCGTTGTTAATCTTAACTTTTAGTCATTAAGGACGATTTTTAAGACAAAACCCCAATTTAGCAACTTACCTAGGAATGGGGCCCAGGCTTAATACTGCTCTCTACCACCTTAGAAGCATCAGAAAACTCAAACTTGCCTATCCTGTTGGAAGTGAGCTGAAACTCCAGAAAGAAGTTGTCTGCCCTCATCATCATAGAAGCAGGAAAACCTGCCTTCAGTGGTGGAAGTCGGCCAGAAAAGGAGTTCTACAGCAAAGTAAACCTTAGATCTCAACCAGATTTTAGCAGATTAGGGATTCTCTGGAGGGGAATGCTCCCAGGCCTCAGCAAATTGTCTTATTGGTTTGAGCCATAAAGATAGCCCAGGATGGTACCAAGCTCCCATAGGAGACGTGTCAAAGGTCAGGGCCACCTCCACTCAGAGTTCCTTCCATTGGTCACCAATTAGAAAACCAAAAGGTATCTGAGAAAGTCTCAATAAATTTAGAAGTTTATTTTTCCAAGGTTAAGGACATCCCCAGAAGAGAACATATCATGGAATCACAGAAAGTCTGTGATCTGTGCCTTTTTCCAAAATTGATTATGAGGGCTTCAATATTTAAAGGGAAAAATGGGTGAAGAGGAAAGAAGGAGGGTATCATAATCCACATGTTACAAGGGAAACAGAACAGGAAGAATAGTCAGTTATGTATTCATGTTGTGCTCAGTAAATCTGTACTTTGTATAAGATAAGATGAACATAGAGCAGCTACCTGTGGAGATATTTAACCTTTTATCTGTAGCTATCTGCTTAGGAACAAAAGGAAAGGCAGCTTCTCGCATGACTCAGCTTTCATCTTATTATTATTTTTTTTTTTTGGCATAGTGAATTGGGGTCCCTAGTTTTTCTTTACCTTTCACATGAAAAAAAGTCAACCTGAGAAAAATTATTCCATTCTTGTTAGTTAGAAGCAAACACATTTTTAGTTTTACAACATGCAACTATATTTTCTCTTCAATATGTGTGTATAAGTATCTATTTCTAAAAATAGCTACAAAACAGGTAAGTATATTTAAACTGTAATTAAATTTAATTTACATATAGCATGGCAAGTTACTGCGCATGAGCCAAGTAATATTTAATTCAACATTCAAGGCTGGGCATGGTGGCTCACGCCTGTAATCCCAACAGTTTGGGAGGCTGGGGCAGGTGGATCACTTGAGATCAGACGTTCAAGACCAGCCTGGCCAATGTAGTGAAACTAAAAATACAAAAATTAGCCAGGCGTGGTGGTGCACACTTGTAATCCCAGCTACTCAGGCAGTTGAGGCAGAAAAATTGCTTAAACCTGGGAGGTGGAGGTTGCAGTGAGCCAAGATCACACCACTGCACTCCACTGCACTGTTTGCCTGGGCAACAAAGTGAGGCTCTGTCTAAAAAACAAAACAAAACAAAACAAAAACTCAAAAAAAACCTCATTAAGTAGCTTCTTTTTTTATTTTTATATTTTTAAATAAAATAATTTTATGTACTCATAGATCAGAATTATTGGTTCTTATGTTAGATTTATTTTATGTGAGTAAAAAAAATTAAAATTTGTGTATGGTAAGTATTTTACAAATAAAAAGTAATTTTTACTGTGTCCTAAAATAGATTCTATAGACCAACCTAAAGGAAAACTCACTAAATAATTTTTAACTATTAGTTTCTGATCAAATGTAATGGCTAACCAAGAGAGTTGCACTTGGGGTAGTAGTCAAGGTCTGATTCTAGAAACACTTTCAGTTTAAGTTCTCCCCAAATAACTGATAGTCACAGAATCACCTCATGTTTCTGCCTCTGTAATAAATAGAAAGAAAGACACACACACACACACACACACACACACAAAACAAGGAATGTCTGAAAGTACATATTATTCCACAAAAAGTTTTATACCATGAAACTTAAGGCCTGAAATTGCTTAGGAGATCATTAGAATGTTAATTATTCCTCACCTCATTGATTGCTTATCAATGCAAATAGCAAAGAAAGAATTATTTTAATTAAAGGGAGGAAGAAATTGTGCCTTTATGGCTGATGTTCTGTATAAGAATAATTGCCTCATTAACCTTACTATATCAACTCCACCTCATTGTGAAGGTCAAATAAATGGATTTATGTACTTCTGAGTCACAGAATATTTTATACAAAGCATTGAAAGTGTTTCTATATTATTTGTTTGAGTTAAAAATTTAAAAACAATCCAAAAAATTAAGTAATATAGTTATAGAGACATATAATGTAACTATTATTATCTTTACATTATTTGTTCAGAGAAAGAATGATGACCCAGGCTGGCATAAACTATATGTGTTCTTGGAATAAGACATGATCAAAGTTGGAAATATTTCTTCTATATAAGACTTTAAAAATATAATGGCAAGATTCTTAAAGAGGGAGTTTAGAATATAAGATAAAATACAACCATGGCTCTGCTTATACAAAAAATTAGTGTGCTATTTTTAGGACACCACTTCAAGACGTGTCAGGATTCCTGGCCTATGTTAAATGACCATAGCAACATTGTTTCCTAAAATTTTTTGGAAACAGTTATCCTTCCTATTGTTAACTCTCTCTGAAATAAATTGAGCATGAACAAGACATTTTTCATTATAACGGGACTCTCAATTTAACAGAAATTGTCAAAGGATAAGAAGCCATTGGTTTAGTTTTAAGAGGCTGAACTGCTGATTAAATCCTCTGGATTTTCAAATATCCATACAGATAACCAACCCCAATACTAACATTTATCATAATCAGGAATTATGTAACAGCTTTGGTCATTGGAGTAAAACAGGACAACCATGCACCTTTGCTTACAGCAAGGTATTCTTGTATCTAAATGAAAAAGAACATTTCTGTAGGTGCATGATTTTTTCATGTCTAAATAAATTTTTAATTAAAAAATCTTTTTTTACAGAAAAGTTACAAGGACAGTACAGTGAGTTCTCACATACACTGTATTCGGTTTTTACTATTATTAACATCTTGTATTAGTATGGTACACTTATCACAACCAATGAACCAATATTGCTACATTATTATTAACTAAAATCTAGACTTCATTCAGATTTTTGTACTTTCTCCCTAACGACCATTTTCTGTTCCAGAATCCCATTTGGAGCAACACATTACATTTAGTTGTCATGTCTCCTTAGACTTGACTGGGCTGTGACAGTTTCTCAGACTTTCTTGTTTTTGATGCCCTTGACAGTTTTGGAGACTACTGGTCCCAAAATTCTAGGTATTTTGTAAAATGTTTCTCAACTGGTGTTTGTCTGATGTTTTTCTCTTAGGACTGTGGGTTATGGGGAGGAAGACCACACATGTAAAGTGCCTTCTCAATACATCATATCAAGGCAAGGATACATGTAATCAACAAGACTTACCACCATCGATGTGGCCTTTGGTTTTCTGGCTGTGGTAGTGTTTGCCAGCTTTCTCCACTGTAAAGGTTGTAGCTGAATATTTAGTAAACATTAGTAAGTGTTGCAAGAGTTGTGTATACTCAGAAAATAAGACATATGCCCACCTATCTAGTAAGAATTAGTTTCTGGCTGGAGGGAAGGAGTTAAGAGAGGTCTCAAATTCCCTTTCAACTCTGGAATTCCAAACTCCCACTCTCTATCTATTCACACTTGTTAATAGAAGCTGGTTAAGTGCAATCTTTTTGTTGTAAAGAATTTATGAATGATTCAAAATACATGTCTTAAGGCTGAGAATTAATTGGACCCCCTCCCCCCACCATGAGTGTTTGGATCATTCTCTATTGACTTTACTTTTTAAACTGGATTTTAGGAATAATTTCTGGATTTCAATAGCATTTTTAGGTTGAAAGACTTATGACACAGATGGAATGTCTAACTTACAATAGTTGATCATCCATAAGCTCCAAATACATCACTAAGAGAACATAAAATAATGGACAAAGAGAATATTACAGGAAAGAATTGTGGCAGAAGTAGGGGAGTGGTGTATGGGGGAGAATGAGTTGTCAGAAATTTATTTGCAAATAGATCAAAGTCATAGTCCCACAAACATTAAAGTTCCCTAGACTTTAGGAAGTAAATTTTATTTAAGATTGTTTTTAAGTTGTATTGTTGCACTAGTTTAAAATTTCCTTGTCTTCAGATGCTTAGTGTCTAATGAGAGAGACAAGGAAAAACTAGATAAATATAATGATCATGGAAAGTACTACACCCATCTGACAGGAGGAAATAGGTCAACACCACACACATACACATACACACACACAAACACATTCATACACATTTATAATTTGTACCATTTATTAATACACCCCATTGTGGTTTGTTGGTACACCTGTATGTGTTGTATGTGGCATGTGGGTGCTTCATTTGGAATACATGTCCCAGGAACTTTTGGCAGTAATTGAGGTCAACTTAAACAGATGAAAGCACATATAGGAAAGAACAGTCTGATTTCTCCAACTACACAAAGCTAAAGTGAGTCCGAGGTAACCTTAACTGAGATGACCTTACAGCCATCTGCCATTTCCCAAATAAGTCAATACAACATGAGATAAGATTTAAAGGCTATAAACATATGAAAACTCTATTTCCTTGGCCAGTTATGGGTGGCAGGGTAATCCAAAAAAAAAAAAAAAAAAGAGAGAGAGAGAAAACTAGGCTAGAATCAAAATCAGCAGATGATGTGGCAGCACATGGTCAGCACGGATTAGAGGTTAAGATCATGAACTCCAAAAACAGAGTGTCAGAGTTCAGATCCGAGCTCTGCCAACTATTAGGTATGTGATCTATCTGTGCCTCCATTTTATAATCCCTAAAATAAGGATAATAATAGAACCTATCTAGTTTTCATAATATAGTTTTAAGGATTAAATGAGTTAATATCTCTGATAACATTAAAATTAACTCTGATGTTTAATGACCATATAAGTGTTAATTGTTTATTATTACTTCTTATAGCAACTAAGGGTAGCTTCTTACAGCTGTACTAAATGAACACTTTAGAATGAAATAAACTTAAATTTTAGTTCTTATTCAGTATGTGTGACTTTAGGTAAGTCGTTTATCCTCTCTGAGTCAGTTTTCTCAACTTTAAAATGGCACTTATGAGGAGTAAATAAACCATGCATATATAATCTTTAAAACATCAGCTCAGTGTTTATTGTAATTATTAACATACCGATAGTACTGGCTAAATAAAACGTAGAAGTAAACCAAATGAAGAGAGATCTCTTAATAAAAAGTGATGGACTCCAGCACTGGCTGTCACTAAACTTGGAGGTTCTTAAACATCTATGGTGGGAGAGCAGTGTATTGCTACTTTCAGGGCCACAGAAAATGTTGCTAATGTTTGTTATCAAAAGATATTTTATGACCTGATTTTTGACTTTTAAAGAGAAGGACTTGATTGTCCAGCAGGTGCTTTTCTTATATTTGGTGTGTGTGGTTTGCAAGCAAGAGAAATATAAATGTACATACAATTTTTTGTACACTACATGCTATAAACATATTTTTGTAAAAGGGTTATAATCACTAGAAGTATCTTTATTCCAAAGTTGCTTCCAAATGGTGTATCTTTTGTTTACAACTGTGTATTGAATTATTCACAGAGAAAAAATGTGAATACATCAATTAAAACATAATTTTCTCATCCCTACTAAATTACTATATATCTTGTAGACAGATACAGGGTAAGGTCTTATTAGATTAACAAGTTAGAATATTTGGGGTGGGTTACAGAGCAGTGATTACAGAAGGATGTGTACATGTAAGTAGGATGAGTAGCAGGAAAGCAGTTAAATAAAAGTGCTCAATAAGATTTTTAATGAAAAAAGTAAGCTTCTAGAAAAAATGAAAAATGGGAACCAGATGTATCCTCATACCTGAAACCATTAAAAAATAGACAAAATATATGAAGCAATAGTTTACAGGCAACAAAGTCACTAATCTCTGAGAGAAGGGAAACAAATAATTCACTTGATGATTATTAAAGTCTTCCTCTGCTGAGGTCACCCTTTGGTGAACATTCACATGGCACACAAATATCTTCATATCTTTTGACCATTCTGAGATATTTTGTCCACATATCTCTTTCCCAAACTTCTTTGTCACCACTTTTCCAATCATGTTCTTTCCAAGTCCCTCACCATTCAGCCATACCATTGACTACAGACCATGAGTTGGGATATAATCACATATCTGGCTATTTCTCCTTCCAAGCAAAGTGTACAACCAGGTGCACTGCTTAAAATTCTGGCCACTGGGAAGATTTCCCTTCACCACTGTCCTTCAGGAATGTCCCCCAAAGAGTCTGTAGTACAATAGTTGTCCACTCTCAAGTGGTCCCTGCATATCATGCAGAACTACCTCTAAACCAGGCTCCACTCTCTCTTCTTCTATCTACAGATTATAGGATATCTTCGAGGATGGAGTTTTGAAATATGCCTTTGAATAAGCATTTCAGATTTTAATACACTCTAAATTTTATATATAGATACATACTTATAGACATAGATAGATAGATTCTTGGAGAAATATTACTTAACCCATAGTATAACTTATGCTTTATAAATGAGTTTTATTATATGTATCAGCAGATATGCAGGTTTACTGAACATTTTCAGGAAAAAATAGCAAAATGTATATATAGAGGAGAGCAATAAAAGGATAACAGTAATGAACTTTGTACTCTACATACAGAAATAATTGTCAGAAATACCTGAACTTTATTCTAATTTCATCTTGTGGCTTCAGACAATCTAGATATCCTCTCTGTTTCTGTTTTCTCAAGTAGTAGAATGGAGGAAAATGCTACAAATGGCATTAAATAAAATATAGATGACTGGCCATCTATAACTCCAGTAATTAAGTTCTCAAGAAATTCTGCCAATTCTCAAGTTTTTAGGAGCTGATTACCGAGCTTGCATTTCTGTACTTCATCTTGCTTACTTGCCCCTCTGCATTCCAGTGCTCATTAGCACTCACCCCTGAGAGTAGGCAGGAAAAAAAGGTGAAATTCATGTCAATCAATCATGACATTTCTTAATTGCTCTGCTCATTTCTCACAGTGAGAGAGTGAAGAGGATGGGGATAGAACATCATTGTGATTATATAGAAATAGAAAAATACAGCTTCCAGCATATACAGCATGAATATGGTTACTCCATGCATGCTTGTTGAGTACATGAAAGGTATAAGGTTTTGACACATAACCAATGAAGTAAGTGGGAGGTTTCAGGAAGTCCTAGAAAGAAGTGGAATTTCATTGGCTTGCATTTTCTTTTCTTTTCTCTTTAAAAATACAGTTTAAATGCTGATTTTATTTCAATAGGAGGTGAAGAATATCACAATGTGGTTCCTAAAATGATGTATGGAAATTCAAAGAGACATCATTCCACTATCACATTCCCGTGTCCTAATAGTAGGATGCTAGGCTATATTTATATAATTAAAACTAAAGGTTTGGACTCCAGAATGTCTGGGTTCAAATAATTCCAACTCTGCCCTTAGCCAGGTAAATTTGAACAATGTGCTTTACCTCACTGTAACTCAGCTTTCATACATATTATTCCAAAATCACAGGGTTTTTGAGATTAACTGAAGTAAAACATGTAAAGCACATAGACATAATTAGCATTAAACAAATGTTAACTATTATTATGTATAGTACTTTACATTTTAGTAAACATTTTTATATTATCTTATGTGATTACTTTAAATTTTAAAAAGCAAGATCTTTTTCTCTAAAAGTTCTCTTCTTATTACCAAAATATTTAACGTCCATTCTATCTGCCTAGAAATATAATAAAAAATAAGATATGAGGAAATAAATAGGAAGAAATAAAATATGAAGAAAACAAAACCACCCAAAATTCTTGAAGACAAACATTCAATGTTTTTGTGCATTTTCTGTGTTTGTTTTGTTTTATTACTTCCTGTGCTTATATTTTTCAATTTTTTTTTTTTTGAGACAGTCTCACTGTCACCCAGGTTGCAGTGCAGTGGTGCAACCTCAGCTCACTGAAACCTCCATCTCCTGGGCTCAAGCGATCCTCCCACATCAGCTTCTCAAGTAGCTGGGACTTAACAGTCGTGCATCACCATACCTGGCTAATTTTTTGTACAGATTGGGTCTTGCTATGTTGCCAGGGCTGGTCTTCAGCTCCTGGGCTCAAGCAGTCCTCCTGCCTCAACCTCTCAAAGTGCTGGGATTACAGGCGTAAGCCACAATGCCCAGGCCCTGTACATATTTTCACCTCATTGAGATAATAGGTTGAAATCCATGAGATGTCAGTGCTCAAATTTTAGGCTCCCAAAAATGGCAATGTGATTTACTATACAATGTTGTGTCTTGCATTTTTGTCCATTTATTATGATATATACATCATCAGCTATAAGAATGGAGATTATTGTTCCCATTTTATAGTTTTAGAAATTGAAGCTAAGTATATTTAAATAATTTATTCTAAGAGAGATAATTTGCAAGTACTGGAAGTAATAATAAGGTCTAGATCATCTTATTTAAAGGAAAATGCACTTTATCTTATAGCAGTTCATCTTTTAAAATTATTAGTTAAAAACATGAATCTTAAAATGAGATGTGATTGAATACTAATCTTATTTTTCATATTTTCAAACAGCATCCTATCCATTCTTCTGTCTTTATAAACTGTCCATCTTCTATTTCATTTTTCCATTTCATGCCCTCCCCTCAAAAAGTACTTGAAGCTTCCTCATTGTCAGTTCATCCAAGGTCATATATTAAATGCCTAAAAAATGAGTCCTAGTGTTTTATAATCACCATATCACAAAGACTATAATCTTATCACCAACATTATCAAGATTATTACTCCACCAGTTTCTTCAATCCCTTATTCTCAGCTAAAATATTTTAAAGAATAGCCATACTGCAAAAGAAATTTATAGATTCAATGCTATCCCCATCAAGCTACCATTGACTTTCTTCAAAGAATTAGAAAAAACTACTTTAAATTTCATATGGAACCAAAAAAGAGCCTGTGTAGCCAAGACAATCCTAAGCAAAAAGAACAAAGCTGGAGGCATCATGCTACCTGACTTCAAACTATACTACAAGGCTGCAGTAACTAAAACAACACGGTACTGGTACCAAAACAAATATATAGACCAACGGAACAGAACAGAGGTCTCAGAAATAATGCCACACACCTACAACCATCTGATCTTTGACAAGCCTGACAAAAACAAGCAATAGGGAAAGGATTCCCTATTTAATAAATGGTGTTGGGAAAACTAGCTAGCCATATGCAGAAAACTGAAACTGGGCCCTTTCCTTACACCTTATACAAAAATTAACTCAATCTGGATTAAAGACTTAAACGTAAGACCTAAAACCATAAAAACTCTAGAGAAAAACCTAGGCAATACCATTCGGGACATAGGCATGGGCAAAGACATCATGAATAAAACACCAAAAGCAATGGCAACAAAAGCCAGAATTGACAAATGGGATCTAATTAAACTAAAGAGCTTCTGCACAGCAAAAGAAACTATCATCAGAACGAACAGGCAACCTACAGAATGGGAGAAATTTTTGGCAATCTATCCATCTGACAAAGGGCTAATATCCAGAATCTACATGGGTGAAGGATATGAACAGACTCTTCTCAGAAGATATTTATGCAGCCAACAAACATATGAAGAAAAGCTCATCATCACTGGTCATTAGAGAAATGCAAATCAAAACCACAATGAGATACCATCTCACACCAGTTACAATGGCGGTCATTAAAAAGTCAGGAAACAACAGCAGATGCTGGAGAAGATGTGGAGAAATAGGAATGCTTTTACACTAAAGAATGCCACAAACACATGCAGAATGTACGCTATTCTACAGAAACCTCAACACAGTTCTTTCGATAAGTCAGTAGAACGAAGAACGAAAGAAACTCAACAAAACAACTGTGGCAGACACAGAGATGTACCTCTCAGATCCTCCATTAAAAAAACACTTCTTGCCTAGCTGACAGCCTCCAGATGTGAGTTCCTGTAGGTCGTCCTCAGCTTTTTGTTCTCCGCTCTCCCTATTGAGTGAAGAAGAATGTAGCATATGGTGGTGTTACAGTTTCCCCATCTCCAATCTTGCTTTCTGTTTTTCGTTCTCCCAATAAATCTCTTGCACTCTTAATATCATCTTACTGCTTTCTTGGAAACTTAACTGGTACAATATCCAAATGGCAATGTGAGACTAACCTGATATAGATTGTATGTCACAAAACTAACTGTGAAACATATTTTTTAGGCAATCAAAAAATTTGAATACAACTTGCATGTTATTCTTACTAAGGTATTTTTGTTAATTTTATTGTGTGTGACAATGACATTAGGGTTATATGAGAGAACATTTATATATTTTGGAAATGTTTCCAAAATAGGTGGTGAAATAACATGACATTTGATCAGCCCCATGATTCAGTTATATCTACCTGGTCTCTCCCATGATATGTGGGGATTTGGGGGATTATGGGGATTACAATTCAAGATGAGATTTTGGGTGGGGACAAAGCCAAACCATATCACCCATCAATTTTTTATTTAATCATTTTATGCCATGATAATTATTATACTATTAAGAATCACAAAGTCATGATTTTATAATTCTATAATTTCTTCAACATTTATTAGCATGCTATCTTCTGTAAAGAATAGCTTTCCCTCTAACCCCGCTGGAAATAAGGAAACAACAACAACAAAGAATATCTTTCTCTTATCAATATGAACTACTTTGTTACTCTACAAGGAAATTGTAAATGAAAAAGTAAATAAAGGAATAAATGCTTAACTATTTTCCTGCATAGAGCCAATTTTCATAAGGAGCTGTGTCCTACTTACTTTCTATGACTAATGAGATTTTATGTTTTATTTTGTGTTTTATTTATATTGCTTTTTGTTTTCTCATTTTCATGTAATATTATAAACTCATGGATTTTGTTTGGACTCGTATTTAAGAATAGAATTTATTGCTAAAAAGAGGGTATTTAGGTACAAAATTTAAAACTAACCCATTTATTCTGCTACTCTCTACTGAAATTTTAATGAAAACAATGAAATATTTTGCTCCCCCAAACTACTAAATGCAAGATAAATAGAATTATATATTTATTCATGGATCTCTCTATCACATTAAAATTAAGAACTACTCTTCTATATAACCTTATTACTTTATAAACTCAGTACATTCTTTTGCCCATTATAATAATATATGTCAAATTAAAATGGTTCCATTTTCTTTGCATAAGAACCCCTTCTTTCCTTTATATTTTTTAAAAATGTATAAGTTTTCATTTTGAAATTAATTCGGGTTTATAAAACATTGCAAAATAATAGTACAAAGAATTTCTGAATGTCCTTCCCCAGCTTCCCTGAAACAGAGACTTATGGGTATGTTGGACCATGTGGCAACCTTGAGAAGTAATGTCACTAACTAAGGATAGTAGTGTAAAAGATGGAAGGAATCTTGGTTCTGAATGATTATGGAGTTGCTATGCTAGTTGAGGACAGCCTGCCCTTAGCTTCTTGTTTGTGGGAGAGAAATGAAACTCTTTTTGTGTAGCAGATATTTTGGGTTTTCTATAATATGCATGCGGGCTAGTCTCTTCTTAACTGATGCCTAAAGACTTCTCACATTTATCCCCATTATGATCATTCTCACAACATCTTGTAGCATGCTGTTTTACTGCATATTTATTTTTTCATGTTGCATTACTCATAATATTTTTGGGAAGGAATTATGTTCTGAAATATAGCATCTGGATATTCATACTAAGTAGCCTTTTTAACTTTTATACAATTGTGTAGGTTTACACACTTTCTGAACCCAAAAATCAGTCATAATCAGTATACCCTTATATGTAAACACTATCCCAAATCATCTCTTAACTAGAATACCTACCTTGTGCCTTGAAATCAGGTGTGCTTTGACTATTCAGTAGCTCACCGTCTACGGTCAAAAAGTCTTATAAATTCCCTATATTCTAATTTTATCATTTAATCATCACTTCATGGTTATAAGGTGAACAGGTTGGAAATTATTGCAATTTAATAAGTAAATAAACTGTGACAAGAGATAGCAAAAAAATTTTGTGGTCTCATTCTGGTGAGATATAGAATCAGGATTAGAAAATAGTTTATGTCTTCTGCCCTGTATGTCTACTATTTAATATGTAGCAAAAATGCATCTGTATATAATAAAGACCCATATGGAATATTTTTAAAGCCTTGCATTTTAACACATGATGATTTCCAAATTCCTTAAGTCACATTATTTTCAGTACCTCATATATTTTTTTATTCTCACTGTGTCATATTTATTTCCAAACTAGTAGTGAAGTGATAAATATATATTATCAAGCATCATCTCTGTAACAGCAAAGAAATCACATATTTCAACTTAATCTATGCCCTGAACAGTTGCTAAAGATGAAGCCACATTATTTTTTATGTTTGTAGTGAAGTCAATTTTGTGATTTTTCTCATTTCTATAAATCAATTGAAACTAATATTATAATATTACTTATTCCATAGTATATTTTACACCATGAATACAGTATAATTTTAATAACAAGAATTACTGTGGATAATGTTTACCTTTTGCTTCTAATTAAAATGTGTAAGTCATACACAACATATAAAATAAATTTTATTTGGTTAATTTGCAAAAGTTGTTTAGCCAAATGTTCAGGGTAAGCTGTAATAATCACATGAATGTATTTACTAACATAAAAAATGGGTAGATTGGGGTGACGGGGAAGGGATAGCATTAGGAGATATACCTAATGTAAATGACGAGTTAATGGGTGCAGCACATCAACATGGCACATGTATACATATGTAACAAACCTGCACGTTTGTGCACATGTATCCTAGAACTTTAAGTATAATAAATATATATATATATATATAAAAGGTAGATTGTTTTTATTATATCAGGACACACATATAATAAGAATATTCTGTAACTAACCAGAATTTATATGTTTACTGGGACATTAGATAATTACTCTAAAATTGCCATGGAAACAAGGACATTTTAAGACAGTCATCATTGACTCTTTATGACCATTTATGTTACTATCTCCCTATGTTTCAAATTTGCTTATATAGAAATGTTTCTAGAGTGCTAAAATAACTCACCAATTATTACACAGTTATTACCTTGCATTTGGTTCCCAGAAATGCAAAATTCATTCCTGCAAAAAGTATTTCTAAACATTTGTTTCTCATTTACCATGTGCTTGGTAATGTAGTGAAAACATTGCTAACATTTATAAATAGGAACATATAATGTAGAATATACATGTTTTCCCTCATTTGCTAGTTTTCCCTTTTTTGTCACAATAAGCTATGTGTAGCAAGATAGTTTGAGTAATTCATTGTGTTCTTTTCACTATTGTGAGCTCAGCATGGGAAACAAAAGTGATAGGTTTTTCCATTCCTATTCCCTCAAAATGAGGAGCTAGGGCCTTGGGTGTTAGTGATCTGGGTTTCCCTTACCCCAATTGGAAATCATCATTCTTAGTAAACTATTGCAAGGACAAAAAAACAAACACCGCATGTTCTCACTCATAGGTGGGAACTGAACAATGAGAACACATGGACACAGGAAGGGGAACATCACACTCTGGGGACTGTTGTGGGGTGAAGAGGGGGGAGGGATAGCATTAGGAGACATATCTAATGCTAAATGATGAGTTAATGGGTGCAGCACACCAGCATGGCACATGTATACATATGTAACTAACCTGCACGTTGTGCACATGTACCCTAAAACTTAAAGTATAATAATAATAAAATAAAATAAATCATATAATGATACAGAAAAAAAAAACAACCCCATCAAAAAGTGGGCAAAGGATATGAACAGACACTTCTCAAAAGAAGACATTTATGCAGCCAACAAACATATGAAAAAATGCTTATCATCACTGGTCATTAGAGAAATGCAAATCAAAACCACAATGAGATGGCAGTTAGAATGGCAATCATTAAAGAGTCAGGAAACAACAGATAATGAAGAGGATGTGGAGAAAAAGGAGCACTTTTACACTGTTGGTGGGAGTGTATATTAGTTCAACCATTGTGGAAGACAGTGTGGCAATTCCTCAAGGATCTAGAACCAGAAATACCATTTGACCCAGCTATCCCATTACTAGGTATATACCCAAAGGATTATAAATCATTCTACTATAGAGACTCATGCACACGTATGTTTATTGTGGCACTATTCACAATAGCAAAGACTTGGAACCAATCCAGATGTCCATCAATGATAGACTGGATTAAGAAAATGTGGCACATATACACCATGGAATACTATGCAGCCATGAAAAAGGATGAGTTCATGTCCTTTGCAGGGACACGGATGAAGCTGGAAACCATCATTCTCAGCAAACTAATTCAAGATCAGAAAACCAAACACCACATGTTCTCACTCATAGGTGGGAATTGAACAATGAGAACACATGGACACAGGGTGGGGAACATCACACACTGGGGCCTGTCGGGGGGGGGGTGGTGGGGAGCTAGGGAAGAGATAGCATTAGGAGAAACACCTAAGGTAAATGATGGGTTGATGGGTGCAGCAAACCACCATGGCACGTGTATATCTATGTAACAAACCTGCATATTCTGCACTTGTACCCCAGTACTTAAAGTATAAAAAAATTAAAAATAAAAATAAACCTTTTTTCCTATTAAAAAATAAATAAATAAAAATATGGATTCAGAAGATACTGTTTTTGCATAGAGGAAGCTAAAGGTATTTAATGTTAAATGAGTGGAAGTAAATCACCCTGATGAAATGTTAAATGTTAAAACCATTAACGTTTAACTCTTGATGCAGCACTACAGAAGTGGCTGAGCCTCCAAACAGTGTGATTGTGTGTATGTCTGACATGAAACATGATGTTCTGGAATCATGGAGAAAGCCCTGTGTCAAAATTAAACAAGGGGAAAGTAGATGTTGCCACCAGAGAAACTCAGTCTCAAATGGATTGCAGAAACTGAGGGAAGAAGAAAAGCAGACTGAATCCACTGAAGCTGCACTGTCTAACGTAATAATCAGTACTCACCCAAGGCTATTTAAATTGAACATAAATGTATTAAAATTAGATAAAATTTAATTATTCATTCACATGCCACATTTTACATGCTCAATGGCAAGATATGGCTATGGCTACTACATTAACTCACAGAATAGATAAATTCCATTATCACAGAAAGTTCTATTGGACAGATTTTCCCTAGCACTTATGCCATACCAAGGAGAGATAAAATAAAAACAACTGAGGTTTTATTTCACAATAATATGTCATTTAGAAAATTTAGAAATATGGCACTTATCAGATGCCCAGTTTCAAGCAGAAAATTATTATTGTCCCAATTAAATTTTTTTCTTTCTTCTTTTTTTCCTGTATATCTCCTTCCTTCCTACCTTTAAATGCATTCTTATAATTCTCAAAATGTCATGTGGAAAGATCTTACAACAAACGAGTAAAGTAAATATGTTCCTGTGCAACTTGGTATAGTAATGGACTGCACTTAAAAGCAAGATAGCAAGATTTTCCTCAAAGGTTAGTGTTTTGTCTAAAATTTGATATGAATATTTTCTTTCTAGCAACTAGCGATTAAAGGAAAAGGAAAAAAATAATCTCTTTTAAAACAACTAGAAAGACCAGTGGGGAAAAGTAAAAAACAAACAAACAAACAAAATCTACTTAAAAATATTTGACACCCATGCAGGCAGAAAGGAAAAGAGATACTATCAGAGAAGTGAATCAAGCATTTGGGTTATTTTTTTTCCCTAGAATGGTTCACTAATGGTGACAGTATTATTAATATATGAGAAACTGAATTGAACTCAGTCAGGCTCAGAGGTATGAGAGAAGAAGGATTGGAATTTACAGAACACCAAAGAGGAGGTTCCCTAGCAAACACACAAAAGTTTATATGGGAAACTTTAATAAAGGTCTACACACTAAGAATAAGGGCAAACCAGAAATGGAGCAACCTTAACAAGAATGAATGAAAGCCCAGAATTAAATTGTACCTATAAGTGAGTTAATTGAAGTAATTTGAAATTATTAATGCCCCTAACCTAGTTTTCTGCGAAAAACAAACTAAATCTTCTCTGGAAGAATATATCTTCCAGAGCCTCAATTTTTCTCTATTATTTATCACATATAATGCCTAGAACTTACTCAAATTAAGCAGAATTACAAGGATATAAGATTATATGACCAAAACTTTAGCTATATGTAGTATTTATTATGGGAAATTCAAATAATGAAAATGTCAGAAACAAATTTTATAAAAATTAAGATTGCTATGTCCAAGCAATTAAAAGACAAAATTGAGAATTTTGAAGAAAAAGTGAAAATTATTTTTTAAAAGTGAAAATTTTAGAACTGAAAAATACAACAGACAAAATTAAGAATTCAATGAATGAGTTACAGTTGAAGAGAAGTTAATAAACCAGAAGATAAATCAGAAAAGATATGCTGATTGAAACACAGAGATTGAAAAGAATGGAAAGTGTAAAGAGGGGGCATAAGAGAAATATGAGACATGATACAAAGTAAAGGCATAATATACATTTATTTGAAGCCATGAATGGAAAAAAAAATAAATGAAATGAGGTACAAGCAATCATTGAAGAGGGAATGGCCGATAATGTTCCAAAATTGGCAAGTGACATCAAGCAATAAGCTTTATGAATCTTAGGATAAACAAAAATAATATCAGCAATAACAACATCAAAAAACTGCCTGGAAATAAAATTCCTGAAAGGCCAATAAAAAAGGGAAAAAGTCTAATATTCTTATCTCCCCAACTCTGTAGTAACCTTGAAAATCACCAGGTTTGCAACTACAGTAGCTGTAAAAACTAGTAGCCTTATTGGCACTGGAAAAGAACAGATTTAGGAGCTCCTCAAAAGCCACAGCCCAGACAATTAACTCTATTAACCCTTTTGGCAATTCACTGTAAGCTCCATTTTCAGAGTTTGTATTTATTTGACCTGACTCAGAGCTGTGAAAATAATGCTATCTCCCGTGAACTTGTCAAAAAAAATCAAGAACAACTGTGAACAACACAACTGACTGAGTTAGCATTATGAGTTGGGGTTAACAACTGGCTGATTAAAAAATCAAAAGGAAAACTTGAAAATAATATGTCCATAAGGGACTTTGATAAATTCCAACATATATCTGGAAATCTAGAAGTTCATGCAAAAATGCAGCAATGAGAGAGGCGGAGCAAGATAGAACAGAAAACTCCAGAGATTGTCCTCCCCACCCTGTAAACCAAGTTAACAATTATCTACAAAGAAAAAATACCTTCATAAGAACCAAAAATAAGGTGAGCACTCACAGAACCTAATTTTAACTTCATATCACTGAAAGGGGCACGGAAGAGCTAAGAAAAACAGTCCTGAATCACTGATGCCACCCCTCCCCTACCCAAGGCGGTGGTGGCATGTTGCTGCCAGCATCTCTGGGTGCTGGGGGAGGGTGAACACAGAAATTGTGAGGCATTGAACTCAATGCTGTCCTGTTAGAGTAGAAAGGAAACCCAGAGCAAACTCAACTGCTGCCTGCCCACAGAGGGAGCATTTAAATAAGCCCTAGCCCGAGGGAAACTGCTGATCCCAGTGGCCTGAACTTGAGTGCTCTCAAACTTCCCACCTAATCCAAAGTGCTCTGTCTTTAAGTAAACTTAAAAGGCAGTTTAGTCCATAAGAACTGCAACTCATAGGCAAGTCCTAAGGCTGAACTAGGCCTAGAGACATTAGACTGGGGCGGGAGGGATGTGGGAGGATAGTGAGATATTAAGATACCAGCTAGGACAGCCAAGGGAACGCTGGCATCACCCCTCCTCTAACCCCAGGCTACATAGCTCATGGCTTCAAAGAGACCCCTTTCTTCTGCTTGAGGAGAGGAGAGGGAAGAGTGGGGAGGACTTTGTCTTGCATCTAGGATACCAGCTCAGCCACAGTAGCATAGGGCACTGTTCAGATTCGTGAGGCCCTTGTTCCAGACCCGAGCTCCCAGATGACGTTTCTAGACACACCCTGGGCCAGAAGTGAAGCACTACCTTGAAGGATGGGACCCATTCCTGCCAGCATTTATCACCTGCTAACTGAAGAGTTTTTAGGTGCTGAATAGCAGAGATACCCAGGTATACACTGAGGGCCTTGATGAGCCTCTGAGACTTGCCGGCTTCAGGTGAGATTCAGCACATTACAAGCTGTGGTGGCTACAGGGCAAAACTACTTCTGTTTGAGAAAAGCAGAGGAAAAGTAAAAGGGTCTTTGTCTTGCACCTTAGGTACCAACACTGCCACAGGTGAGTAGAGCACCAAGTGGACTCTTGGGGTCCCTGATTCCAAGACTTGACTCTTGGATGGCATTTCTAGACCTGCCATAGGTCAGAGGGGTCCCACGGCTCTGAAGGGTGAGTCCCAGGCCAGACAACATTCACCACCAGCTGACTTAAGAGACCTTGGGCCATAAGAGAACATCAGTAATAGTCTGGAAATACTCCTTATAACCAGAGGTGGCAATGGCTACAGGGTGAGACACCACTGCCTTTTGAAAGAAGAGGGAATGGTGGGAAGGACTGCATCTTGTGATGTGAGTTCCAGCTTGGCTGCAATACAGTAGAAAACCACGTAGACTTCAGAAGTTTTTGACTAGTACCCAACTCTGGAATGGCACTTCTGGATCCCACCAGAGTCTGGGGGACTTCACTGCCTTGAAGGGAAAAACACAGGCCTGGCTGGCTTTGCCACCTGTTGATTGCAGAGCCCCAGGGCCTTGAGAAAACATAGTCAATAGCCAAGAAGTGGTAACAGCAGGTCTTGGGCAAGACACAGCAGGCTTCTGCTCTGACCCAGTGCAGTCATAGTGGTGGTAGACACAGGAGCACTTGTGTAAATTCACTTCCAGCTTTAGATGGTTTAGAACAGAGACAGAGACTATATATTTGGGAGAAAGTAAGGGAGGAGAACAAGAGTCTCTGCATTGTAATCCAGAGAATTCTCCCAGAAACTGTCCAAGTTCATCAAGGTGGTATTTCTAACAGTGTCCAAGAACCATAGCATTAATAGGCTTGGGGTGGCCCCTAAAGCAGAAACAACTTAGATCACAACATTCACATCCTTTCAAATATTTGGAAAGCCTTCTCCAAAAGGATGACTACAAATAAGCCCAGAAAGTGAAGGCTATGATAAATATCTAATTCTCCAGTACCTAGACACCAAAGAACATCTACTAACATCAACACCATCCAGGAAAACGTGACCTCAGCAAATGAACTAAATAAGGTACCAGGGACCAATCCTAGAGAAATAGACACATGTGACCTTTAAGAAAGACAATTCAAAATAGCTGTGTTGAGAAAACTCAAAGAAATTCAAGATAACACAAGAAGGAATTAAGAATTCTATCAGAGATATTTTTAAAAAATCAAGCAAAAATTCTGGACCTGGAAAATGCAATTAGAATGTTGAAGAATGTGTCAGTCTTTTAATAGGATGGATCTAGCAGAAGAAATAATTAGTGAGCCAAAAGAAAAATTAGAGGAGCCAAAAGAAAAAAAAATAAAAAACAATAAAGCACATGTACAGGATCAGATATAATAGCCTCAAAAAGGCAAATTTAAGAGTTATTGGCTTAAAGATGAGGCAGAGAAAGAGATTGAGGTAGAAAGTTTATTCAAAAAGATAATAACAGAGAACTTCCCAAACCTTCCCAACTGACATATTGAAAGATATCAATATCCAAGTTTAAGAAATTGATAGAACACCAAGCAGATTTAACCCAAACAAACTACCTGAAGGCATTTAATAATTAAACTCCCAAAGGTCAAGGATGAAGGACGAATCCCCAGAACAGCAAGAGGAAAGAAACAAACAACATACAATGGAGTTCCAATCTGTCTGGCAGCAGAATTTTCAGTGGAAATTTTACAGGACAGGAGAGAGTGGCAAGAGATATTTAAAGTGTTAAAGAAAAATAACTTTGATCTTAGAAAAGTATATCTAGCAAAAATATCCTTCAAGCAATAAGGAGAAAGAAAGAAAGACTTTCCGAGACAAAATCTGAAAAGTTTCATCAATACCAAACCTGTCCTAGAAGAAATGTTAAGGGCAGTGTTTCAATCAGAAAGAAGAAAATCACTAATGAGGAATAAATAATTACTGAAAGTTCAAAACATACTGGAAGTAGTAAGTATACAAAAAAACACAGACCATTATAACACTGTAACTGAGGTGTGTAAACTACTCTTATCCTAAGTAGAAAGATTAAACAATTAACCAATTAAAAACAATAACTGCAACAACTTTTCCAGGTATATGCAGTACAACTAGATAAAAACAGAAACTATAAAAAGTTAAAAAGCAGGGTGACAAAGTTAAGGGAAGTTTTTATTAGTTTCTTTTTGCTTTTGTGTTTGTTTAAGCAAATAGTGTTAAGTTATTATTAGGTTAAAATAATGGGTTATAAGATACTATTTGCAAGCCTCATGGTAACCTCAAACCAAAAAACATACAAGGGCTAAACAACAAATAAAAAGCAAGAAACTAAATCATAACACCAGGGAAAATCATCTTCATGACAGGAAGGCAGGAATAAAAGAAAGAAAGAGAAGACCACAACAAACCAGAAAACAAATAATAAAATGGCAGGAGTAAGTCCTCACTTATCAATAATAATATTGAATGTAAATGGACTAACTTTCCAATCAAAAGATATAGACCAACGGAATGGATAAACTAAACAAGACCCATCAATCTGTTGCCTACAAGTAACACACTTCACCTATAAAGACACACAAAGACTGAAATAAAGGAATGGAAAAAGATATTCCATGTCAATGGAAACTACAAAAGAGAAGGAGTAACTACACTTATATCAGCAATATAGATTTCAAAACAAAAACTATAAGAAGAAACAAAGGAAGTCACTATATAATGATAGAGGGATCAATTCAGCAAGAGGATATAACAATTTTAAATATATATGCACCCAAAACAGGAGCACCCAGACATATAAATGAAATACTATTAGAGCTAGAGAGAGATAAGCTCCAAAACAATACTAGCTAGAGACCTTAATACCCCATTTCCAGCATTGGACAGATCTTTCAGACAGAAAATCAACAAGGGAACATCAGACTTAATCTGCACCATAGATAAAATGAAGGTAGTAGATACAGAACATATTATCCAAGAGCTACAGAATACACATTCTTTTCCACAGTGCATGGATCATTCTCAAGGACAGACCATATGTTAGATCACAAAACAAGTTTTAAAAATTTAAAAAATTGAAATAATATCAAGCATCTTCTCTGACTGCAATGGAATAAAACTAGAAATTAATAACAAGAGGAATTTAATAAATTACAAGAATACATGGAAATTAAACAACATGCTGCTGGATGACTGGTGGGTCAGTGAAGAAATTAAGAAGAAAATTGAAAAAATTCTTGAAACAAATTATAATGGAGACAGAACATAGGAACACCTGTGGGATACAGCAAAAGCAGTACTAAGAGGGAAGTTCATAGATATAAGTGCCTACATTAAAAAGGAGAAAAAACTTCAAATAAACAATCTAATGATGCATTTTAAAGAGCTAGAAAGGGAAAAGTAATCCAAACACTAAATTAGCAGGACAAAATAAATAATAAAGATCAGAGCCAAAATAAGTGAAATAGAAATTAAAAAATACAAAAGATCAATAAAAAAGGTTCATTTTTCTGAAAAGCTAAACAAAATTGACAAACTTTTAGCCAGACTAAGAAAAAATGAGAGATGATCTAAATAAATAAAATCAGAAATAAAAAAGGAAGCATTACAGCTGATAACTGCAGAAATTCATAGGATCATTAATGGTTACTATGAACAACTATATGCCAATAAATTGGAAAGTCTGGAAGAAATAGATAAATTCCTATATACATACAACCTACCAAAATTGAACCAGGAAGAAATTCAAAACTTGAGAAAGCCAATAACAAGTAACAAGATCAAAGCCATAATAAAAAGTCTTACAGTAAAGAAAAGCCCGGAACCTGATGCCTTCACTGCCAGATTTTACCAAACATTCAAAGAACAACTATTACCAATTGTACTCAAACTATTCAGAAAAATAGAGAAGAGAATACTTGCAAACTCATTCTGTGAAGCCAATATTACCTTGATATACCAAAACCAGATAAAGACATATTTAAAAAAAAAAAAGAAAACTACGGACCAATATCACTGATGAATATTGATGCAGAAATCCTGAACAAAATACTAGCAAACCAAATTGAACAATACATTAGAAAGATCATCCATTATGACCAAGTGGGATTTATCCCTGGGTGGATGGATGGTTCAACGTATACAAGTCAATCAATATGATACATCATATCGATAGAATAAAGTATAAAAAGCATATGATCATTTCAATTGATGCTGAAATGCATTTGATAAAATTCAACATTTCTTCATTGTAAAAACCCCCAAAAAACTGGGTATAGAAGGAAAATACCTCAACACAATAAAAGCCATATATGACAGACACACAGCTAGTATCACACAGAATGGTGAAAAACTGAAAGCCCTTCCTCTAAGATCTGGAACACAACAAGGATGCCCACTGTCACCTCTGTTATTCAACATAGCACTGGAAGTCCTATCCAGAGCAATCAGACAAGAGAAATATATAAAGGACCTCCAAATTGGAAAGGAAGAAGTCAAATAATCCTTATTTGCTGATGATAAGATCTTATATTTGGAAAAACCTAGAGTCCACAAGAAAACAATTAAAACTGATAAATTCAGTAAAGCTGATGGATACAAAATCAACATACAAAAATCAGTAGCATTTCTGTATGTCAATAGTGAATAAAATGGAAAACAAATCAAAAAGTAATTCCATAGATAAAGTCACAAATACAATTAAATACCTAGAAATTAACTTAATCAAAGAAGTGAAAGATCTCTATAATAAAAACCATAAAACACTGAAGAAATTAAAAGGGACACAAAAAACTGGAAATACATTCCATGTCCATAGATTGGAGGAATCAATACTGTTAAAATGTCCATACTACCCAAAGTGTTCTATAGATCAAATGCAATACCTATCAAAATACGAATGACACTCTTCACAGAAAAGAAAAATCTGAAATTTATATGGAACCACAGAAGACTCTTGCGGGAAGTCAGGGACCCGGAACAGAGGGACCGGCTGAAGCCACGGCAGAAGAACATAAATAGTGAAGATTTCATGGACATTTATTAGTTCCCCAAATTAATACTTTTATAATTTCTTACACCTGTCTTTACTGCAATCTCTGAGCATAAATAGTGAAGATTTCATGGACATTTATCACTTCCCCAAACATTACTCTTATAATTTCCTATGCCTGTCTTTACTTGAATCTCTTAATCCCGTCATCTTCGTAAGCTGAGGAGGTATGTCGCCTCAGGACACTTGATGATTGTGTTAACTGCACAAATTGTTTATAAAACATGTGTGTCTGAACAATATGAAATCCGGGCACCCTGAAAAAGAACAGGATAACAGCGATATTCAGGGAACAAGGGAAATAACCACAAGGTCTGACTGCTTGTGGGGCCGGGGAGAACAGAGTCATATTTTTCTTACTGCAGAAAATGAATAGGAGAAAATCACAGAATTCTTTTCCCAGTGAGGAATAACCCTGGGAAGAGAATTCATTCCCAGAGGAGGCTTATGGATGCTGCTCTGGGAGTGCCTGTCTTATGCAGTTGAAGATAAGAGATAAAATATGCCCTGGTCTCCTGCAGTGCCCCCAGGCTTGCTAGGATTAGGAAATTTCAGCCTGGTGAATTCTAGTCAGATCGGTTCTCTGTTCTTGAACCCTGTCTCCTGTTAAGATGTTTATCAATGACAATGCATGCACAGCGGGACATGGAACATCATCAGTAATTATAATTTCATCTGGCCTTGTAACCTTGCTCTGCCCTTCTGTCCTTGTGATCTCTTATTGCCCCTAAAGCATGTAATCTTGTGACCCACTCCCTATTCAATCTTCCCCTTTTGAAATCCCTAATAAAAACGTGCCGTTTTTGCTGCTCAGGGGGCATCATGGAACCTGCTGACTTGTGATGTCACCTCCAGAGGCTCAGCTGTAAAATTTCTCTCTTTTTTACTCTTTCTCTTTATTTCTCAGACCAGTCAACACTTAGGGAAAATAGAAAAGAACATACATTGAAATACTGGGGGCTGGTTTCCCCAGTAAAGATCCAGAATCACCAAAGCTATCCTAAGCCAAAAGAACAAAACTGGAAAAATCACATTTTCCCCTGGCTTCAAATTCTACTACAGAGCTATAGTAACCAAAACAGCATGGTACTGGCATACAAACAGACACATAGACCAATAAAACAGAATACAGAACCCAAAAACAAATCCACACACCTATAGTGAATTCATTTTTGACAAAGGTGCCAAGAAAATACACTGGGGAAAAGATATTCTCTTCCATAAATTGTGCTGGGAAAACTGGATTACCATAGATCCATGGATCACAAAAGAATAAAACTATTTGCCTATCTCATACCATATAAAAATAGCAAATCAAAATGGATTAAAGACTTAAATATAAGATCTCAAACTATGAAACTACCACAAGAAAATATTGGGGAAAATATCCAGGACATTGGTCTGGGCAAAGATTTCTTGAACAATACCCCAGAAGCACAGGCAACCAAAGCAAACATGGAAAAATGGGATCACACCAAGTTAAAAAGCTTCTGAACAGCAAAGAGTACAACCAATGAAGTTAAGAGACAACTCAGTAAATGGGAGAAAATATTTGCAAACTACCACCTCTGACAAGGGATTAATAACAAGAACATATAAGGAGCTCAAACAACTCTATAGGTAAAAAATCTAATAATCTGATCAAAAATGGGCAAAAGGTTTGAATAGACATTTTTTCAAAAGAAGACATACACATGGAAAACAGGCATATGAAAAGGTGATTACCATCACAGATCGTCAGAGAAATGCAAATCAAAACTACAATGAGATATTATCTCATTCCAGTTAAAATAGCTTATATCCCAAAGATAGGCAATAACAATTACTTGTGATGGTGTAGAGAAAAGGGAATCCTTGTACATGGTTGGTGGGAATGTAAATTAGTAAAATCAGTATAAAGAACAGTTTGGAGGTTCCTCAACAAAGCAAAAATTGAGCTACCATATGATTCAGTAGTCCCACTGCTGGATATATACTCAAAAGAAAAAATATCAGTATATCAAAGAGATATCTGCACTTCTATGTTTGTTGCAGCACTCTTTACAATAGCTAAGATTTGAAAGTAACCTAAGTGTTCATTAACAGATGAATAGATAAAGAAAATAGGATACACATACACAATGGAGCACACTGTTCGGCCATAAAAATGAATGAGATCCAGTCATTTACAACAACATGGATTGAACTGGATATCATTATGTTAAGTAAAACAAGCCAGGCACAAAAAGACAAACATCACATATACTCAACTGTGGGATCCCAAACTCAAAACAATTGAACTCATGAACCTAGAGAGTAGAAGAATTGTTACCAGAGGCTAAGAAATGTAGTGAGGGCTTGGCAGGGGAGATGGGTAAAGTTAATGGTTACAAAAAAAAAAAAAATAGAAAGAATGAATAAGACCCACTGTACAATAGCACAATAGAGTGACTATAATCAATAATAATTGTATATTTTAAAACAACCTAAAGAATGTATTTGGAGTTTTTGTAACTCAAAGGATACATGCTTCAGGGAATGAATACCCCATTCTCCATGATGTGCTTATTTCACATTTTCATGCCTCTATCTAAACATTTCATGTACCTCATAAATATATACACTTACTATGTACCCACAAAATTTTTTAAAAATTATTTTAAAAATTCTAAAAAAATGTCATGCACAGGACTCTACATGTCCAGGGCTGGGAGCCAGCCCAGGAAAGAGTTGAAAAGACCTCATTTCTCACCTATGGTTGACCTTGAGGTTCTGTGTGAGCAGGAATTAAAGGCTAAGGAAGAGTTATAAACTCCCTGTGCAAGCATTGAGATTATACCCAACACACACGCAGAGCCCTTCAGCAAAATCTAGGAGATATATACATTCAAGTCATTTAAGAAAATATGTCTGATCATTAAAGGGGCACTTAACTAACTGAACAGAGGCTTCAGTGTCCACACACAACAAATAATACAAGCTTTAGATAATTAGTCCAGGAAAGTCACTAAACAAATGGCAACAATAATAACAGCAAAGAAAATGACATATTGGTGGCCAGGGAAAATCCGATCCCCAGAGTTGGCACATTATATTATTTAAAATGTTCAGTTTTTGAAACACAAAGAAACAGAAAAGTATGGTCTATTCACAAGAGAAAAAAATTGAAGGCAATAAAAATGGTCTTTGAGGAAGTCCAAATGTTGGCATTTCTAGACAACTAAAACAATCTAGCACACTGAGACAACTAAGAAGGACACAATGTCATAAGTTGTTACAAATATCTTCAAAGAAGTAACGAAAACCCTGTATAAAAAATTAAAACAAAGTATGAAAACATCTTACCAAAGACAAAATATAACCAAAGAGACAAAAATTATTTTTAACAAAGACCAAATTGAATTTTAGAGTGAAAAGTACACTAACTGATATTAAAAATTCACTAAAGGGGCTCAACAGTAGATCTGAGCAGGCAGAAAAACCAGTGAATTTAAACAAATGTTGATTGAAATTATCCAGTCTAAGGAATGGAAAAAAAATGTGAAGAAAAATAAACACAGGCTCAGAGACCTGTGGGACACCATCAAGTATACAAACATATGCATAATGTCAGTTTCCAAAGCAGAGGAGAGAGAGTGAAAGAAATGGAAAGAATAACTGGAGAAATCATGGAGATTATGTAATCTGTCTATCTATCTAATAACATATATATAAAATCATAGAAGAAAAAGATTTCAAATTTTTTGAAAACATTTATCTCCACATCCAAGAAGCTCAACAAACTCCAAGTGGAATAAACTAAAAGCAATCCACACCTTGATATTCAAGGTGTCAAGAGCCAAAGACAGAGAGAATATTGAAATCTGCAAGAAAAATGTGACTCATCACTACCAGGGACACTTGATAAAATTAATAGCTGACTTATCAGAAACAACGGAGGCCAGAAGGCAGTGGTATAACATATTTAAAGTGCTTTAAAAAATAGACAGTCAACCAAGAATTTTATATCCAGCAAAAATCTTTCAAATATTACAGAGAAGAAGTGGTTCTTCATATACACACAGACCATATTACAAATGAATACATAGGTAGTTGTGGTGATTTTCTCTTGCAGAATAAAACACTCTGTGTAGACCTCAATTCTTCAGTGTCTTCTCTTTGGAATTATATAAAGTTCACAAATGATGTCTTGAACATATGATTCCAAGACCATTGTATTTTCTTCAGAAGGCCACTTCTACCAAGTTGAATACACCAGGGAATCATCAAACACACAGGCATCTTTTGGAGAATTTTAGCAAACACTGGTGTTTTGCTTGCAACAGACAGATATAGCATCCACAAGCCTCTTGATAAAATCTTTTATTAAAAAATTATGAACTCAGTGAGGAAATGGCTTGCAGTATATATGAAACAATAATGTTCGGACTAGTAAACTAAAGCTCATTACTCAGAGTTATTTATTATAGTATTAAGAGCCAACTCCTGTGAGCAGTTGGTTATAGCATTGTGTAATATCAAACAAGCATATATGCAGTTTGGAGGGAAAATTCCCATTGATGTTTCATTGCTATGCACAAGCTGGAATAAGGACTGTGGCTTTCAGGTCTATTAGAGAAACAATGTAGAAATTATGGGGAACGGAAAGTCACATGACCCATGTCTAGACAACTAAACTTCTAGATATATTCCCCAAAAAGCTAAAAACAGATGCTCAGCAAAAAACTTGTACACAAATGTTCATAGAAGCATTATTCACAGTGATCAAGAAGTGGAAACAACTATTTATCAAAGGATGAATGGATAAACAAAATATGGTATATCTACACAAATGATTTTTTTGGCCATATAAATGAATGAAAAACTGATACATCCTACAACAGAGATGAACTTTAAAAATATCAAGCTAAGTGAAAGAGCCAGATCACAAAAGACCACATATTGTATGATTCAAGTTATATGAAAATGTTCAGAATATGTAAATCCATAGTAACAGAAAGTATGTTAGTTGTTGCCAGGAGGTAGCACAAAGGAAAATTTGGAGTGATTGCTAATGAGTATGAAGATTCTTCCTAGAGTGATGAAGCATTCTGAATTTGGATAGCGTCAATAGATGAATATACGGAATATGCTAAAAAAAAAAACACTGATTTCTATGTTTTAAAGGGTAGGACTTTGAGGTACATGAATTATATGTCAAGAAAGTTGTTATTTAAAAAAATCTGCATGGAAAACTATAACATGCTATTGAGAAAAATTAGAGAAGATGTACATAAGTAGAGAAATATACATTCATGGACTGCAAAACTACCTATTGAACATAAGTAAATGTTCCTCAAATATTTCTGTAGATTAAATGCTATGCCAATCAACTACAAGCTTATTCTAAAATTTATATGGAAGTGTAAAAGATCAAGAAAAAATAGAAATTCTTGAAGTAGAACAAAGAAGGTAGTCATATTTTACTAAACATAAAGGTTATTACAAAATTAAATCAATTAAGACATTGTAGTATTGACACAAGGTAGACAAACAGATCTGACACTGTTGCAGGGGACCCCAGTCAGCCACAGCGCCTGGCATTGTTTACACATAACTGGAAGTAAGTGCAGGAGACAACTGCAAATAGAGGATGCAAAACCATAAATGGAAAAGGATGCTTGGATTATGCAGGCAGCAGGACATTCAACTCCCTGCTGACTAGCTGAACGGGGTCCTACAGATTTCATTGTAGGAAATAAAATAATAATACAACCATATTTTATACTTTTAAAACTTTTGAATGCCACTCATCACATTATAGGAGATTTTACAGTGATTCCTCTGAGGTACCTAGGAAGGGTATAATTGTAGATGGCTGAGTATCATCTAGTGGCTGGGAATGTGGCATGTGTCAGGATAGTTTCTGTTTGGTGTAAGCAACTCTCAGAAGGCGTAGCCTTCTAACCTAATTTAATCAGGAATGAGCTGCATCTCTAGGGATGCTATGTTCCCTTCAGCTACACATTCCCACATTGTTGAAAACTCTTGCAATTCCAAAACACAGAAGAAAATACTCCATCTTTGGCCCCGGATCAGCCTTTATATTTTATGTTTCCTGCCTGGCTGAATACTTAACATACTGTAGGCTCCTGAATCTTAGCTTACTGGTTTCACTCAGCCTCCTGCCTCCCTGGCAACACCAATGTATTTCTAATCTTTAAAATTCTATAAATATATCTTGAAATTGACCCCAAACCCTTGATGACATTACTTAATTCAAATCCTTTATTTGAAAATAGCTATTAAAATACATCATACAATATTGTAACAGTCAAGTGACTACATTAATATGCTTCATGAAATGTCTTTAATTACAAGGAAAGATTTCTGTATTAGTTAAAATGGAATAACTGCTATATTAAACAAACTCCAATATTTGATGATTTAAAACCATACAAGTTTATTGCTCATTTATGTAAGAGACTAGACTGGGTTCAGTTGGGGATGGTAGGAAGGGTCTGCTGCTCCACACAATTGAAACTTAGTGACCCAGGTTGCTGCAGGTTCTTCTATCAAAAAGTGGCTTCCTAGGTATTTGCATTTCACTGAAAAATAGGAAATGAGCACTGAGGATCATTAGGGAGGTTTTTATGGACTATGCCCAGGAAGGTCTGACATATGCTATTTCTACTGGCTTCCATTGGCTAGAACTCAGACACATGGCCACACCTAACTGAGAGGGAAGCTGGGAAATGTAGTTTTTGCATGTCCAGGAAGAATAGGAATTGGTTTGATAATATGTTATCACTACAATATTAAAGCTCTCTATTTCCCTGATCATTTAGTTTATTCCCTTTTATATACAATCACTAAATTGGCATTCAAGTCCATTTGGAGAGTGGGGCCAAATGAATATGAATACACTGTTCGGAAACCAAGAGGTAACTGCCTGCTATATAGTTTGCCTCTAAGAGAGAGAGAGAGTAAAAATGGAATTCTCAGAAAGGGATTGGAAGGAGTTCTCTAAGAACTTTTGGTAAGCAGGTTGGTAGCAGGGTAGGGGGTAAGAAGAGGAGGAGTATATAGGAATCCTATGGACCAGCCTGTAGGATAGAGGAGAGCTTTTGAAACAAGTTTTTTAAAAATTAGACATACAGAAATAGCGTAATGGAAGCAGTCAATAAGTAAAGGCAAAAGCAGTGGACTTCAAAAAGCAAACAAAAATCTGAGAATCAAAACTATAAGACACACTATAAAAACAAAAACAAATAAATAACAGTGTCTTTCTTTGCCAAGTGTCGATGTTTCTCCACCACTAAAGTGGAGGTGAGTTGTTGGGGAGAGCGCTACCAGAAGTCCAAAAGATGGCAAAAGAATTTTCAAAAGATTATGTAAACACACATTTTCTTCATAATTATAGCAATATGATAAGCTAATCACACTTTTATAAGATCAAACTTATGGTAATACTACCCTTCTTATTGTTCCTTCTTCAGAAGGTTGTATGTAGAAATTTCAGATCATTACAAATAAAATGTTTAGCACTTATTCTAAGGTTGATTTAAAATGGGATAAAAAGGGCCGGGAGCGGCTGCTCAGGCCTGTAATCCCAGCACTTTGGGAGGCTGAGGCAGGCAGATCACCTGAGGCCAGGAGTTGGAGACCACCCTGGCCAACATGGCAAAACCCGGTCTCTACTAAAAATACAAAAATTAGCTGGGTGTGGTGGCAGCTGCCTGTAATCGCAGCTACTCGGGAGGCTAAGGCGGGAGAATGGATTGAACCTGGGAGGCAGAGGTTGCAGTTAGCCGAGATCGTGCCATTGCACTCCGGCCTGGGCAACAAGAGAGAAACTCTGTCTCAGAAAAAAAAAAAAAAAAAAAAAAAGACATAGGATCCTGTCACCTAAGTGGCGAAATCAATAATGAATCCTTATGGTATTATGGTATTACAGGCTTTGTCTCCTTCTCAGTTTCATTTTCCCTGCTTTTCTACTCCTGCGTTCTGGGATCATGTCCTAAATAACCTACCTGCACCCAACTTGTTTCCTCAGACTCTACCTTTGGGGACACCCATTCTAAGATAGTAGATTTGAAGAATATTATTTTATAAATAAGGACACTGAGACACAGTCCAAAGTCATGTGGTCAATAAGTGATGGAGACATTATTACAAATTTAATCTGCTATAAATCCCATGCTTTTATGCTTTATCACCCCAGATGATCTCTAAGTCTCTTTTTCAGTTCTAATAATCTCTGAAATTATGCATATACATTATTTTTTCTGCTTTGCAATATGTTTTCAATCTCATCAAATATTCACTGAGTAATTAGTACCACGACAAGTATAAATGGTAAAAAGAAACTTTTTTTTTTGAGACAGAGTCTTGCTCCGTTGCCCAGGCTGGAGTGCAGTGGCAAAATATCAGCTCACTGCAAGCTCTGCCTGCTGGGTTCATGCCATCCTCCTGCCTCAGCCTCCTGAGTAGCTGCAACTACAGGGACCCGCCACCATGCCCGGCTAATTTTTTTGTATTTTTAGTAGAGACGGGGTTTCACCGCGTTAGCCAGGATGGTCTCGATCTCCTGACCTCGTGATCCACCCACCTCGGCCTCCCAAAGTGCTGGGATTACAGGAGTGAGCCACTGCACCCGGCCAAAAGAAAAATTTTTTAAGACACCACCTATATTATTAATATGCTCACCATATAAAGGGAGGAACAGAAATACACATTGTTATATTTAAATATTTAGCAGCATTTTCAATAGCATATTTTTAAAAGTTTTTTCATCAGCCTGTTGGAACAGTGTCAGCATTCTAAGAGTTTTCAGCATAAACAAAAGGATAACAAATCTCAATAAGCTGAAAGATGACATCCCCTGATGTCAACGCAGAAAATGATATTGGATATGAAGTCTCCTGAACTTTACATCCTGATTTAAACGCTGACCTTGCCTCAACTATTATTTGTGCTTTGGTTTTCTATATCTCCTCCATACTGAAAGATGAGAGGACACAAGAGAATTATCACCAATGACAATTTGTTTCAGGAAAAGTGGTGTTTGTAAAATACCATCTGAAGCACTCAAATCTCAATCAAGTCTAGTTTGTCACTGCCATAATCAGCCTGATGATGTTGCTGGAAAACTCATATATTATTTTTCTGAGATAGCAAAATAAAGATATCTATCACCAGCACCATTTCTGATTCATTTCAAAATATGTGACCATTCAGAAAATGGACCCTATTTATTTCATTGTTGTTCTTTCTCTATAATGTAAAATACTACATTGGATGTGTTTTATATATACATACACTTATATCTTTGAACAATTTTCAACTTATTGTTGAGAAAATAATAATTTTTGTGACTCTGCTATTCAGTACCATAAGCCAGGAAGGGTGGTATTACAATTTATCAGTCTCAACACTCTTGGGCAATGCAGCTAAATTGCCCACTTACTGCATTCCTAAGCTTATTTTTTTAAATGCATATGTATTATTTTAATTTCTGAGTCACTCATTTTGCCTGAAATTTCTATCTTATTCTAGTCATCTCTGTTTTTCAAACAACAATCAGCTATTGATGTTCATCCAGCTGTTACTATTCTTGGCAACTTCACATATTTCCTTACCAAAGTATTATCCCCTATCACTGGTGGTTGTTAAAGTCTGCTACACAGGTTTTTTTACTGGATAAGCTTCCAGTATTCCTCCATTTATGGCCCCCTTTTGTCTAGTAAAGAAGTGTTCTCTGGTTTCCTTGAAATGGCAATGCCAAAAGGAATGTGGCTGCAAACAAGGGGAAGCAGTTCATTAGAGAGCCAAATAACTCCTCTGCCAGGTTATGCTGCTAGGAGACTTCTCTTTATTGAATCATTTGCTGAGAAAATAACATTCTCTTACATAAACAAATTCCCTTTATTTTTCTTTTTTACATGTCGCTATAATATTGAAGTGATAACTGGAACAAGAGCAAATAAAAGACAACATCATTATGATGATATTCCCATGTCTTATTTATTTATGGTTTCCACCAACTTCAAAAGGGGTTTCATGAAACTCACAATAAAAGCAGAATTTGCATGAAAACTGGAACAAGACAAGGATGCTCTCTCTCACCACCCCTATTCAACATAGTACTGGAAGTGCTGGCCAGGGCAATCAGGCAAGAGAAAGAAATAAAGCATATTCAGATAGAAAGAGAGGGAGTCAAATTATCTTTGTTTGCAGATTACATGATCATGTATCTAGAAAACTCTATCATTTCAGCCCCAAAGCTTCTTAAGCTGATAAACAACTTCAGCAAAGTCTCAGGATACAAAATCAATGTGCAAAAATCTCTAGTATTCCTATTCACCAAGAACAGGCAAGCAGAGAGCCAAATTATGAATGAACTCATTTGCTACATTCACGATTGCTACAAGAGAATAAAACACCTAGGAACACAGATAACAAGGGAAGTGAAGGACCTCTTCAAGAAAAACTACAAACCACTGCTCAAGGAAATCAGAGAGGACAGAAACATATGAAAAAGTATTCCACGCTCATGGATAGAAAGAATCAATATTGTGAAAATGGCCATGATGCCCAAAGTAATGTATAGATTCAATGATATTCCCAATAAACTAACATTGACATTTTTCACAGAATTAGAAAAGCTATTTCAAAAATTCATATGGAGTGAAAAACAACCCATAGAGCTAAGACAATCCTAAGTAAAAAGAACAAACTGGAGGCAACATCATGCTTCCCAACTTCGAACAATACTACAAGGCTACAGTAAGCAAAACAGCATTGTATTGGTACAAAAACAGACACATAGACCAATGGAAAAATTAGAGAACTCACAAGTAAGACGACATACCTCCAACAATCTCATCTTCAAGAAACATGACAAATACAAGCAATGGGGAAAGGATTCCTTATTTAATAAATGCTGCTGGGAGAACTGGTTAGCCATATGCAGAAAATTGAAATTTGATCCCTTTCTTACACTTTATACAAAAATTAACTCAAGATGGATTAAAGACTTAAATGTAAAACCAAAAACTATAAAAACCTCTAGAGGAAAATCTAGGCAATACCATTCAGGACATAGGCATGGGCAAAGATTTCATGATGAAAATAGTGAAAGCATTGTTTCATGTGTCTGTTGGCTGCATAAATGTCTTCTTTTGAGAAGCGTCTGTTCATATCCTTCACCCACTTGTTGATGGGGTTGTTTGTTTTTTTCTTGTAAATTTGTTTGACTTCTTTGTAGATTCTGGATATTAGCCCTCTGTCAGATGAGTAGATTGCAAAAATTTTCTCCCATTCTCTAGGTTGCCTATTCACTCTGATGGTAGTTTCTTTTGTTGTGCGGAAGCTCTTTAGTTTAATTAGATCCCATTTGTCAATTTTGGCTTTTGTTGCCATTGCTTTTGGTGTTTTAGACATGAAGTCCTTGCCCATGCCTATGTCCTGAATGGTATCGCCTAGGTTTTATTCTAGGGTTTTTATGGTTTTAGGTCTAACATTTAAGTCTTTAATTCATCTTGAATTAACTTTTCTATAAGGTGTAATGATGGAATCCAGTTTCAGCTTTCAACATATGGCTAGCCAGTTTTCCCTGCACCATTTGTTAAACAGGGAATCTTCCCCATTTCTTGTTTTTGTCAGGTTTGTCAAAGATCAGATGGTTGTACATGTGTGGTATTATATCTGAGGGCTCTGTTCTGTTTCATTGGTCTATGTCTCTCTTTTGGTAACAGAACCATGCTGTTTTGGAAGCTTTGTAGTATAGTTTGAAGTCAGGTAGCGTGACGCTTCCAGCTTTGTTCTTTTGGCTTAGGATTGACTTGGTGATGCGGGCTCTTTTTTGGTTCCATATGAACTTTAAAGTA
The DNA here is from genome assembly GCF_000001405.40 of Homo sapiens. Lineage (NCBI taxonomy): Eukaryota > Metazoa > Chordata > Mammalia > Primates > Hominidae > Homo > Homo sapiens. The sequence continues at coordinate 124,968 of NW_012132918.1, forward strand.
GTTTTTTCCAGTTCTGTGAAGAAAGTCATTGGTAGCTTGATGGGGATGACATTGAATCTATAAATTACCTTGGGCAGTATGGCCATTTTCACGATATTGATTCTTCCCACCCATGAGCATGGAATATTCTTCCAGTTCTTTCTATCCTCTTTTATTTTGTTGAGCAGTGGTTTGCAGTTCTCCTTGAAGAGGTCTTCACATCCCTTGTAAGTTGGATTCCTAGTTATTTTATTCTCTTTGAAGCAATTGTGAATGGGAGTTCACTCATGATTTGGCTCTCTGTTTGTCTATTATTGGTGCATAAGAATGCTTGTGATTTTTGCACATTGATTTTGTATCCTGAGACTTTGCTGCTTAAGTTGCTTATCAGCTTAAGGAGATTTTGGGCTGAGATGATGGGGTTTTCTATATATACAATTAAGTCATCTGCAAACAGGGACAATTTGACTTCCTCTTTTCCTAATTGAATACCCTTTATTTCTTTCTCCTGCCTGATTGTCCTGGCCAGAACTTCCAACACTATGTTGAATAGGAGTGGTGAGAGAGGGCATCCCTGTCTTGTGCCAATTTTCAAAGAGAATGCTTCCAGTTTTTGCCCATTCAGTATGATACTGGTGGTGGGTTTGTCATAAATAGCTCTTATGATTTTGAGATACATCCCAATAATACCTAATTTATTGAAAGTTTTTAGCATGAAGTGTTGTTGAATTTTGTCTAAGGCCTTTTCTGCATCTATTGAGATAATCATGTGGTGTTTGTCTTTGGTTCTGTTTATATGCTGGATTACGTTTATTGATTTGCATATGTTGAACCAGCCTTGCATCCCAGGAATGAAGCCTACTTGATCATGGTGGATAAGCTTTTTGATGTGCTGCTGAATTCTGTTTGCCAGTATTTTACTGAGGATTTTTGCATCGATGTTCATCAGGGATATTGGTCTAAAATTGTTTTTTTTTGTGTGTGTGTCTCTGCCAGGCTTCAGTATCAGGATGATGCTGGCCTCATAAAATGAGTTAGGGAGGATTTCCCTCTTTTTCTAATGATTGGAATAGTTTCAGAAGGCATGGTACCAGCTCCTCCTTGTACCTCTGGTAGAATTCAGCTGTGAATCCATCTGGTCCTTCCTGGACTTTTTTTGGTTGGTAAGCTGTTAATTATTGCCTCAATTTCAGAGCCTGTTATTGGTCTATTCAGAGATTCAACTTCTTCCTGATTTAGTCTTGGGAGGGTGTATGTGTCCAGGAATTTATCCGTTTCTTCTGGATTTTCTAGTTGATTTGTGTAGAGGTGTTTATAGTATTCTCTGATGGTAGTTTGTATTTCTGTGGAATTGGTGGTGATATCCCCTTTATCATTTTTTATTGCATCTATTTGATTCTTCTCTCTTTTCTTCTTGCTAGTGGTCTATCAATTTTGTTGATCTTTTCAAAAAATCAGCTCCTGGATTCATTGATTTTTTGAAGGGTGTTTTTGTGTCTCTATCTCGTTCAGTTCCGCTCTTATCTTAATTATTTCTTGCCTTCTGCTAGCTTTTGAATGTGTTTGCTCTTACTTCTCTAGTTCTTTTAATTGTGATGTTAGGGTGTCAATGTTAGATCTTTCCTGCTTTCTCTTGTGGGCATTTAGTGCTATAAATTTCCCTCTACACACTGCTTTAAATGTGTCCCAGAGATTCTGGTATGTTGTGTTTTTGTTCTCATTGGTTTCAAAGAACATCGTTATTTCTGCCTTCATTTTGTTATGTACCCAGTAGTCATTCAGGAGCAGGTTGTTCAGTTTCCATATAGTTGAGTGGTTTTAAGTGTTTCTTAATCCTGAGTTCTAGTTTGATTGCTCTGTGGTCTGAGAGACAGTTTGTTATAATTTCTATTCTTTTACATTTGCTGAGGAGTGCGTTACTTCCAACTATTGGTCAATTTTGGAATAAGTGTGATGTGTTGCTGAGAAGAATGTATATTATGCTGATTTGGGGTGGAGGGTTCTGTAGATGTCTATTAGGACTGCTTGGTGCAGAGCTGAGTTCAAATCCTGGATATCCTTTTTACTTTCTGTCTCATGGATTGCCGAATGTTGACAGTGGGGTGTTAACGTCTCCCATGATTATTGTTTGGGAGTCTAAGTCTCTTTGTAGGTCTCTAAGGACTTGCTTTATGAATTTGGGCACTCCTATATTGGGCGTATATATATTTAGTATAGTTAGCTCTTCTTGTTGAATTGATCCCTTTACCATTATGTAATGGCCACATGCAAATCAAAACCACAATGAGATACCATCTCACACCAGTTAGAATGGCGTTCATTAAAAAGTCAGAAAACAACAGGTGCTGGAGAGGATGTGGAGAAATAGGGGTACTTTTACACTGTTGGTTGGACTGTAAACTAGTTCAACCATTGTGGAAGTCAGTGTGGTGATTCCTCGGGGATCTAGAACTAGAAATACCATTTGACCCAGCCATCCCATTACTGGGTATATACCCAAAGGATTATAAGCCATGCTGCTATAAAAACACATGCACACATATGTTTACTGTGGCACTATTCACTATAGCAAAGACTTGAACCAACCTAAATGTCCAACAATGATAGACTGGATTAAGAAAACGTGGCACAAATACACCATGGAATACTATGCAGCCATAAAAAAATGGCGAGTTCATGTCCTTTTAGGGACATGGATGAAGCTGGAAACCATCATTCTCAGCAAACTATCACAAGGACAAAAAACCAAGCACCACATGTTCTCACTCATAGTTGGGAACTGAACAATGAGAACACATGGACACAGGAAGGGGAACATCACCCACCAGGGCCTGTTGTGCAGTGGGGGGAGAGGGGATGGATAGCATTACAAGATATACCTAATGTAAATGACAAATTAATGGGTGCAGCACACCAATATGGCACATGTTTACATATGTAACAAACCTGCACTTTGTGCACATATACCCTAGAACTTAAAGTATAATAAAAAAAATTTAAAGGAAGAAAATAATGAAAGGAATTTTGACAAAAGTAAAAATGGACAAATGGGATCCAATTTAACTAATGAGCTTCTGAACAGCAAAATAAATTATCAGTGTAAACAGACAACCTACAGAATGGGAGAAAATCATTGACAGACAACCTACAGAATGGGAGAAAATCATTGCAGTCTATCCTTCTGGCAAAGGTCTAATATCCAGAGTCTACAAGGAGCTTAAACAAATTTACAAGAAAAATACCATACAACCCCATTCAAAAGTGGGTAAAGGATATGAACAGACACTTCTCAAAAGGAGACATTCATGCAGCCAAAAAGCATATAAAACAAATCTCAACATCACTGATCATCAGAGAAATGCAAATCAAATCCACAATGAGATATCATCTCTTGACAGTCGGAATGGAGATTATTAAAAAGTCAAGAAACAGCAGTTGCTGGCAAGGTTTTGGAGAAAAAGGGACGTTTTTACACTGTTAATGGGAGTGTAAATTATTTCAAAAATTCAATTATTGTGGAAGATAGTGTGGTCATTTCTCAAAGACCTAGAGGCAGAAATACCATTTGACCCAGCAATCCCATTACAGGGTATATACCTGAAAGAATATAAATTATCCTATTATAAAAGTACATGATTGTGTATGTTCATTTCAGCACTATTCACAATAGCAAAGCCAGGGAATCAACCAAAATGCCTATTAATTATAGACTGCATAGAGAAAACGTGGCACATGTATACTATGAGATATTATATAGCCATAAGAAGGAATGAGATCATATCCTTTGCAGGGACATGGATGGAGGTGGAAGCCATTTTCCTCAGCAAACTAAAGGCAGAACAGAAAACCAAACACTGCATGTTCTCACTTATAAGAGGGAACTGAACAACAAAAACATGTGGACACATGGGAGGGAAGAACATACTGAGCCTTGTTGAGTCAGGGAGGGAGAGCATCAGGAAGAATAGCTAATGGATGTTGGGCTTAATACCTAGGTGATGGGTTGATCTGTGCAGCAAACCACCATGGCACACATTTACTTATGTAACAAACCTGCACATCCTGCACATGTATCCCAGAACTTAAAATAAAAGTAGAAAAAACAAAAGAAATGAGGTGTTGATTCATTGCCTAGGCTAAAAAACCACATTCTTATTTAACTGGCTCAACTAGCACATATTGTTCCCTTTACTTGAAATACTCTTCCCACTTCTTGCTAGATAAACTTGCCTTGTCCTTCAGATACTTTCTGAGACATCAACTGTGCCAGGAAATCCTCCTTGACCCCCTCAAAACTAAATTGGATGTCTACTCCATGTGTTATCTTACCTCTATCATAGCACTTAATGCATAGTAAGTTGTTTCTTCTTTGTCTCTTTTGCTAGTTTCCAAGTTTCTAGAGGGAAAAGATGGTGCTAACCACAGAGTAATTCCTCAATAAATATTTATTGAAAGAACAAATAAATAATATCATGAAGATAAAAATTTGCTAGACCCATGTTGGTCACCACGAAGATGCAAAATTTCCTGACATACCAAAATATTTTAAAATCTCTTAATAGAAAATATTTAAAGTAACTATCAAGGAAGATAAATTTAGGAGAAATTAAAGAAAGAGTATTCAGGCATACATGTGTTAAGGGAGGGATCCAGCAGATAGATTATATCCTCACCTCACCTCAACTTCAGAAAGATACTTAAGTATCTAGAAACCATTGGCTCTAGATACTTGATGATCTTTCTGTCAAATGATTTATGTGATAGAATAATTCTACCATTATGAAATTTTTAGAGGTATAATAGAAGGAGGGTCAGATTTCTTAGTTTTATCACAGTAAAAAGATCCAGGGTTGATGGAAAGACTAATTTGAAATGTTCCAGCCTTCCCCCTCTCATTTAATTTCATTATTGTGATAAAGTGAGAGTTTTCTGCAGGGAGACAGTGAGGAAAGACAGAGCAAAAGTAGCATAATTTGGGGTCATTGGGTTGAAAATGATTGACTACTATTAATAATGTTACATTAACCTGTTTTTCTCCTGTTCTGGGAAGTGAACTGAACACTCCAAATAATTTTGGCATTCACAGCAATTCAAACATCATCTACAAAGCTCCATTTGGTTGGTTATGACCTCAAATGGAAATAGAAGGTGCTGGCTAATCCAGCGAATGCAATATATTTATGGAAAATCAAATCTTTTTATTACATTGGAAAACTTTGAATTAACAGCATAGAGAAAAAGTGATGAATACACTTGCAATAACATATATTTTCATTTGATTTGGCCTTATGTAAGTAAATTATTTAGAACAGTTATATGTCCTTAGTGATCTTCCTTCTATTCTTCCATTGATATGTGCACATGACTCTCTTTTCTATCCAAAGGAATTTTCTTTCCCTGGGTGTTACACCGTAAACAATAATGGGGGAAGAAACAAAGATTGGCTATGTAATCAGCCGATTATGAATGACTTTCAGCTCCTATTAAGGCAAACCAAACATGATTCAACTAAATTCACTCAGAAAGCCCAGGTGTTCTTAGTTTAGAAATATGGAATGCCTGAAGTCTGAGTTTCATAGATCCTCTGAGATGGCCTCAGTTTTAAACAATACTTTATTTCCAGTAAGACAGTTGTGATAATCCTGGTAGCTATATATAGAGAGAAAGTAATATGTATGTTTCAAAGCACATAATTTTGAAAAATCTTTCAAAGCACATAGTTGGAGAAATCCATGTATCGCTTTCTTTAAGAAATTTCAAAGACATATGTTCCACTGTAATATCTATATAATTTCAATGAAGTATATAAAGCTACAAATGAATGAAGAAAATAAAAATAGCATTTCTTTCCTATTAATTTAATTGTTTTGACCTAAAAATACTTTAAAATGTGGCTAATATACTCATCTCACTTACAATATTGAATGTAGATAACTGATTAAATATGCTTTCAAGTCCTGTGGTTCTTATAAGATTTCTCAGAAATCTACCACCACCCACTCAAGGAGAATTATTATTTACATGTTAACAACGTATACTTAATTACCAACATAAGATATATGTGTACAAAACTCCACTTTGAAAATAAAACATTTGTGGAGATAAGTAAATAGTAGAAACAATGCCCTACAATGATTCAACGTCTTTCTTCCTGTAATGTGATGGCCTTTTACAAAGTGGTAAAAGGAAAGAAAGAGCACAAAAAAATATGCCACAAGTTCCAACTCAAATGTACATTTATTGAAAGCTGTTATGGGAACCCTTTTTCCTTCATCTCTATAGAGCTAGCAAGTCCTCAAGATCCAGACCAAATCTTGAAGGATAGTAGCAGCTCCCTTCTCTGGGTTTATACTACACAGAATCTCCAATGTATTTCTGTTGGGTGTTTAATATTCATCGTCACTGATTTTAGTTCTGAATGCATATAATAGATTTTTGGGGGGATCTATGTACCATATTTTACTTTTGTGTGTGTGTGTGTGTGTGTGACAAGGTCTCACTCTGTTGCTCAGGCTGAAGGGCAGTGGTGCAATCTCAGCTCACTACAGGCTCGACCACCCAGTCTCAAGCGATCATCCTCCCACCTCAGCCTCCTAAGTAGCTGGGCACACAAGCATGTGCCACCATGCCTGGCTGATTTTTTTATTTTTTGTAGAAACAAGGTCTCACTATGTTGCTCACGCTGGTCTCAAACTCCTGGGCTCAAGCAGTCCTCCTGCTGTAGCCTACCAAAGTGCTGCATGAGCCACCATGCCCAGTCTACACTCTGAATCTATGAAGTAATTCCTGTTCTTATCTCTCCTCATCTTGAAAGATTAAGTGAAAAGACTAACATAATAGTGGACTTTATTTGGCAGACATTTAAGGAGGCAGCAGATACAGTAGAGAGGGCAATCATGGGCTTTAGAGCCAGTCAGTACTGCATGAATAATATATTGAGCACCCATCTATTATTCTTCACCAAGTTCTCCAATTGAATCACGTTTATTTTCTTGCTTCTCTTCTCTTTAAGTACATATATATGTACACTCTGTAAAGTATATATATATATAATATACTCTTTAAGTATATATATATTTATACACTCTCTAAATATATATATTCTATCTATAAATACATGAGTGTATGTATATATGCACATACAAAAAAATACTTTTTCTGAACCACTTTAGGATAAGTTTTAGACATTACAGCAATTCAACTTTTAATACTTTAGCATTTGTATTCCAAGAACAAAAATGTTTTGTCTTCTCGGTAAAATTATTCACATTCAAGAAATTTAAACTTGTTATAATATATGTATATATAATATATGTTAACTAATATATAGTACATATTGAATTTTTTTCAATTACCTAACAGTGTCTTTTTTTTGCAATCTTTTTATATATTTCCAATTTAGGGTCTAATCCAGATCACACATTGAATTTAGATGACATATCTCTTCTGTTTTTCAAATTTTTATTTCTTTTATTTTTACTTAGTTAGTTTTTCTTCCTAGCTTCTATTTTAGGTTTGGCACGTACACGTGCAGATTTTTTACCTGGGTAGACTGTGTGTCATGGGGGTTTGATAAACAGGTTACTTCTTCAACTAGATAATAAGCATAGTACCTGATAGGTGATTTTTTTTATTTTCACCCTCCTCCCACCCTCCAGCCTCAGGTAGGCTCTGGTGTCTGCTGTTCTCTTTTCTGTGTCCATGTGTACTCAGTGTTTAGTTCCCACTTAAGTCAGAACATGTGGTATTTGGTTTTCTGTTCCTGTGTTAATTTGCATAGGATAAAGGGCTCCAACTTCATCCATGCTGTTATAAAGGACATGATTCTGTACATTTTTATTGCTGTGTAGTATTCCATGGTGTATATGCACCATATTTTCTTTCCAGTCCAACAGCGATGGGCACTTAGGTTAATTCCATATACTTGCTATTGTGAATAGTGCCATGATGAACATATGAGTCCATATGTCTTTATCATAGAAGGAAATGATTCAAACTTCTGGATATTCACTATGATATTGGCTGTGGGTTTGTAGTAGATAGCTGTTTTTATTTTGAGGTATATTCCTTCAATGCCTAGTTTATTGAGGGTTTTTAACATGAAGGGATGTTAAATTTTATGGAAAAATTTTGTATTTCTATTGAAATGATCATGTGTTTTTTTATTTTAGTTCCATTTATGTGATGAATCACATTTATTGATTTGCCTATGGTGAGTCAACCTCGCATCTCAGGAAAGAAGATCTCTTGATCATGGTGGATTAGCTTTTTGAATGCTGTTGAATTCAGTGTGCTAGTATTTTATTGAGGACTTTTGCATCTATGTTCATCAGAGCTATTGGCCTGAAGTTGTCTTTTTTGTTGTATCCCTGCCAGGTTTTGATATTAGAATGACGGTGGCCTAATAGAATGGGTTAGGGAAGGGTTTTGGAATAGTTTCAAGGTTTTGGAATAGTTTCAGTAGGATTAATACAGTTCTCTTTAAGTCTGGTAGAATTCAACTATGAATCCATCTAGTCCAGGGATTTTCTGGTTGGTAGGTTTTTTATTATTCATTCAGTTTCAGAACTCATTATTGGTCTGTTCAGTTTCTTCCTGGTTCAATCTTGGGAAGTTCCATGTTTCCAGTAATGTATCCCTTTCTTCTACATTTTCCAGTTTGTGTGCAAAGAGGTGTCTGTAATAATAAATTTCTGTGGGGGTAGTTGTAATGTCACCTTTGTCTATTCTGATTGTGTTTGTTGGGATCTTCTCTCTCTTTTTATTAGTCTAGCTAGTGGTCTATCAATCTTATTTCTTCTTTCAAATAACAAACTTCTAATTTTATCAATCCTTTGCATAGTTTTTTTGCATCTCAATTTAATTCAGTTCAGATGTAATTTTAGCTATTTCTTTTCTCCTGCTAGCTTTGGAGTTGGTTTGGTCTTGTCTTCCTACTTCCTCTAAGTGTGCTGTTAGGTTTTTAATTTGAGATCTTTCTAACTTTTCAATGTGGGTATTTACTGATATAAACTTTCCTCTTATCTCGGCTTTAGTTGTGTCCCAGAGATTCTGGTATGTTTTGTTTTTGTTTTCATTAGTTTCAAAAATTTTCTTGATGTTTGCCTTAATTTCATTGTTTACTCAAAAGTCATTTAGGAGCAGGTTATTTAATTTCTATGTCGTTGTATCATTTGGGGGTATCTTTTTAAGTATTAATTCTTACTTTTATTGTGTTGTGGTCTAAGAGTGTGCTTGGTATGATTTTGTATTTTTTTAAATTTGTTGAGAATTGTTTTACAGCTGAGCGTGTGGCCTATTTAGAATACATGCAATGTACAGATGAGAAGAATGTATATCCTGTTGTTGTTGGATAAAGTATTCCCTAAATGTCTGTTAGGTTCATTTGGTCCAGTGTTGAGTTTAGATTCCTAATATCTTTGTTACTTTTCTGCCTTGATGATCCATTTAATACTGTCAGTGGGTGGTTGAAGTCTAGCCTTGTTATTGTGTGGTTAACAAGCCACTTCATAGGTCTCTAAATCTGGTTGCTCCAGGGTTGGGTGCAGAGATGTTTAGGATAGTTAAGTCTTCTTGTTGAATTGAGCCTTTTATCACTATGTAATGCCCTTCTTTGTCTTTTTTGATCATTGGTGACTTAAAGTCTTTTTTTTTTTCTGAAATAAAAACAGCAATCCCTTCTCTTTTTTAATTTCCCATTTGCTTGGTAGCTTTTTTCTCCATCCGTTTACTTTGAACCTATAGATGTCTGTTCATATGAGATGGGTATCTTGAAGACAGTGCTACTGGGTCTTGCTTCTTTATCCAACATGCCACTCTACTTTTTAAGTGGAGCATTTAGCCTGTTTATGGTCAAGGTTAATATTGATGTGTGGATTTTGTTCTGTCATCATGTTGTTAGGTGGTTTTTATGCACATTTGATTTTGTACTTGCTTTATAGTGTTGATGATCTATGCACTTAAGTGTGTTGTGTGGTAGCCAGTAACAGTCTTTTGTTTCCATGGTTAGCACTCTCTTAAGGACCTCTGGTATGTCAGATCTGCTTCTTTTAGCATTTGCTTGCCTGAAAAGGATTTTATTTATCTTTCACTTATGAAGCTTAGTTTGACTGGATATAAAATTCTTGACTGGGGCCAGGCACGGTGGCTCATGCCTGCAATCCCAGCACCACTTTGGAAGGCCGAGGTGGGCAGATACGTGAGGTCAGGAGTTCGAGACCAGCCTGACAAACATGGTGAAACCCTGTCTCTACTAAATACAAAAAATTAGCTGGGTGTGGTGGCACATGTCTGTAATCCCAGCTACTTGGGAGGCTGAGGCAGGAAAATCACCTGAATCTGGGTGGCAGAGGTTACAGGGAGCCAAGATTGTGCCATTGCACTCCAGCCTGAGCAACAAGAGCGAAAAATCCGTATCAAAAATAAAATAAATTCTTGGTTGAAATTCCTTTTTTAAAGAATGCTGAATATTGGCCACTAATTTATTCTGGCTTGTAGGATTTCTGCTGAAAGGTTAGCTATTAGCCTGATGTGGTTCTCTGCCCCTCCTACTTAGCAGTCTTAAGTATTTTTTCTTTCTTTCTTAGAGAATCTGATGACTATGTCTTGGGGATGGTCATCTTGTAGAGTATCTTAGAGTTTCTCTGCATTTCCTGAATTTGAATGTCGACCTCATTAGCAAAGTTGGGGAAATTTTCATAGAAAATATCCTCAAATATGTTTTCCAAGCTGCTTGCTCCCTCTCCCTCTCTTTCAGAGACACAAATGAGTCATAGGTTGGTCTTTTTACATAATACCATGTTTCTCTAGGTTAGTTCATTCTTTTTTATTCCTTTTCTTTTTGGCTTTTCAACTTAAGCTTTAATATATCAATAATTACCTTAAATATAAATAGCCCAAATACACAAATCAAAAGACAGAGATTGACAGATTATATAATAAAACACAGCCCATCTATATGCTGTTTAAAAGAAATTCACTTCGAATTCTACAAAAAGGAGTGTATACAATAATATCTAACAAAGTGAATGAGAAAAAGAGGCACATTACTTAATAATAGAAGAATCAATCCATCAGGAAGACACATGATTCTAAATATGTGCTCACCAAATAACAGAGCCATAATATATATAAAACAAAAAGATAGACCTGAAAGAAAAAATTGAAAAATCCACAGTTAGAGTTGGGGATTTTGACACTCACCTCTCACTAACTGATAGAACTACTAGACAGAAAATCAGCAAGGACATAGAGGATCTGAACAATACAATCAACGAATATGATCTAATTAGCATGTATAGAACTCTACAGTCAATAACAGCAGATTTCATTTATTTTTTTTTTCCACCTTTCTAAAGAGTTTATTCTTTCTTTAATTTCTTTTCTTTTTTTATTATACTTTAAGTTTTAGGGTACATGTGCACAATGTGCAGGTTAGTTACATATGTATACTATGTTTGTGTACTGCACCCATTAACTCATCATTTAACATTGGGTATATCTCCTGATGCTATCTCTCCCCCTACCCCACAACAGGCTCCAGTGTGTGATGTTCCCCTTCCTATGTCCATGTGTTCTTATTGTTCAATTCCCACCTATGAGTGAGAACATGAGGTGTTTGGTTTTTTGTCCTTGCAATAGTTTGCTGAGAATGATGGTTTCCAGGTTTAACCATGTCCCTACAAAGGACATGAACTCATCATTTTTTATGGCTGCATAGTATTCCATGGTGCATATGTGCCACATTTTCTTAATCCAGTCTATTGTTGTTGGACATTTGGCTTGGTTCCAAGTCTTTGCTATTGTGAATAGTGCCACAATAAACATACTTGTGCATGTGTCTTTATAGCAGCATGATTTATAATCCTTTGGGTATATACCCAGGAATGGGATGGCTGGGTCAAATGGTATTTCTAGTTCTAGATCCCCAAGGAATCACCACACTGACTTCCACAATGGTTGAACTAGTTTACACTCCAACCAACAGTGTAAAAGTGTTCCTATTTCTCCACATCCTCTCCAGCACCTGCTGTCTCCTGACTTTTTAATGATCGTCATTCTAACTGGTGTGAGATGGTATCTCATTGTGGTTTTGATTTGCATTTCTCTGATGGCCAGTGATGGTGAGCATTTTTTCATGGGTATTTTGACTGCATAAATGTCTTCTTTTGAGAATAGTCTGTTCATATCCTTCACCCACTTTTTGTTGGGGTTGTTTGTTTTTTTCTTGTAAATTTGTTTGAGTTCATTGTACATTCTGGATATTAGCCCTTTGTCAGATGAGTAGATTGCAAAAATTTTCTCCCATTCTGTAGGTTGCCTGTTCATTCTGATGGTAGTTTCTTTTGCTGTGCAGAAGCTTTTTAGTTGAATTAGATCCCATTTGTCAATTTTTGCTTTTGTTGCCATTGCTTTTGGTGTTTTAGACATGAAGTCCTTGCCCATGCCTATGTCCTGAATGGTGATGCCTAGGTTTTCTTCTAGGGTTTTTGTGGTTTTAGGTCTAACGTTTAAGTCTTTAATCCATCTTGAATTGATTTTTGTATAAGGTGTAAGGAAGGGATCCAGTTTCAGCTTTCTACATATGACTAGCCAGTTTTCCCAGCACCATTTATTAAATCTGGAATCCTTTCCCCATTGCTTGTTTTTCTCAGGTTTGTCAAAGATCAGATAGTTGTATATATGCAGCATTATTTCTGAGGGCTCTGTTCTGTTCCACTGATCTATATCTCTGTTTTGGTACCAGTACTGTGCTGTTTTGGTTACTGTAGCCTTGTAGTATAGTTTGAAGTCAGATTACATGATGCTTCCAGCTTTGTTCTTTTGGCTTAGGATTGACTTGGCGATGCAGACTCTTTTTTGGTTCCATATGAACTTTAAAGTAGTTTTTTCCAATTCTGTGAAGAAAGTCATTGGTAGCTTGATGGGGATGGCATTGAATCTGTAAATTACCTTGGGCAGTATGGCTATTTTCACGATATTGATTCTTCCTGCCCATGAGCATGGAATGTTCTTCCATTTGTTTGTATCCTCTTTTATTTCATTGAGCAGTGGTTTGTAGTTCTCCTTGAAGAGGTCCTCCACGTCCCTTGTAAGATAGATTCCTAGGTATTTTATTCTCTTTGAAGCAATTGTGAATGGAAGTTCACTCATGATTTGTCTCTCTGTTTGTCTGTTATTGGTGTATAAGAATGCTTGTGATTTCTGCACATTGATTTTGTATCCTGAGACATTGTTGAAGTTGCCTATCAGCTTGAGGAGATTTTGGGCTGAGATGATGGGTTTTTCTAGATATACAATTATGTCATCTGCAGACAGGGACAATTTGACTTCCTCTTTTCCTAATTGAATACCCTTTATTTCCTTCTCCTGCCTGATTGCACTGGCCAGAACTTCCAACACTATGTTGAATAGGAGTGGTGAGAGAGGGCATCCCCGTCTTGTGCCAGTTTTCAAAGGGAATGTTTCCAGTTTTTGCCCGTTCAGTATGATATTGGCTGTGGGTTTGTCATAAATAGCTCTTATTATTTTGAGATATATCCCATCAATACCTAATTTATTGAGAGTTTTTAGCATGAAGGGCTGTTGAATTTTGTCAAAGGCCTTTTCTGCATCTATTGAGATAATCATGTGTTTTTTGTCTTTGGTTCTGTTTCTATGCTGGATTACATTTACCGGTTTGCCTATGTTGTATGAGCCTTGCATCATAGGGGTGAAGCCCACTTGATCATGGTGGATAAGCTTTTAGATGTGCTGCTGGATTCGGTTTGCCAGTATTTTATTGAGGATTTTTGCATAGATGTTCATCAGGGATATTGGTCTAAAATTCTTTTTCTTTTTGTCACGTCTCTGCCAGGCTTTGGTATCAGGATGATGCTGGCCTCATAAAATGAGTTAGGGAAGAGTCCCTCTTTTTCTATTGATTGGAATAGTTTCAGAAGGAATGGTACCAGCTCCTCCTTGTACCTCTGGTAGAATTCAGCTGTGAATCTGTCTGGTCCTGGAGTTTTTTTTTGCTTGGTAAGATATTAATTATTGCCTCAGTTTCAGAACCTGTTATTGGTCTATTCAGAGATTCAACTTCTTCCTGGTTTAGTCTTAGGAGGCTGTATGTGTCCAGTAATTTATCTATTTCTTCTAGATTTTCTAGTTTATTTGCATAGGGGTGTTTTTAGTATTCTCTGATGGTAGTTTCTATTTCTGTGGGATTGGTGGTGATATCCCCTTTATCATTTCTTATTGCATCTATTTGATTCTTCTATCTTTTCTTCTTTATTAGTCTTGCTAGCAGTCTATCAATTTTGTTGATCTTTTCAAAAAATCAGCTCCTGGATTCATTGATTTTTTGAAGGGTTTTTTGTGTCTCTATTTCCTTCAGTTCTGCTCTTGTCTTAATTATTTCTTGCCTTCTGCTAGCTTTTGAATGTGTTTGCTCTTACTTCTCTAGTTCTTTTAATTGTGATGTTAGGGTGTCAGTGTTAGATCTTTCCTGCTTTCTCTTGTGGGCATTTAGTGCTATAAATTTCCCTCTACACACTGCTTTAAATGTGTCCCAGAGATTCTGGTATTTTTTGTCTTTGTTTTCGTTGGTTTCAAAGAACATCTTTATTTCTGCCTTCATTTCATAATGTCCCCAGTAGTCATTCCAGGGCAGGCTGTTCAGTTTCCATATAGTTGAGTGGTTTTGAGTGAGTTTCTTAATCCTGAGTTCTAGTTTGATTGCACTGTGGTCTGAGAGACAGTTTGTTATAATTTCTACTCTTTTACATTTGCTGAGGAGTGCTTTACTTCCAACTGTGTGGTCAGTTTTGGAATAGGTGTGGTGCTGAGAAGAATGTATATTCTGTTGATTTGGGGTGGAGAGTTCTGTAGATGTCTTTGTAGGTCTGCTTGGTTCAGAGCTGAGTACAACTCCTGGATATCGTTGATAACTTTCTGTCTCATTGATCTGTCTAATGTTGACAGTGAGGTGTTAATGTCTCCCATAATTATTGTGGGGGAGTCTAAGTCTCTTTGTAGGTCTCTAAGGACTTGCTTTATGAATCTTGGTGCTCCTGTATTGGGTGCATATATATTTAGGATAGTTAGCTCTTCTTGTTGAATTGATCCCTTTACCATTATGTAATGGCCTTCCTTGTCTCTTTTGATCTTTGCTGGTATAAGTCTGTTTTATCAGAGGCTAGGATTGCAACATCTGCCTTCTTTTTGTTTTCCATTTGCTTGGTAGATCTTCCTCCATCCCTTTATTTTGAGCCTATTTGTGTTTCTACATGTGAGATGGGTTTCCTGAATACAGCACACTGATGGGTCTTGACTCTTTATTCAGTTTTGCAGTCTGTGTCTTTTATTTGGAGCATTTAGCCCATTTACATTTAAGGATAATATTGTTATGTGTGAATTCGATCCTGTCATTTTGATGTCAGCTGTCATTTTGATTTGCTCATTAGTTGAGACACTTTCTTCCTAGCCTTGATGGTCTTTACAATTTGGCATATTTTTGCAGTGGCTGGTACCAGTTGTTCCTTTTCATGTTAGGAATTTGAGGCCAGCCTGGCCTACATGGAGAAACTCTACTAGAAATACAAAAATTAGCTGGGTGTGGAGGTGCATGCCTGTAATAATTCCAGCTACTCAGGAGGCTGAGGCAGGAGAATCACTTGAACTCTGAGTGATGGAGTGAGACTCTGTCTCAAAACAAACAAAAAAATACCCTTCTGATTGTATTATGAAATTCTTGTGGTGAGTTTTTCAGCTCTATCAGATGAGTTTGGTACCCTCTTACAATTGCTCTTTCATCTTTCAGCTCCTATCATTTTATTGGATTCCTTCAATTGGGTTGGGTTTTTACTTTCTCCTGAATCTAATCATTTTTTTTCTATCCATATTCTGAATTCTATGTCTGTTTTTTCTGCCATTTCAATCTGGCTAAGAACCGTTGCTGGGGAGGTAGTATGGACATTTGCAAGTAAGAAGACACTCTGGCTTTTTGAGTTGCCAGAGTTCTTGTGCTGGTTCTTTATCTTCTGTGTGGACTGATGTATCTTTAATTTTTGAAGTTGCTGTCCTTTGGATGGGGTTTTTTGCTTTTATATTCTTTGATGTCCTTGAGGGTTTGACTGTGGTATATTGGCTTTAGTTGGGTGGCTTTGTTTATGGATATTTCAGGGGGCCAAGGCTCATCTCAGCACTCCTGGGCTGCATACTCTAAACCTAGGGGCTGGTACCAGGTCTGTGCCTTTGTTCTCTATCCACTCAAGGTTAAGCACCTGCTGTGTTGGAGGAACTGAGGTGTTCCCAGTCCACTGGCAACAATACTCTGATGGGGGATGCTGGCAAAAAAAGTATTTCATTGGAGTGGTGCCATCAGGGTCATGTGTGGAGGCAGGGTGATGGTGTCTATGCACATGTACCTCTTTTTTTGAGCTACAATAGTTTCTCAACCTTTCTTCATCTTTCATAATATTGTTCTGGCAACAATTTTAATGGCACCCCTTTCACTCTCAAAAGCTTCCTAGTTTGGACAATAAATATCACTTTATTTATGTGTGATTGGGGATAATGTTTGATGAATATTCTGCATCATCAGAGTACTTTGAGCAGAGAGCACTGGCACTTGAATTAAAGGATGATTGCATAGCAACTATACTGATAGAGCCACCAGAATGACCAGAGATGTATCTCTCAGAGCTATTTCTTTTCATTTCAGAGTAGTGACTTAGTAACCTTATCCTTTTTTCCTAGAGAGGATTCGTCTACATTCCATAGCAAAGTTTCACTTTCTTTTTCCAAGAGGAGAATGTCAGACCTTGCAGCACCCTATGTAAGCTCCAGGTTTCATATTTCAGAACTCCTCTTCTTTGGTACAAATTTAGCTCTCACTGCATGGCTTGCAGGGATTTGTGACATGGAGACTCGTGAAAGATGTTCCATGATTAAATGGTCTTTCCACTGACCTAGAGGTCTTAAGTTTCTGCAGAATGGTAACTCTTCAGTTTGCAAGTAGGGTAGCATCCCAGATCCCTCAGAGTTTCAGGCTTATCAATTTGTCATTAAGAATTTAGTCCAAAATGTCCTGAGGTACACTGCAGGAAAAGACCTGTTTTTTGACCATGAAGAATTTAAAATCTAGTGAGGGAAATAATCTTAAATTGAAACATAAGTAGAAAAATGTAGTATATTCTATGGTCAAACACTGGACGGTAAAAATGCAGAGAGCAGGAATCAATTGCGATTAGGGAAATAAAGCATGTTTTCCAGAAGTTTGTGATACAAATTTTGAACAGCCCCAAAAGGTAAAAGAACATAAGTGATTTGCACAAAGCCACAAAGAAGTATAACCTGAGTTAGTATTCTCATTTTGTTAACTCTCAGTGAATTTTTATTTACATTAACTAAGCTTTACATTTGATTAATAGTCAGGATAAGAAGATTAAAAATTAGATGGGTAAACCTAATTGTCTCAGAGAAAAATAGTTTGTAGTGTATTGTACTGGGCAGCACACAGACCTATTAACTCAAATATTTTAATTTTAAAAGGCTTTTCAAAGTGTTAGCCCTCATAATATATCAATTTGCTTATATAATTACGTTATATATTTTACAGTTACTATTTGTTTACATACACTTTAAGAAATCTATATACTTGATTTATATGTCATAGTACACATGCACAATATTGGGACATAATTTGTGTTTTAGTCATAGATATAGGGACATTCCTAATAGGGAAATTTCTAGAAATATCTATATTTGGAGAAAATAAATCATCTTATAATGCAAGAAAATTGAAGTCATGGTTTCAAATATGAGAGGTTAATTAAAAATTTTATTACATTGAGATTACAATACATTGATAAATAAGAGAACTGTTTCATACATATATACAGGAGAAATGGATAAAAACTCAGATATGCAAGTGTAACATAGTACAACTAGAATAAAATAATTAAAATAATAAAATCTGATATGCAGAATACATTCTAGTACCAGGCTTGAATAAAATACTATTAGGTTTTATTTTTAAGCTATTTTAAATTAATGTTAAATAACTTCCACATTCAGTATAATTACTATGATGTATCTTTATACAGACGTTTTACAGAGTTTTATAAGTAATTCTTTTGTAAAGGTAATATCATATCCCTCTTTCAAATGCAAATTTTGTAACATGTTACAGAGATAAAATTGGGAAATACATTCTAAATACTGTATTTATGGTGAAAATAGTACAGAATCTTGAAACTGGGGCTAAAATATCAGTACATATGTATATATATACGTATGTATATGTATACACATACATACGTACGTATGTATGTGTATACATATACATATGTACGTATGTATGTGTATACATACATATGTATATATGTATGTATATGTATACGTATGTATGTATATGTATACGTATGTATGTATATGTATACGTATGTATGTATATATATATGAATCCAATATATTCTCTCTTAAAATGTTAGAGCTTTACAGTATTATCTGTAATTCTTTTAAGCTATCAAATATTTCAATTTTCAAAGCTCCAGCTGCTTTCCCACTGAATAAAAAATATATATTACAAGCAAAATGTGCTCTTAGGTACATAACTAGATTTTCTCTTCAACTTACCATGGAAAAAACAGATAAGCCATTTTTGTTACATGGGTAGCTAATTACATTTGTGTTTTATTTAGGTAACTCTATATTATGTGGGTGATGATACTAGTTATATTTGGTTAAGGACTTAAGTATTAAAAAAACACAAGAATTAAAAGAAATATCTTGTGAAGCATTGATAAATTGTCATAATAACAATGGTGAGAAGATGGCTAAAGGAAACAGTGGACAAGTCCAGACTCTATAGTTTCATCTTCTGAAGCAGAGAGAAATTACTTATCTGAAAGCAAATGGCAGTAATTGTGGAATGTCAGAAAAGTAGAATCATTTATAAACTAGATGGGGCATGAAAAGGAGTCAAAGAACTGAAGGAAAGTAAAAATGAAGGAAAAGGAAAAAGGAGGCAGGAAGAGAGGGAAGAAGAAAGGGAAGGAGGCAGATGCATTTCCTAAATCTTCCATTGCATCTCAATGGAAGTCTCTATTTTCGAATTTTAAACCTGACAAAGACAGGTACATTTAGTTTTAGGTTGATGTTTATTGTCTTACATATTCACCCCAGTGCCTTTTCTGATCTCCCGAATACTGCTAGAATAGGTCAAATTTCCCAAAAGTTTAGCTCATAACAGTCATCCATCATTCTCCACCAGTGCATTCAGGGTAATAAAGCAGGCTAAACTTTTATTCTAGGTATTTTTGACAAGAGAAAAATAATTTTTTAATGATAAGAAAATTGTACTAACTACTTGAAATAATAATGCAAAATAATAATTTGAGGCAGATAGTTTTTTTCTTCTCAACTTACATCATTACTGGAAATCATGCAACATATTTTAAACGATGTAGCATAAACTTATTTTACAATACTTTACCATCTAATTTCCTTTTCCTTTTGTGACATCCAAATACCTTGAACATTCTTGCATTTATTAGGTAATTCGTTCATTCAAGATCCATTTCATCAGCTACCAAATACCTACCATAACAAGACATCTTGCCCAATATCATGGAGCCTATAAGGTGTATACAAAATTAAATGAGACCATGTAAATATGTTTTTAAATCTATAAGAATATTATTTAAATAAAAGGTACATAACATTAAGCACAATCCAATACCAGTTCTGAGGAGTAATACAAAATAATCTTTTCATGCTTAGACTAACTCACCATTCAAGATAACAAATAAATTAGCCTCCAATTAATAGTGAGAATACTTTATACTTAAATATTTTCTAACTGAATTTTATTCATTACCTAATTTAATCACAAGAATCTTCATAGATTGACAACATGTTAGGCTATTCTTGCATTGCTATAAAGGAATACTGGAACCTGGGTAATTTATAAAGAAAAGAGGTCTAATTCACTCACAGTTCCACAGGCTGTACAAGCTTGAAACTGGCATCTGCTCAGCTTCTAGGGAGACCTCAGGCAGGGCACTTTTACTCAAGGTGGAAGGCCAAGCAGGAACAGATATGTCACATGGCGAATGTAGTAGCAGGAAAGTGAGAGTGGGGCAGAAATGCCATGCACCCGGAAACACCATATCTCACAAGATCTCACTCACTATTAAGAGGACAGCACTAAGGCACGAGGGATCCATCCCATGACCCAAACACTCCCACCAGGCCCCACCTCTGACACTAGGAATCACATATCCAGATGAGATTTAGAGGCCACACAATCCAAATGATACCAGACAAGGTCTCACTACTACTGTTTATAGATGAGGAAAATGTGACAGACTTTGTGAATGTGACAGATCACACAGAAAAACAGGGACAGAGGCAAGGCAAAAAGCCAGGCCCTCTTTACTACCCAAGCATTGCTTTTGACATGCCACTCCTCCCACTCCCCCACCCCCCCTTATGTTTTTGTACTCTGTAATGTGTTCAGCCTGGTTGCATTGCTAGAATGTAACAAAATAACCCACTAAAAGCTAAACTATTCCCTATTACTTCAGTAATTTAAAGAGAAGTCTTAGGTATTCAAATACCCAATTACCATAAAGATAATGAATTCAAGTTTTATTAATTCTCTCTTCCTCTTCCTGTCCTCTAGTGAAATGTTAACCAACCCCACATTTTTCCAAAATCCAAGATGGATAATTGGCCATCAAATAATTAAATAACATTATGTCTAGTGTTTTTAGGATGATAGACATGTTAGGTAACTGTGGTGATTTAGGATGGTTTGACTAAAGTCACATAAATAGCAAAGCAAGAACTCGAATACTTTTAAGATGTAAAAATCAATTAGAAAATGAGTGTAAGTTAACATCATTATTATACCTTAGAAATTTGTGTTTAACAAGGTCATATTAATCAGAGAATAATAAAAATGGTTATTTCTACATACTTTTTATTCTGGTTCTGCCACAAAATATTACTCAAAGGTGATAATGGGAAACTGATAGAATGTAGTGAACAAAAAGAAACCTCAGTAAACGCATTTTTCTCAACTTTATGCTGATATAAGTTAATATTCACATTTTCCAATTAAAACAGCACAATGGACTATTAAAATTTTCTATAGAGAAACTTACCGCATATAAAACAGAAACAAGTGGAAACTGAACAGAGAGGAAAGTCTCTCAATGAGCAGTGTAAGCTATGGAGACAAAAGATGAAGAGAAAGCAAAAATTCTAACTTCCTTTTACCTCTTTATCTATTATCTGTTTCAAAATTCCAAGGCAGGACGCCTAACAATTGCACCTTGTGGAAGATGTGCTGATGTGAAATCCTGCAGGATTCCAGGGCTACTATCTGTCAATGCTTGGGTTTAAGTCAGCAGCAGCTTCTTCCCTTGAGCATTAGCACAAGAATGACTTGTCTTATGTATTTTCAATGGATGCAAATGTCAACCTTATCACCAAGGAAGACATATGGTACCCAGTTCTGGAAAGTGAATTCTATTTCATAATGAGTTCAAATCTCCCTCTGAGATCAGAACTTGGTGCAGGGAAAAGCAGAGGTAAACATGCTGAGAGGGCTGTCTCAATGCCCTGTGCAGTGCCTGGACCTGCTTGAAAATGTCAGTTTTCAGAACATTTCTGCAAGTAGCTTTTACAAAAATGTGTTGCTAAAATAAAAGATATGGGAGAAAATAATCTTTATTTTTGGCAAAGAAAATCATATAATTAAGGATCATCCATTTATTCTGAAAGTGTCTTTTGTTTTCTTCCCACATTTCTTTGAAATGTGCAGGAGAAAATTGCCAGTAGAAAAAGTTTAGCTAATATAATTACCACTGGATTTCAACTCTTGTTCTTGGATAACTGTTGAGGTTGTCTGTTTCTACAGAGGCAATAGTGTGGCCTAAAGTTTTCTTCATTCATACTCCACAGAAGAATAATCTTGGCGAAAATTTCCATTTATGTCCTGAGGCCCACTTAAACTGTTTTGCTCCAAAACACAAGCCCCATTGTATTGGTTTACTCCAACTGCCATGAGAAAATAACACACGTAGGCTCAAAATAAAGGGATGGTGGAAGATCTACGAAGCAAATGGAAAACAAAAAAAGACACGTGTCTCAATCCTAGTCTCTGATAAAACACACTTTAAACCAACAAAAATCAAAAGAGACAAAGACGGCCATTACAAAATGGCAAAGAGATCAATTCAATAAGAAGAGCTAACTATCCTAAATATATATGCACCCAATAAAGGAGTACCAAGATTCATAAAGCAAGTCCCTAGAGACGTACAAAAAGACTTAGACTCCCACACAATAATAATGGGAGACATTAACACCTCACTGTCAACATTAGACAGATCAATGAGACAGAAAGTTAACAAGGATATCCAGGAATTGAACTCAGCTCTGCACCAAGCAGACCTATGAAGACATCTACAGAACTCTCCATCCAAATCAACGGAATATACTTTTTTCTCAGCAGCATACCACACCTATTCCAAAACTGACCACACAGTTGGAAGTAAAGCACTCCTCAGCAAATGTAAAAGGATACAAATTATAACAAACTGTCTCTCAGACCACAGTGCAATCAAACTAGAACTCAGGATTAAGAAACTCACTCAAAACCACTCAACTACATGGAAATTGAACAACCTCCTCCTGAATGACTATTGGGTACATAACGAAATGAAGGTGAAATAAAGATGTTCTTTGAAACCAACGAGAACAAAGACAAAAAATACCAGAATCTCTGGGACACATTTAAAGCAGTGTGTAGAGGGAAGTTTATAGCACTAAATGCCCACAAGAGAAAGCAGGAAAGATCTAAAATGGACAACCTAATATCACAATTAAAAGAACTAGAGAAGCAAGAGCAAACACATTCAAAAGCTAGCAGAAGGCAAGAAATAACTAAGATCAGAGCAGAACTGAAGGAAATAGAGACACAAAAAAACCTTCAAAAATCAATGAATACAGGAGCTGGTTTTTTGAAAAGATCAACAAAATTGATAGACCACTAGCAAGACTAATAAAGAAGAAAAGAAGAATCAAATAGATACAATAAAAAACAATAAAGGGGATATCACCACCGATCCCACAGAAATACAAACTACCATAAGAGATTACTAAAATCACCTCTACACAAATAAACTAGAAAATCTAGAAGAAATGGATAAATTACTGGACACATACACCCTCCCAAGACTAAACCAGGAAGAAGTTGAATCTGTGAATAGACCAATAACAGACTCTGAAACTGAGGCAATAATTAATAGATTACCAACCAAAAAAAGTCCAGGACCAGATGGATTCACAGCCGAATTCTACCAGAGGTACAAGGAGGAGCTGGTACCATTCCTTCTGAAACTATTCCAATCAATAGAAAAAGAGGGACTCCTCCCTAACTCATTTTATGAGGCCAGTATCATCCTGATACCAAAGCTGGGCAGAGACACAACAAAAAAAGAGAATTTTAGACCAATATCCCTGAAGAACATCGACGCAAAAATCCTCAATAAAATACTGGCAAACCAAATCCAGCAGAACATCAAAAACTTATCCACCATGATCAAGTGGGCTTCATCCCTGGGATGCAAGGCTGGTTCAACATACGCAAATCAATAAATGTAATCCAACATATAAACAGAGCCAAAGACAAAAACCACATGATTATCTCAATAGTTGCAGAAAAGGCCTTTGACAAAATTCAACAACCCTTCATGCTAAAAACTCAGTATATTCCGTATTGATGGGATGTATCTCAACACAATAAGAACTATCTATGACAAACCCACAGACAATACCATACTGAATGGGCAAAAACTGGAACCATTCCCTTTGAAAACTGGCGCAAGACAGGGATGCCCTCTCTCACCACTCCTATTCAACATAGTGTTGGAAGTTCTGGCCAGGGCAATTAGGCAGGAGAAGGAAATAAAGGGTATTCAATTAGGAAAAGAGGAAGTCAAATTGTCCCTGTTTGCAGATGACATGATTGTATATTTAGAAAACCCCATCATCTCAGCCCAAAATCTCCTTAAGCTGATAAGCAATTTCAGCAAAATCTCAGGATACAAAATCAATGTGCAAAAATCGCAAGCACTCTTAAATACCAATAACAGACAAACAGAGAGCCAAATCATGAGTGAACTCTCATTTACAATTACTTCAAAGAGAATAAAATACCTAAGAATCCAACTTACAAGGGATATGAAGGACCTCTTCAAGGAGAACTACAAACCACTGCTCAATGAAATAAAAGAGGATACAAACAAATGGAAGAACATTCCATGCTCATGGGCAGGAAGAATCAATATCGTGAAATTGGCCATGCTGCCCAAGGTAATTTATAGATTCAATGCCATCCCCATCAAGCTACCAATGCCTTTCTTCACACAATTGGAAAAAGCTACTTTACAGTCCATATGGAAGCAAAAGGAGTCCACATTGCCAAGTCAATCCTAAGCCAAAAGAACAAAGCTGGAGGGATCAAACTACCTGACTTCAAACTATACTACAAGGCTACAGTAAACAAAATAGCATGACACTGGTACCAAAACAGAGATATAGATCAATGGAACAGAACAGAGCCCTCGGAAATCATATCACACATCTACAACCATCTGATCTCTGACAAACCTGACAAAAACAAGCAATGGGGAAAGGATTCCCTATTTAATAAATGGTGCTTGGAAAACAGGCTAGCCATATGTGAAAGCTGAAACTGGATCCCTTCCTTACACCTTCTACAAAAATTAAATCAAGATGGATTAAAGACTTACATGTTAGACCTAAAACCATAAAAACCCTACAAGAATACTTAGGCAATACCATTCAGGACATAGACATGGGCAAGGACTTCATGTCTAAAATACCAAAAGCGATGGCAGCAAAAGCCAGAATTGACAAATGGGATCTAATTCAACTAAGGAGCTTCTGCACATCAAAAGAAACTCCCATCAGAGTGGACAGGCAACCTATAGAATGGGAGAAAATTTTTGCAATCTACTCATCTGACAAAGGGCTAATATCCAGAATCTACAAAGAACTTAAACTTACAAGAAAAAAACAAACAACCCCATCAACAAGTGGGTGAATGATACGAACAGACACTTCTCAAAAGAAGACATTTATGCAGCCAAAAAGCACATGAAAAAATGCTCATCATCATTGGCCATCAGAGACATGGAAATCAAAACCAAAATGAGATACCACCTCACACCAGTTAGAACGGTGATCATTAAAAAGTCAGGAGACAACAGGTGCTGGAGAGGATGTGGAGAAATAGGAACACTTTTACACTGTTGGTGGGACTGTAAACTAGTTCAACCACTGTGGAAGGCAGTGTGGAGATTCCTCAGGGATCTAGAACTAGAAATACCATTTGACCCAGCCATCCCATTACTGGGTATATACCCAGAGGATTTTAAATCATGCTGCTATAAAGACACATGCACAGGTATATTTATTGCAGCACTATTCACAATAGCAAAGACTTGGAGCCAAGCCAAATGTTGAACAATGATAGACTGGATTAAGAAAATGTGGCACATATACACCATGGAATACTATGCAGCCATAAAAAGTGATGAGTTCATGTCCTTTGTAGAGACATGGCTGAAGCTGGAAACCATCATTCTCTGTAAACTGTCACAAGGACAAAATACCAAACACCGCATGTTCTCACTCATAGGTGGGAATTGAACAATGTGAACTCATGGACATAGGAAGGGGAACATCACACAGTGGGGCCTGTTGTGGGGTGGGCGTGGGGGGAGAGATAGCATTAGGAGATATACCTAATGTTAAATGACGAGTTAATGGGTGCAGCACACCAACATGGCACATGTATACATACATAACTAACCTGCACATTGTGCACATGTACCCTAAAATTTAAAGTATAATAAATAAAAGGACCCATCTTGAATCATTGGGGGTGGGTTTCCCCTATATCTGGGGCCCACGTTATTTTTTCTTTTTCCCAGGTGCATGTGGGAACCTGATTCCCTTTGGTAGGTGCAGAGAAATGTTATCGGTTAGGTCCTCAGAGAGGCTTGTTTCACTCCCTGATGACTGGTGAGTAGTCTGTGTATGGTCCAGGTTAACTATGGGTCACACGGAGTCTAAAAATTATACTCATCTCTTCTATATTAAACTCCAGTTAAAACATAAAAGGGTTCGAGTCCCCATGGAAAATACGGTCACTCTTTAGGGCAGTGGTAAAATTCTGCCCTTCATCTCCTGAAAAAGGAAATTTAAATGCAGACCTATTAAAACAGGGAAGGGTCCAAGTAACCATGGAAAATATGGTCACTCTATTCAGGACAGTGGAAAAATAATGTCCTTGGTTTCCTGAAAAAGGAACCTTATATGGCAAAGTATGGGACGGTGTTGGTGCAGCATTCCAGGCACTGGTCTCAACAGGGAATTTTCTCCCCGTCACTGTTTGGGGTGGTTGGGAATTGTGCGTTCTGTCTTGGTGGCATGCCGTTCCCATGAACCCCTGCAGTAGTCACAGTTTTTTGCCTTTTCCTCAGTTTCTCTGACTTTTCCTCAGCCATCCTCTCCCACATGGCCTTCGTTATCTGATCATCCTCTCCCTTCACTTACTCCTCCTCCTCCTGTTGAAAATTCAATGTCTAACTCCAGTGACTTTGGCTTAATGTTAGCTCCTGCTTATCTTATTTCTTTTCACAAAGAGCCGGTACTTGTAGCTCCCGCAGCCCCAAGTCACACAGCCCAGGACCATATATATACGCTAATTCTTCTCTTTTCAAACCTCCAGAGTCAACTAATGGCTCCAGGACCAAACTACAATGCGCCTATAATTCTGCAGGTCCTCCCCCATCCACTTCAGCCCCTCGCCCTCGTGTTGTTTTGGTTCCTCAGCCAGTCAGTTTGCCATCCACTCAGCGTGCTTCTCTGTACCCTTCTTCACACATGGACGCCAGTAATCACCAGTATACTTCTGCTCCTCCAATACCCCTTTCTCACATTCTCATTCCTGTCTGACCCCCTCACCCTCCGTTTCCGTTATCTACACATGATTTTCCTGTCACTTCTATGCTGACTCCATCCAGATGCCTACTCTTGAAACTTCAATGCAACACTTATTATGCCAAAACAAAGAAACAAGTGGATTAGACGTGTGGACTTATCCAGTCATGCTAGACGCTCCTAACTTCCTAGGGTTACAAATGTGTCTCTATGTACCTCTTAATCTTACCTTTTTAAAAGAATTTAAGGATGCTTGGACTCAGTATGGTCCTACTTCTCCTTATGTTAAAATGCTATTACAACCTTTTTTTTTACAGAGGTCACTTTACTTATTTTAGACTGGGAACTTTTTGCAAAACTGTTCTGACCCCATCTCAGCATTTACAATTTCGTACCTGGTGGTTAGAAAGGCTAATTTGCAGGCTCAGCTAAGTTGGACTAATGGCATTCTAGTTACTCAGACTCAGCTCACAGGCTCCGATAATTTCTTTGATACTTATGCCCAATTAAACTTTGATGCTCTTACCACGGAACAAGTAACAAAGGTGTGTATGAGAGCTTGGGATAAATGACACGACCCAGGCCAACCTCCTGTTTCTTTTACTACCATTAAACAAGGTCACACTGAATTGTACCCTGATTTTTTAGCAAAATTGCAAGATGTTGTTGAAAAGTCTGTCTCTGATGAGCGTGCTGAAGGTATTCTCCTTTGTACGTTAGCTTTTGAAAATGCGAACCATGAGTGTAAAATGGTCAAGCATTCTGTCCAATGACAAAATTTGCCTGATCATGAGGTGTTGCCTGCATATATTAAAGCATGTGAAGACATTGGATCAGACACCCACAAGGCTATCCTGTGGGCACAGGCCATGAAGGATACCAATCAAACTGGCCCCACTAATTCTTTTCTTGGAGAGTGCTATAATCATGCTCAACTTGGTCATACTCAGAAAAATTGCACTGTTAAAAACTTAAAAGCTTCCAAGCTGGCTCAACAAACATGGCCAAATGCTGCTGCTACTATTAGTCCACGTGGTAAAGGTAAACATTGGGCTAGTAATTGTCACTTTAAGTATGATATAAATGGAAACCCCCTACCACAAAACCAGGGGAATAGGGAGCAGATCTTGTCCCAGGCCCCGATATCAAATGAGATGCTTCAGACTCAGACCAACATTGCGTCCAACTTCAGGCAGTCCCAACAACCCCCAGCACAAACAAATTTACCTACAGCCAACCCAGATGGGTCCCAGCCTTTCCCTCTGTCTCAGTACAATGCTTATCCACCTCCATGGTAAGGGGCAGGGTGGTCGATCTCTGTAATACTATTCCTCTAAATTTACTACCTAACTCTTTGCCTTTAATTATCCCCCAGGGGTCACTGGCCATTTACCTCAAGGTTTAGTGGGCCTGGTGGTAGGAAGGGCATCCACCTCTGCTAAAGGAATCACCATTCATACTGGTCTCATTAATTCTGATTCTGTTGATGACATTAAATTAATTGTGTCTGCCAAGGCTCCTGTTTCCATTCAGGCCAGTGAGTCAATTGCTCAATTGCTTTTACTACCTAATATCATTTTAAAGAAAGGAGATAAGATGAGTGGCCCTGGGATGGGCTCCAGCAGTGAAAAGGCCACTTATTGGACTAATGTAATTTCTAAACAACTGCCCACCTGCACCATATATATTCAAGGAAAAAAGTTTGAGGGTCTAGTGGATACCAGGGCTGATGTTTCTGTTATTTCCTCTAGTTTATGGCCTTCTTCCTGGCTTAAACATCCCACTAACATGGGACTAGTAGGTGTTGGAAAAGCTGAGGAAGTGTATGAGAGCACATTTATCTTGCCTTGCACTGGCCCAGATGGTCAAAATGGTACAATTCAGCCCTAAATCATGCCAATTCCCATTAATCTCTGGGGTAGAGATTTACTGGTACAATGGGGGGCTGAAATTAATATTCCATATAACTCTTATAGTGCTCCCAATCAGCATATGATGGAAAACATGGGGTTTGTTCCTGGGCTCGGTCTCGGTCCAAAGCATGAAGGGATTACTAAACCCCTCCCAGTTGCTATAAAAGAAACAGGGCAGGTTTAGGTTATTCTTTTCAGTGGTGGCTGCTGCCATGCCTCCTGACCCTATCCCTTTACAATGGAAATCTGAGACACTGGTTTGGATTCAGCAGTGGCTGCTCTCTAAACAAAAACTGGAGGCTTTAACTCACTTGGTTTCTGAACAGTTACAACTTGTAAATGTGGAACCTTCTCTTTCCCCCTGGAATACTCCTGTGTTTCTAGTAAAATGAAATCAGGCAAGTAGCAGATGGTAACTGATTTAAGAGCCATTAACACTGTAATTAAACCTATGGGGGCTATCCAACATGACATGCCTGCCCCTGCTTTAGTACCTAAAAATTGGCCTCTCATAGTTATTGATCTTAAAGATTGTTTTTTTCATATTGCTTTACATAAATTGGATTGTGAAAAATTTGCTTTTACTGTACTGTCTATTAAAAATCAGGAGCCTGCACCTTGTTATCAATGGAAGATACTTCCTCAGGGAATGCTGAATAGCCCTACAATCTGCCAGCATTATGTTGGACAAGTGCTTTCACCAGTTCGAGCCCAATTCCCCCAGGCCTATATTATTTATTATATTGATGATATTTTAATTGCTGCCCCCAACTGATAAAGAATTAATTGTTTGTAATCAAATTTTGAGCCACTGTGTTACAGAGGCTGGATTACACATTGCTCAGGATAAAATTCAACAGACCACTCCTGTTCAAAATTTAGGAATGGTGGTCATAAACAATTTATTCAACCTCAAAATTTCAAATTAGGAGAGATCCTTTGAAAACTTTAAATGACTTCAAAAACTTTTGGGTAACATTAATTATTTAAGACCTACTTTAGGTATTCTGACCAATAGGCCTCAATGTGCTCTCAAATATCCCTTTGCAGAGTCTACAAAAACCGTGTTTCCAAACTGCTGATTGAAAAGCGAGGTTTAATTCTGTGAGATGAGTATACACATCACAAAGTGGTTTCTCAGATATATTCCTTCTAGTTTTTACCCTGGGGTATTCACGTTTTCACCATTGGCCTCAATGAGATCCCAAATATCCCTTTGTCAATTGTACAAAAACAGTGTTTCCAAACTGTGGAATGAAAAGAAAGAATTAACTCTTCAAGATGAATGAACACATCACAATGTGGTTTCTCAGATAGCTTCTTCCTAGTTTTTATACTAGGATATTTGATTTTTCACCAATAACCTCAAGGAGCTCCCAAAAGTCCATTTGCAGAATAAACAAAAACAGGTTTGCAAACTGCTGAATCAGAATAAAGTTTAACACTATGAGATGAAGGCACACATCACAAAGAAGTTTCTCAGAAAATTTCTTGCTTATCAGAAGATATTTTCTTTTTCACTATAGGCCTCAATGCACTCCCAAATATTCCTTCGCAGATTTTACAAAAACAGTGTTTCCCAACTGCTGAGTGAAAAGAAAGGGTTAACTCTGCTAGTTGAATGCACACATCACACAACGGTTTCTCTGATAGCTTTTTTTTAGTTTCTATCCTGGGAGATTCTCTTTTTCGCCACTGGCCTCAATGAGCTCCCAAATGTCCATTTGCAGAATGGACAAAAACAGTGCTTCCAAACTGCCGTGTCAAAAGAAAAGTTGAACTTTTTGAGATGAATGCACAAATCACAAAGTGGATTCTCAGTTAGTTTCCTTCTAGTTTTTATCCTGGTATCAGTTAGCTTCCTTCTAGTTTTTATCCTAGTATATTTGCTTTATTGACACTGGCCTCAATGAGCGCCGAAATGTCCATTTGCAGAATGGACAAAAACAGTGTTTCCAGACTGCTGAATTAAAAGAAAGGTTTAACTTTGTGAGATGAATTCACAGATCACCAAGCAGTTTCTCAGAAAGTTTGTTTCTAGTTTTTATCTGAAGATATTTTGTTTTTCAGCCTAAGCTTCAATGTGATCCCAGATGTTATTATGCAGATTCTACAAAAATAGTGTTTCCAAACTGCTGAATGAAAAGAAAGTTTTAGCTTTGGGAGATGAATGAACACATCAAATAGCAGTTTCTCAGATAGCTTCCTTTAGTTTTTATCCTAGGGTATTCATTTATTGCCATTGGCCTCAATGAGCTCCCAAAGGTCCATTCATAGAATGGACAAAAACAGCGTTTCCAAACAGGTGAATCAAAAGAAAGTTTTAACTCTGTGAGTTGAATACACAAATCACAAAGCAGTTTCTCAGATAGCATCATTCTAGTTTTTATCCTGGGATATTCACTTTTTCACCATTGTCCAGAATGAGTTCACAAATGTCCATTTGTAGAATGGTCAAAAACAGTGTTTCCAAACTGCTGAATTAAAAGGAAATTTTAACTCTGTGAGATGAATACACACTTCACAAAAAGTTTCTAGGAAAACTTCCTTTTACTTTTTACGTGAAGATATTTTCTTTTTTACCATAGGGCTCAATGCACTCCCAAATATCCCTTTGCAGATTCTATAAAAGCAGTTTTACAAACTGAAGAGTGAAAAGAAAGGTTTAAATCTTCCAAATGAATGCACACATCAAAAAGCAGTCTCAGATAGCTTCCTTCTAGTTTTTATCCTGGGATATTCATTTTTCTCCATTGGCCTCGTTGACCTCCCAAATGTCCATTCACAGAATGGAAAAAAAAACAATGATTCCAGACTGCTGAATCAAAAGAAATGGTAAACTCAGAGGTGAATGTACACATCAAAAAGCAGTTTCTCAGAAAGCTTCTTTCTAGTTTCTATACAGAGGTATTTTCTTTTTCACCATAGGCCTCAATGCACCCTTCGCAGGTCCTACCATAGACCTCAATGCACCCTTCTCAGGTATTTTCTTTTTCTTTTTCACCATAGACATCAATGCACCCTTTGCAGATTCTACAAAAACACTGTTTCCAAAACTGCTAAATGAAAAGAAAGGTTTAACACTGTGAGAAGAATGCACACATCACAAAGAAGTTTATCAGAGAGCTTCCTTCTTTTTTTATCCTGGAATATTCACTTTTTCACATTGGCCACAATGAGCTCCCAAATGTTCATACTCAGATTGGACAAAAACAGTGTTTCCAAACTGCTGGATCAAAAGAAAGATTTGACACTGTGAGATGAATGTGCACATCACAAAGCAGTTTCTCAGAAAACTTCTTTCTACTTTTTATCTGAAAATATTTTCTTTTTCACCATAGGCCTCAATGCACTCCCAAATATCCCTTCACAGATTCTACAAAAACAATGTTTCCAAACTGCTGAATGAAAAGAAAGGTTTAACTCTGCAAGTGAATGCACACATCAAAAAGTGGTTTCCCAGATACCTTCCTTCTAGTTTTTATCCTGGGATAAATCTACCCTTTTTCGCCTTTGGCCTCAATGAGCTCCCAAATGTCCATTTGCAGAACGGAAGAAAAAAGTGTTTCCAAAAAGCTGAGTAAAAATAAGGTTTACCTCTGTGACAAGAATGCACACATTACAAACAGTTTCACAGAAAGCTTCCTTCTATTTTTTATCTGAGGATATTTTCTTTTTCACCATTGGCCTCAAAGCACTCTCAAATGTCCCTTCACAGATTCTACAAAAACAGTGTTTCCAAACTGCTGAATGAAAAGAAAGTTTTAGCTTTGGGAGATGAATGAACACATCAAATAGCAGTTTCTCAGATAGCTTCCATCTAGTTTTTATCCTGGGTTATTCTCTTTTTCACCACTTCCTTCAATGAGCTCCCATATGTCCATTTGCACAATGGACAAAAACAGGTTTCCAAAGTGCTGACTCAAGAGAAAAGTTTAACTCTGTGAGATGAATGCAAAAATCACAAACCAGTTTCTCAGAAAGCTTCTTTCTTGTTTTTATCTAAAGATCTTTTCTTTTTCACCATAGGCCTCAATGCCTTCACAAATATCCCTTCACAGACTCTACGAAAACAGTGTTTCCAAACTGCTGAATGAAAAGATTTAGTTCTGTGAGATGAATGCACACATCACAAGGTGGTTTCTCAGATAGTTTCTTTCTAGTTTTTATCTTGTGGTCTTTGCTTTTTCATCATTGGCCCAATGAGCTCCCAAATATCCATTTGCAAAATGGAAAAAACAGTATTTCCAAACTGCTGAATCAAAAGAAGGGTTTAACTATCGGAGATGAATGCATACCTCACAAAGCAGTCTCTGAGAAAGCTTCTTTCTACTTTTTATCTGAAGATATTTTCTTTTTCACCATAGGCATCATTGTGTTCTAAAATATCCCTTCACAGTTTCTACGAAAACAATGTTTCCACAATGCTGAATTAAAATAAAGCTTTAACTCTCTGAGATGAATTCACACATCACAAAGCAGTTTCTCAGAAAGCTTCTTTCTAGTTTTTATCTGAAGATATTTTCTTTTTCACCATAGGCCTCAATTCACTCCGAAATAACCCTCTGCAGATTCTACAAAAAGAGTTTTTCCAAATTGCTGAATGAAAAGAAAGGTTTAACTCTGTGAGATGAATGTACACATCACAATGTGGTTTCTCAGATAGCTTCTTTCTAATTTTTATCTGAAGATATTCACTTTTTCACCATAGGCCTCAATGGGCTCCCAAACATCCCTTCGCAGAGTCTTCAAAATCAGTGTCTCCAAAATGCTGAATGAAAAGATAGTTTTAATTCTGTGAGATGAAGGCAAACGTCACAAAGCAGTTTCTCTGGTAGGTTTCTTCTAGTTTTTATCCTGGGATATTCACTTTTTCACCGTTGGCCTCAATGAGCTCCCAAATATCAGATCACAGACAGGACAAAAACAGTGCTTCCAAACTGCAGAATCAAAAAATGATTTAACTCTGCTAGATGAATGCACACATCACAAGCAGTTTCTCAGAAAGCTTCTTTCTAGCTTTTTATTTATTTATTTATTTTTTATTATTATTATACTTTAAGCTTTAGGGTACATGTGCACAATGTCCAGGTTAGTTACATATGTATACAAGCGCCATGCTGGTGAGCTGCACCCACTCACTCATCATCTAGCATTAGGTATATCTCCCAAAGCTATCCCTCCCCCCCTGCACCCACCCCACAACAGTCCCCAGAGTGTGATGTTCCCCTCCCTGTGTCCATGTGTTCTCATTGGTCAATTCCCACCTATGAGTGAGAATATGCGGTGTTTGGTTTTTTGTTCTTGCGGTAGTTTACTGAGAATGATGATTTCCAATTTCATCCATGTCCCTACAAAGGACATGAACTCATCATTTTTTATGGCTGCATAGTATTCCATGGTGTATATGTGCCACATTTTCTTAATCCAGTCTATCCTTGTTGGACATTTGGGTTGGTTCCAAGTCTTTGCTATTGTGAATAATGCCGCAATAAATATACGTGTGTGTGTGTCTTTATAGCAGCATGATTTATAATCCTTTGGTTATATACCCAGTAATGGGATGGCTGGGTCAAATGGTATTTCTAGTTCTAGATCCCTGAGGAATCGCCACACTGACTTCCACAATGGTTGAACTAGTTTACAGTCCCACCAACAGTGTAAAAGTGTTCCTATTTCTCCACATCCTCTCCAGCACCTGTTGTTTCCTGACTTTTTAATGATTGCCATTCTAACTGGTGGGAGATGGTATCTCACTGTGGTTTTGATTTGCATTTCCCTGATGGCCAGTGATGGTGAGCATTTTTTCATGTGCTTTTTGGCTGCATAAATGTCTTCTTTTGAGAAGTGTCTGTTCATGTCCTTCACCCACTTTTTGATGGGGTTGTTTGTTTTTTTCTTGTAAATTTGTTTGAATTCATTGTGGATTCTGGATATTAGCCCTTTGTCAGATAAGTAGGTTGCGAAAATTTTCTCCCATTTTGTAGGTTGCCTGTTCACTCTGATGGTAGTTTCTTTTGCTGTGCAGAAGCTCTTTAGTTTAATTGGATCCCATTTGTCAATTTTGGCTTCTGTTGCCATTGCTTTTGGTGTTTTAGACATGAAGTCCTTGCCCATAGTATTCCATGCCCATGCCTATATCCTGATCTGAAGATATTTTCACCATAAGCCTCAATGTGCTCCTAAATATGCCCTTGCAGATTTTTCAAAAACAGTGTTCCCAAACTGATGAAGGAATAGAACGGTTTAACTCAGTGAGATGAATGCACAGGTCATAAAGTTGTTTCTCAGATAGGTTCCTTCTAGTTTTTATCCTGGGATATTCCCTTTTTCACCATTGGCCTCAATGAGCTCCCAAATGTCTGTTCACAGAGTGGACAAAACCAGTGTTTCCAAATTGTGGAATCAAAAGAAAGGTTTAACTCTGTGAGATGAATGCACTTATCACAAAGCAGTTTCTCAGAAAGCTTCTTTCTAGTTTTTATCTGAACATATTTTCTTTTTGACCATAGGCCTCAATGCTCTCCCATATATCCCTTCACAGATTCTACAAAAAAGTGTCCCCAAACTGCTGAATGAAAAGAAATGTTTAACTCTGCAAGATCAATGTACGCATCACAAAGCAGTTTCTCTGATACCTTTCTTCTAGTTTTTATCCTGACATATATGCTTTTTCACTAGTGGCCTCAATGCGCTCCCAAATATCCGTTTGCAGACTCTACAAAAACAGTGTTTCCAAACTGCTGAGTGAAAAGGAAAGTTTAACTGGGCGAGATGAATGCACATATCACAAAACGGTTTCTCAGATAGCTTCCTGAAAGTTTTTATCATGGAATATTTGCTTTTTCACCATTGGCCTCAATCAGCTTCAAAATGTCCATCCACAGAATGGACAAAAACAGTGTTTCCAAACTGCTGAATGAAAAGACAGGTTTAACTCTGTGAGATGAATGCAAATATCTCAAAGCAGATTCTGAGATTGCTTCCTTCTAGTTTTTATCCTGGCATGTTCTCTTTTTTGGCATTTGCCTCAATGAGCTCCCGAATGTCCATTTGCAGATGGTTAAAAACCATGTTTCTGAACTGCTAAATTAAAAGAAAGGTTAAACTATGTGAGATGAATGCACACATCACAAAGCAGTTCCTCAGAAAGCTTCTTTCTAGTTTTTATCTGAAGATAATTTCTTTTTCACCATAGGCCTCAATGTGCTCCCAAATATCCATTCACAGATTCTACAAAAACAGTGTTTCCAAACAGCTGAATGAAAGAAAAGTTTAACTCTGTGAGATGAATGCACACATCACAAAGTGGTTTCCCAGATAGCTTCTTTCTAGTTTGTATCCTGGGATATTCCCTTTTTCACCATTGTCCTCAATGAGCTCCAAAATATTCATTCGCTGAATCAACAATAACAGCTTTTCCAAACTCCGAATCAAAAGAAAGGTTTTAACACTTTGAGATGAATGCACACCTCACAAAGCAGTTTCTCAGAAGGCTTCTTTCTGTTTTTTTTTTTTTTCTGAATATATTTTCTTGTTCACCATAGGCCTTAATGAACTCCCAAATATCCCTTCGTTGATTGTACAAAAATAGTGTTTCTAAACTGCTGAATGAAAAGAAAGATTTAACTCTGCAAGAAAAAACACACCTCACAAAGTGGTTTCTCTAATAGCTTCCTTCTAGTTTTTATCCTGGGATAATTTAATTGTCACCATTGGCCTCAATGAGCTCCCAAATATCCATTCACAGAATGGACAATAACAGTGTTTACAAACTGCTGAATCTAAAAAAGGTTGAACTCTGTGAGATGAATGCACATATCACAAAGAATTTTCTCAGAAAGCTTCTTTGTAGTTTTTATCTGAAGATACTTTCTTTTTCACCATAGACATCAATATGCTCCCAAATATTCCTTTGC
This sequence comes from Homo sapiens, assembly GCF_000001405.40. Taxonomy (NCBI): domain Eukaryota; kingdom Metazoa; phylum Chordata; class Mammalia; order Primates; family Hominidae; genus Homo; species Homo sapiens. The sequence goes on from NW_012132918.1 coordinate 161,809, forward strand.
AGATTCTACCAAAACAGTGTTTCCAAACTACTGAATGAAAAGAAAGCTTTAACTCTGTGAGATGAATGCACACATCACAATGCGGTTTCTTAGGTAGGTTTCTTCTAGTTTTATCCTGAGATATTCACTTTTTCACCATTGGCCTCAATGGCTCCCAAATGTCCATTTGCAGTTAGGAGAAAAACAGTGTTTCTATACTGCTGCATCAAAAGAAAGGTTTAACTCTGTGAGATGAATGCACACATCACAAAGCAGGTTCTCCAAAAGCTTCTTTTACTTTTGACCTGAAGATATTTTCTTTTTCACCTTAGGCCTCAGTACTTTCCCTATTATCTCTTCATAGATTCTACAAAAACCATGTATCCAAACTGCTGAATGAAAAGAAAGGTTTAAAGCTGTGAGATGAATGCACACATCATGAAGCAGTTTGTCAGATAGGTTCCATCTACTCTTTATGATGGTACATTTGCTTATTCGCAATTGGCCTCAGTAAGCTCCCAAATGTTCATTCACAGAATGGACAAAAACAGTGTTTATAATCTCTTGAATCAAAAGAAAGTTTTACCTCTGTAAGATGAATGCATACATCACAACGCAGTTTCTCAGAAAGATTTTTTCTACTTTTTATCTGAAGATATCTTCTTTTTCACCATAGACCTCAACATGCTCCCAAATATGCCTTCACAGATTCTACAAAACAGTGTTTCAACACTGGTGAATGAAAAGAAAGGGTTAACTCTGTGAGGTGGATGCACACATCACAAAGCAGTTTCTCAGAAAGCTTCTTTCTTGTTTTTATTTGAAGATTTTTCTTTTTCACCAAGGGCCTCAATGGGCTCCCAAATATCCCTTTGCAGATTCTACAAAAATAGTGTTTCCAAACTGCTGAACTAAAAGAAAGGTTTAACCTGCTAGATGAATGCACACATCACAAAGCAATTTCTTAGATAGCTTCCTTCTAGTTTTTTTCCTGTGATATTCACTTTTTCACCTTTGGACTCAATGAACCTGCAAGTGTCCATTTGCAGAATGGCAAAAACTGTTTCCAAACTGCTGAATCTAAAGAAAAGTTTAATTCTGTGAGATGAATGCTCACACCACAAAGCAATTTCTCAGAAAACTTCTTTCTAGTTTTTATCTGAAGAAATTTTCTTTTTCACCATTGGCCTCAATATGCTCCCAAATATCCCAATGCAGACCCTACAAACAAAGCGTTTCCAAATTGCTGCATGAAATGAAAAGTTTAACTATGTGAGATGAATGCACTCATCACAAATCAATGTCTCAGATGGCTTCCTTCTATTTTTTATCCTGGGATATTCACTTTTTCACCATTGGCCTTAGTGAGCTCCCAAATGTCCATTCGCAGAATAGACAAAAACAGTGTTTTCAAACTGCTGAATCAAAAGAAAGGTTTAACTCTGTGAGATGAATGCACACATCATGAAGCAGTTTCTCAAAATGTTCTTTCTACTTTTCATCTGAAGTTATTTTGTTTTTCACCATAGGAGTTAATGCACTCCCAAATATCCCTTTGCAGATTCTGCAAAAACAGTGTTTCCAAACTGCTGAATGAAAAGAAAGTTTTGTCTCTGTGAGATGAAAGCACACATCACAAAACGGTTTGTCAGATAGCTTCCTTCAATTTTTTATCTTGGGATATTTGCTTTTTTTGCCCTTGGCCTCAATGAGCTCCCAAATGGAATGGACAAAACCAGTGTTTCCAAACTGCTGAATCAAAAGAAAAGTTTAATTCTGTGAGATGAAAACACACATCACAAAGCAGTTTCTCAAAAGCTTCTTTCTACTTTTTATCTGAAGATATTTTCTTTTTCACCATAGCCCTCTGCCAAGACCAGCTCATTCAGGGAGACCCTAACCCAGTGGTGCTAGAGGAATTAACAACACACACACAGAAATACAGAGGTGTGAAGTGGGAAATCAGGGGTCTCACTGTCTTCAGAGCTGAGAGCCTCAATCAGACACTTACCCACAAATTTATTAACTGCAAGCCAGTCATTAACATTGTTTCTATAGATAGTAAATTAACTTAAAGTATCTCTTATGGGCTATGAAGGGATGGGCAAAATTAAAGGAATAGGTTGGGGTAGTTAACTGCAGCTGGAACATGACATTAAGGCACAGATTTCTCATGCTGTTTGTGGCTTAAGAAAGCCTTTAAGTGGTTTTCCACCCTGGACAGGCCAGTTGTTTCTTGCCTTCATTCTGGTAAACCCCCAATCTTTCAGTGTCAGCATTAGTGCCATCATGACCATGTCACAGTGCTTATTGTTTATGGCCAGTTTTGGGGCCAGTTTATGGCCAGATTTTTGGGGAGCTTGCTCCCAACATGTACCCCTTCTTTGATTTTCAAATTGATAAAAGCAAAGGCAGCTTTGTCATGGTGAGCTGCTTCTCACAGGAGTCAGGGTCTGCATCTGCAGACTATACAAAGACAAACAATAAAGATTAAAAGTACAATCATCATTGAAATCACAGAGTTACCAAGTGTTTTTATCCATTCTAATGGATGACTTGCTGCTACTTTGTCTGCAGATCTTTAAACACTCCAGTTCCTGGCATTAAAGTCAGGTGTGCCTGGGATGCTTTAAATATTTGTTCTTTTAATTTTGCTATATCCAAAAACAAGTTTGTAGAGTGTCCTTCTAGATGCTTTTTTATTATTTCCCTAATTTTGATCTTATTAAGAGCATCTAATAGTTTCTACAAATCCTTATATTAAGCTCCTTAGTGCGGGCCATATCATTTGAGGATGAGGTGCCACTATACCACCATGGTTCCAGATAATAGGAAGTTTTGTTATATTTCTTATCATATCTATCATCTGACCATTTTGTTCAGATCATCTGAACATTATGTGGCCGTGGCACATAGACTGAGACGTGCAATTCAAACTAAACATCCCCTTAGGGGACTAATTAATAATGATTCCATGGGAATCATAGGAATCGTTGTGCAGTGCCTCTGCCTGCTCTGCAATGCAAATCTTCCTAAACAAGTATGTTCATTTTCTCTAACTGGGTCCAATCCTGTTTACAAATAGGTTTTTGAGGGCAGTTGCCTCAATATAGGAGCCAATTTATTATGGTAAATACCAAGATCAGAAAGCATGTGTAACTGTGTCATAGAATGATTGCATCCAGGCATTATTGCCAGCCGAGATTGATAAATATTACCAGTAAGTATAATTGTTCTCTTTGTCAGCCCTTATTGAAGGAATACTCATGGCAGTGGTGATAACTGCTATCATAGCTACCATTAAATTATTCATTGTGACTGGTTGTCCCACTTTCCTCAAGTTTTCTTCTGCCATCTGTGACAGCTTCTTAATCTGTCCCCAGGAGGGTGGCTGTGTTTGATGGGTGTTGCTCATGACAGTTGGTGTCCCCCTCAGCATCAGTCTCAACATGGCTGCAACTGGGGTGTCCTCAGGATCCTCCTGGGGTCTCTTTCTCAGCATCTGGCTCACAATAAAGTTTCAGGTGTCTTGATGGTATCCAGATTGTCTGTTGATTTTGGCCTGGAGAAACACAAGCATAACTTCTACCCCAAGTTATTATTTTACCTGTTTCCCAACTTTTCATAATCGGATCTCTCCACCAAATCAGTTGTTCTGCTTCTGTCTTTGTAGCTGGTTTCTGTAGATGTTGTTCAGCTGCTGATAGCATCTGGCCTTTGGGCAGGCTCAAAAAATTAAAGTTAATAATGCTGGATTCAGTGGCATCTGCAGGGTTCCATATTCTCTTTCACCCCCTTTCTGGTTTTGCAACTGCTGTTTTCGAGAGAGATTCATTCTTTCCACTGTGGCTTGTCCTTGAGAACTGTATGGGATACCAGTAACATGTTTAATATTCCACATAGAGAAAAATGTAGCTAGAGCTTGGCTAGTATAGCCTGGGGCATTATCTGTTTTAATAGTAGCGGGAATGCCCATCACCACAAAACACTACAAAGGGTGACATTTAACACGGGTAGAAGACTCTCCTGATTGGCAAGTAGCCCAAAGTGAGAAAAGGTGTCCACACATACATGTACCTAAGATAGTCTCCCAAACGAGGGAACATGTGTGATATCCATTTGCCTAAGAGAGTTAGGTTCCAATCCTCGAGGATTAACTCCTCCTATGAAAGATGAGGAATGTACCATTTGGCAAGTTGGGCGTCACTGGATAATAGCTTTAGCTTCTTTCCAGGTAATGCTGTATCTGCATTTGAAGCCAGAGGCATTAACATGAGTTAAATTGTGAAAGTGTCCACTGTTAGATATTGCATTAGTGACTAGATGATCAGCCATTTGATTCCCTTCAGTCAAAAGTCCTGGAAGAGGTGTATGAACCCTAATATGAGTGATGTACAAAGGGTGCATTCTACTTCTAAATGCTATTTGTATTTTGGTAAATAAAGTCATCAGTTGTTCATCTGTATGAAATCCTAACTGAGCATTTTCAATTAACTGTGTGGAATGAACCTTGTATGAAGAAACAGAAATCACATCAATAGGCATATCAAAAACAGTCACCTCAATTACAGCAAACAGCTCTGCATTTTTAGGCATCTGGAAAACTTCACTTTTTGAGCCAGAATAAGAAGCTTTACCATTACTAGACCCTTTGTAAAAACATTCTCAGCAACCTCAATTGGTTTAAATTTAGTTATTTTAGGGAGAATCCTATTGCTTAATTTCAAAACCTGAAACAGCTTTGTTTTAGGAAAATGGTTATTGAGAATACTCCCAAAGTCAGCTAAATGGGTTTGCCAAGTAAGACTACTGATAAAAGCTTGATGTATTTGTGTCTTCCTGAGAGGGACAATAATTTTTCCAGGATCATATCCATGTAATTTAACAATCTGAGTTCTCCCAATTCCTATCATAGTAGCAATTTGATCTAAATAAAGAGTTAGAGTTCATGAATTAGTATGTGGAAGAAAAAGCCACTCTACTGAGTCCTGCTCTTGGACAATAACACCAGTAGGTGAACGTGGAGTTGAAAAAATTAGCAAATCTAGAGTCTTCTCTGGATCTATTCTACTTATTTAAGCTTTATGGACTTGCTTTTCAATCAGCTGTAACTCGACCTCAGACTCCTTTGTTGATTGCTGAGGGTTAGTGAGACTAGGATTTCCTCAAAGGATAGAAAACAGATTACTCATGGCATAGGTAGGAATGCCTAGTATGTGTCATATCCAATCAATGTCCCCTAGTAATTTTTGAAAGTCTTTAATGTTTTCAATTGATCCCTACATATGTTTACTTTCTGTGGCACAATGGTAGAGTCATTTACTGATGTCACCAATTAGGAGTAGGTAGTAGTAATCTGAATTTTGTCAGGAGCTATAATTAAACTGGTGTGAGAAATCAAATTTTGCAAGTGATCATAACATTGGAGAAACATTTATTGAGTGGGGGCAGCACAAAGTACATCATCCATATAGTGAATAATGTAACATTGTGAAAATTTTTATTAATAGGGTCAATAGATTGTCCTACATACCTCTGGCAAATTGTTGGACTGTTTAACGTGCCTTGTGGCAACACTTTCCAATAATAATGCTTAGCAGGCTGCAGGTTGTTTACTGCAGGAATTGTAAAGGCAAACCATTCACAATCTTGCTCAGCTAAGGGGATAGTAAAGAAACAAACAGTCTTTTAAATCTATGACAATTAAAGGCCAATGTTTTGGAATTACAGCAGAAGGCAATCCTGGCTGTAATGCTCCCATAAATTGATGGCTCTTAAGTCAGTTAACGTTCTCCATTTACCTGAATTTTTCTTAATTATGAAAACTGGAGAATTCCAATGGGAAAATGTTGGAGCTATGTGCCCATTTTCTAATTGTTCAGTAACTAATTTCTCTAAAGCGTCCAGTTTCTCTTTACTTAGTAGCCATTGTTCTATCCAAATTGGCTTATCTGTTACCCATTTTAAAGGTATAGGTTCTGGAGGCTTAACAATAGCTGCCATAAAAAAATGCTATCTTAAACCTTGGTGGGAACTTTGTATTTCCATTTGAAGTTGTTCTTTCTAACTTTGCAGATTTTTTCTAGTCCCATACCAGGGACATACCTCTTTTCATGCATTATATGTTGGCTTTGAAGGCTATATATTTGTTCTGGAATTAGAACTTTTGGTCCCTATTGTTGTAATAAATCTCTTCCCCATAAATTTATAGGTACAAAAGTTATAATTGGTTGAATAGTCCCAGGTTGTCCATCGGGCCCTTCACAGTGCAAAATATAACTATTTTGATATAGTTAAGGGGCTTTACCAACTTCAACTATGTTAAATTGAGAGGGTTGAATTGGCCACATGGACAGCCAGTGCTGTAGAGAAATGATTGAAATGTCTGCTCCTGTATCTACCAAATCTTTAAATTTCTTTCCTGAATAGTTATTTCACAGGTAGGATGTTTATCAGTTATTTGATTTACCCAATAAGCTGCTTTGCCTTGTTTATTTGTGCTTCCAAATCCTTCTTTTCATTTAATTTCACTTTTTCCCATTCCCACATACAGCATTATCAGGAGCTGTGCTATGCACTCTCCTGGCTCTGCTTTCCAGGGAACAGAAGTAGATATAAGAATTTGAATTTCCCCATTGTAATCTGAATCAATGACTCCTGTATGTATTTGTACCCCTTTTAAACTTAAACTAGACCTTCCTAGATGTAATCCTATTGTCCCCACTGGCAAGGGTCCACAGACTCCTGTTGGAACCTTTTGCAGGGGTTCCCCAGGCAGAAGGCTCACCACTTTTATGCAGCATAAATCTACTGCAGCACTACTGGCTGTGGTGGGAGACAGACATTGTACAAGGGTGAGGGAATGGCCTGAGCTGGAAATGCCCCAGTTTAGAATGGGGCCTAAGGTGGTCCCCTAATGGCATTTCCCAAAATTGGGTTCCCATCTTTATCAAACTTAGAATGACACTGATTAGCCTAATGTTTCCTTTTTTACATTTTGGACATATTTCTGGCTCAAGAAGTTTCTTTATTCCCCTATCTGGTGGCCTGACTCACTGATTTTTTCTACATTCTTTTTCAGTATGACCATGCTTCCCACAGTTAAAACAAGCTCCAGGAAATGGAGTATTTTCTTTATTGACCCTCAGTTCTGCCACTGCCTGTGCCAACAAAGTAGCTTTATGCAGATTACCTCCGATACCATCACAGGCCTTGACATAATCAACTAAATGTGCTTTCCCTCTGATAGGTCACAGAGCAGCCTGGCAATCGGGATTAGCATTCTCAAAAGTTAATTACTGCAACACTATAACATGAGCAGCCAAATCTGCAATCATCTTTTTAAGAGACTCCTGTAACCAAGCTATAAAACCAAAGTATGGTTCTCTTGGTCCCTGTTTTATAGCACTAAAGGAAAGGTGTTGTTCTCCACCCGAAGTGATTTTTTTCCCAAGCTCTAATGCAGACTCCACTAAGCCGTTCTATGGCATCACCCTGCATGACCACTTGTGCATCTAAACCAATGCAGATGCCAGTCCCCAAAAGCTGGTCTGCAATTATATTAATTTGAGGTTTGGCCTTGGCATTGCAAGCAGCCTGAATGGAAGCTTCATCTGGCCACCAAGTTTTAAATTGTAGCAACTGAGCAGGAGTTAGACAAGCTCAAGTAAGAGTGTCCCGGTCAGTAGGAATCATCTGACTGGAAACAGCAACATTCTTTAACAGTCCCATTAGAAAAGGAGAACCTGATCCATACTGATTTATAGTTTATTTAAATTCTTTGAGTAATTTAAAAGGAAAAGGCTCAAATATAGCTGTAATATTTTCCTGTTTATCTGGGGTGTGTATTCTAACAGGGAACTGCCAAGCCTCTAAATCACCCTCTCATCTAACTGGCTGAATTCCTGCCGGAATAAAACTAAGAGCAGTCACTCAAGCTACTGCTCAAACAGTCTCTGGGGCAACTATATTCACCCAGTGTCCTCTGGGAAATAAAGTTCTGTAGGGTCTTTTTCTTCAAAATAATATGGAGGGGGTGCCAAAGGTTAGGGATGAACCTCTCCCTCCTTTGCCACTTTAGCTTTAGCTGGCAAATAAATCTGGTCTTTAACCTCTTCTGTTACTTCATTGTACTCTCCTTCCTCCTCATCATCAGTGTGAAAAAGTTCCAAGGTAGAATGAACCAGACCCCACACTTGTCCCATTGTTACCCTGATGCTTCTGAGATACGCTTCTTACTCACCACGGGGATTGCTTTAAGAGTACTCATGTGTCCTCCAGCTAGTTCCACATTCTTCAACCGTTGATCTGGCGACCAACCTGGATTCGAGGCCCCATGAACGAGTGCCACTTGCTGAGACCAGCTGAGTCAGGGAGACCCTAACCCAGTGGTGCTAGAGGAATTAAAGACACACACACACAGAAATATAGAAGTGTGAAGCGGGAAATCAGGGGTCTCACAGTCTTCAGAGCTGATAGCCCCATACAGATATTTACCCACTTATTAACTAACAGCAAATCAGTAATTTGCATTGTTTCTATAGATATTAAATTAACTAAAAGTATCCCTCATGGGAAATGAAGGGATGGGTCAAATTAAAGGAATAAGTGGGGCTAGTTAACTGCAGCAGGAGCATGTCCTAAAGGCACAGATCGCTCATGACATTGTTTGTGGCTTAAGAATGCCTTTAAGAGGTTTTCTGCCCAGGGCAGGCCAGGAATTCCTTACCCTCATTCCAGTATACCCACAACCTTCCAGTGTGTGAGCTACAGCCATCATGAATATGTCACAGTGCTGCAGAGATATTGTTTGGGGCCAGTTTTGGGGCCAGTTTATGGCCAGATTTTGGGGGTCTTGCTCCCAACAGGTTTCAATGTGCTCCAAAATATCCCTTCACAGATTCTACAAAAAGAGTGTTTCCAAACTGCTGATGGAAAAGAAAGTTTTAACTCTAGGAGATGAATGCACACATCACAAAGCAGTTTCTCAGATAGCTTCCTTCTAATATTTATCCTGGGAAATTCACTTTTTCACCTTTGGCCTCAATGAGCTCCTAAATGTCCATTTGCCAAATGGACAAAGACAGTGGTTCCAAACTGCTGAAACAAAAGAAAGGACTAACTCTGTGAGACGAATGCAAACGTCACAGAGCAGTTTCTGAGAAAGTTTCTTTTTAGTTTTTATCTGAAGATAATTGCTTTTTCACCATAGGCCTCAGTGTGCTCTGAATTATCCCTTTGCACATTCTACAAAAACAGTGTTTCCAAACTGCTGAATGAAAGAAAGGTTTAATTCTGTGAGATGAATGTGCACATCACAAAGCAGTTTCTCAGATAGCTACCTTCTAGTTTTTAACCTGGGACATTCGCTTTTTCATCATTGGCCTAAATGTGCTCACAAATGTGAATTTGCAGAATGGAACAATACATTTTCCAAACTGCTGAATCAATAGAAATGTTTAACTCTGTGACATGAATGCACACATTACAAAGAAGTTTCTCAGAAAGCTTCTTTCTACTTTTTATCTGAAGATATTTCCTTTTTAACCACAGGCCACAATGCACTTCCAAATATTCCTTCATGGATTTTACAGAAACAGTGTTTCCTGACTGTTGAATGAAAAGAAAGGTTTAACTCTGTAAGGTGAATGCACACATGACAAACTGTTTCTCAGATAGCTTCCTTCTAGTTTTTATCCTGGGATATTCTCTTTTTTGCCATTGGCCTCAATGAGCTCCCAAACTTCCTTTCACAGGAAAGATTAAAACAGAGTTTCCAAACAGCTGAATAAAAAGAATGGTTTGACTCTGTGAGATGAATGCACACATCATAAGGCAGTTTGGCAGAAAGCTTCATTCTACTTTTTATCTGAATATAATTTCTTTTTCACCATAGGCCTCAAAGTGCTCCCAAATATCCCTTCACAGATTCTATAAAAAGAGTGTTTCCAAACTGCTGAATGAAAAAGGAGGTTTAACACTGCAAGATGAATGCACACATCACAAAGTGGTTTCTCAGGTAGCTTCCTTCTAGTTTTTATCTGGGAAATTCACGTTTTCACCATTGGCCTCAGTGAGTTCCCAGATGTCCATTTGCAGAATGGATGAAAACAGTGTTTCAAAACTGCTGAATTAAAAGACAGGTTTACCTCTGGGAGATGAATGCTTACATCACAAAGCAGTTTCTCAGAAAGCTTCTTTCTACTTTTTTCTGAATATATTTCCTTTTTCACCAGAGACCTCAATGTGCATCCAAATATCCCATTGCAAATTCTACAAAAACCGTGTTTCCAAACTGCTGAATGAAAAGTAAGGTTAACTCTGTGAGATGAATGCACACCTCACTCAGCAGTTTCAGAGATAACGTCCTTCTAGCTTTTATCCTGGGATATTCACTTTTTCACCATTGGCCTCAATGAGCTCCAAAATATCCAGTCACAAAAAGGATAAAAGCAGTGTTTCTGAACTGCTGAATTAACAGAACAGCTTAACTCTGTGAGAGGAATGGATACATAAAAAAGCAGTTTCTCAGAAAACTTCTATCTACTTCTTATCTGAAGAAATTTTCTTTTTCACAATAGGCTTCAATGTACTCCAAATATCCCTTCACAGATTCAACAAAAACAGTTTTTTCAAACTGCTGAATGAAAAGAAAGTTTAACCCCATGAGATGAATGCACACTTCATAAAGTGGTTTCACAGATTGCTTCCTTCTAGTTTTCATCATGGGTTATGTGTATTTAGCCATTGATCTCAATGAGCTCCCAATTGTCCATTCACAGAATGGACAAAAACAGTGTTTCCAAACTGCTGAATCAAAAGAAAGTTTTACCTCTGTGAGATGAATGCATATATCACAAAGGAATTTCTCAGAAAGCTTTTTTCTAGTTTTTATCTGAATATATTTTCTATTTCACCATAGGCCTCTCTGAGCTCCTGAATATCCCTTCACATATTCTACAATAACAGTGTTTCCAAACCATTGAATGAAAAGAATGGTTTAAATCTGAGAGATGAATTGTCCCTTCACAAAGCAATTTCTCAGATAGCTACCTTCTAGTTTTTATCCCAGGTTATTCATGTTTTTGCCATTGACCTCAATGAGCTCCAAAATTTCCATTAGCAGAAAGTACAAAAACAGTGTTTCCAGACTGCTGAATCAGTAGAAAAGTTTACCACTGTGAGATGAATGCACACATCACAAAGCAGTTTATCAGAAAGCTTCTATCTCTTTTTTATTTGAAGATCTTTTCTTCGTCACTGTAGGCCTCATTGCACTCCCAAATATCCCTTCACGGATTCTACAAAAGCAGTTTTTTCCAAACTGCAAAATGAAAAGAAAGTTTTACCTCTGCTAGATGAGTGCAAACATCATTAAGCAGTTTTTCAGATAGCTTCCTACTAGTTTTAATCCAGGGATATTCACTTTTTTGACATTGGCCTCCATGAGGTACAAAATGTCCATTCACAGAAAGCACAAAAGCAGTGTTTCCAGACTGCTGAATCAAAAAAAGTTTTAACTCTTGTAGATGCATGCACACATCACAAAGAAGTTTCTCAGAAATCTTCCTTCTAGTTTTAATCTGAAGATATTTCCTTTTCACAACAGGCCTCAAGGCACTCCCAAATATCCCTTCACACATTCTACAAAAGAGTGTTTCCAAACTGCTGAATGAAAAGAAAGGTTAACTCTGTGAGATGAATGCACACCTCACAAAGCAGTTTCTCAGATAGCTTCCTTTTAGTTTTTATCCTGGGATATTCCCTTTTTCACCATTGGCCACAAATAACTCCCAAATGTCCATTCCCAGAAAGGACAAAAGCAGTGTTTCCAAACTGCTGTTTCAAAAGAAAGGTATAACTCTGTGAGATGGACACATCACAAAGCAGTTTCTCAGAAACCTTCTTTCTAGTTTTTATCTGAAGATATTTCTTTTTCACTGTAGGCTTCAAAGGGCTCCCAAATATCCCTTCAGAGAATCTACAAAAACAGTGTTTAAAACTGCTGAATGAAAAAAAAGGTTTAATTCTGTGAGATGAATACACACATCACAAACCAGTTTCTGAGAAAGCTTCTTTCTACTTTTTATCTGAAGATATTTTCTTTTTCACCATAGGCCTCAATGGACTCCCAAATATTCCTTCACATATTCTAAAAAACAGTGTTTCCAAACTATTAAATGAAAAGAAATGTTTAACTCTAGAAGATGAATGCCCAAATCACAAAGTGATTTCTCTGATAGCTTCCTCTAGTTTTAATGCTGGGATATTCCCTTTTTCACCTTTGGGCTCAATTAGCTCCCAAATGTCCATTCGCAGAAAGGACAAAAGCAGTGTTTCCAAACTTCTGTATCCAAAGAAAGGTTTAACTCTGTGAGATGAATGCACACATCAGAGAGCAGTTTATCAGAAAGATTCTTTCTAGTTTTTATCTGGAGATATTTCCTTTTACACCGTAGGCCTCAATGTGCTCCCAAATATTCCTTCTCCAATTCTACAAAAACAGGGTTTCCAAACTGCTGAATAAAAAGAAGGGTTTAAATCAGTGAGATAAATGCACATATCACAGAGCAGTTTCTCAGATAGCTTCCTTCTAGTTTTTATCTTGGGAGATTGGCTTTTTCGCCTTTGACCTCAATGACCTCCTAAATGGCCATTCCCAGAATGGACAAAAACAGTGCTTCCAAAATCGTGAATCAAAAGAAAAATTTAACTCTGTGAGAAGAATGCACACATAACAAAGTAGCTTCTCAGAAAGCTTATTTCTACTTTTTATCTGGAGATATTTTGTTTTTCACTATAGGCCTCAATGTCCACCCAAATATCCCTTTGCAGATTCTACAGAAGCAGTGTTTCTAAACTGCTGAATGAAAAGAAAGGTATAAATCAGTGAAATGAATGCACACATCACAAAGCTGTTTCTCAGATAGCTTACTTCTAGGTTTTATCATGAGATATGTGCTTTTTTACCATTGGCCTCAATGATCTGGCAATTGTCCATTTGCAGGATGGACAAAAACAGTGTTTCCAAACTGCTGAATCAAAAGAAAAGTTTAACTCTGTGAGATGAATGTACACATCACAAAGCAGTGTCTCACAAATCTTCTTTCTTTTTTTTTAATCTGAAGATATTTTCTTTTTCAACATAGGCCACAAAGTGCTCCTAAGTATCCCTTTGGAGATCCTACAGAAAGAGTATTTCCAAACTGCTGAATGAAAAGAAAGCTTTAACTCTGTGAGATAAATGCAAACGTCCCAAAGAAGTTTCTCAGATAGCTTCTTTCTAGTTTTTATCCTGGGATATATGCTTTTTCACTCTTGGGCTCAATGAGATCCCAAATGTCCTTTTGCAGAATGGCAAAAACAGGTTTCCAAACTGCTGAAACAAAAAAAATGTTTAACTCTGTGAGATGAATGCACACACCATAAAGAAGTTTCTAAGAAGGATTCTTTCTAGTTTTTGTCTGAAGATATTTTCTTTTTCAAGGTAGGTCTCAATGGACTACCAAATATCCCTTCACAGATTCTACAGAAAGAGTGTTTCCAAACAGCTGCATAAAACAAAAGGCTTAACTCTGTGACATGAATGCAAACATGAAAGTGCTTTCTCAGATAGCTTCCTTCAGGTTTTTAGCATGGGATATTCACTTTTTTGCCATTGGCCTAAATGAGCTCCCAAATGTCCATTCACAGAATGGACAAAACAGTGTTTCCAAACAGTTTAATCAAAAGAAAGGCTCAACTCTGTTAAAACAGTGTTTCAAAACTTCTGAATAAAAAGAAAGTTTTATCTCTGCAAGATGAATGCACACATCACATAGTGGTTTCTCAGATAGCTTCCTTCTAGTTTTTATTTTGAGATATTTTATTTTTCACTACTGGCCTCAATGAACTCCCAAATGTCCATCCACATAATGGAAAAAAAGAGGTTTACAAACTGCTAAATGAAAAGAAACGTTTATCACTGTGAGATGAATTCAGACATCACAAAGCCATTTGTCAGAAAGCTTCTCTCTAGTGTTCCTCTGAAGATATTTTCACTGTATTCCTCAAAGCGCTCCCAAATATCCCTTGCCAGATTTAATAAAAACAGTGTTGCCAAACTGCTGAATGAAAAGAAAGGTTTAATGATGCGAGGTGAATGCAAACATCACAAAGCAGTTTCTCAGATAGCTTCCTTCCGGTTTTTTATCCTGGTTTATTCACTTTTTTGCCATTGGCCTCAATGAGCTCCCAAATATCCTTTCACAGAAAGGACAATAACACTGTTTCCAAACTGCTGAATCTAAAAAAGATTTAACTCTGGGAGATGAATGCACACATCACAAAGCAGTTTCTCAGAAAGCTTCTTTCCACATTTTAACTGAAGATACTTTCTTTTTCACCATAGGCCTCAATTTGCTCCCAAATATCCCTTCGCAGATTCTACAAAAACAGCATTTTCAAACTGCTGAAAGAAAAGAAAAGTTTAACTCTGCGAGATGAGTGCACACATCACAATGCAGTTTCTTAGATAGCTTCCTCCTAGGTTTTATCCTGGGATATTCACTTTTTCACATTTGTCCCCAAGGAGCTCTCAAATATCCACTCACAGAATGCACAAAAACGGTGTTTCCAAACTGCTGAATCCAAAGAAACTTTATGAGATGAATGCACACATCACAGAGCAGTTTCTCAGAAAGCTTCTTTCTACTTTTTATCTGAAGACATTTTCTTTTTCGCCCTAGGTATCAAGGAGTTCAAAAATATTCCTTCACAGATTCTACAAAAACAGTGTTTACAAACCGCTGAATGAAAAGAAGGTTTTAACTCTGGGAGATGAATGCTCACATCACAAATCAGTTTCTCAGATAGCTTAATTCTAGTTTTTATCCTGGGATATTCACTTTTTGGCCATTGGCCTCAATGAGCTACCAAATGTCCATTTGCAGAAAAATTAAAAAAAAAACAACAACAGCGTTTCCAAACTGCTAAATGAAAAGAAAAATTTAACTCTGTGAGACAAATGCACAAATCTCAAGAGAGTTTCTCAGAAAACTAGTTTCTATTTTTTACCTGATGATATTTACCTTTTCACCATAGACCTCAATGTGGGTCCAAATATTCCTTTGCAGATTTCACAAAAAACAGTGTTTCCAAATGGCTGAAGGAAAAGATAACTTTAACTCTGTGAGATGAATACCCACAGCACAAAGCGATTTCTCAGAGAGCTTTCTTCTAGTTTTTATCCTGGGATATTTCCTTTTTCACAATTGACCTCAATTAGCTTCCAATTGTCTTTTCCCAGAATGGACAAAAACAGTGTTTCCAAACTGCTGAATGAAAAGGAAGGTTTAACTCTGTGGGATGAATGCACACATCACAAAGTGGTTTCTCATATAGCTTCCTTCTAGTTTTTATCCTGGCGTATTCAGTTTTTCACCAGTGGCCTCATTCAGTTCCCAAATGTCCATTCACAGAAAAGACAAAAACAGTGTTTCCAAAGGGCTCAATCAAAATAAAGGTTTAACTCTGTGAGACAAATGCACACATCAACAAAGCAGTTTCTCAGAAAGCTTCTTTCTACTTTCTAACTGAAGATATTTTCTTTTTCACCAGAGGCCTCAATGCACTTCCAATATTCTTTCACAGATTCTTCAAAACTGCTGAATTAGAAGAAAGATTTAAGTGTGCCAGATGAATGCAAACTTCACAAACTGGATTCTCAGATTGCTTCCTTCTAGTTTTTATTGTAGGATATTCTCTTTTTCACCATTGGCCTCAAAGAGCTCCCAAATGTCCATTCTCAGAATTGACAAAAACAGTGTTTCCAAACTGGTGAATCAAAAGAAAGATTTATCTTTATGAGATGAATGCACACATCACAAAGCAGTTTCTCAGAAAGCTTTCTACTCTCAATCTGAAGATATTTGCTTTTTCACCATAGCTCTCAATGCCCTCCCAAATTTCTCTTTGCATATACTGTAAAAACGTTTCCAAGCTGCTGAATGGAAAGAAAGGTTTAACTCTGTGAGATGAATGCACACCTCTCAAAACATTTTCTCAGATAGCTTCCTTCAATTTGAGATATTTGCTTTTTCGCCATTGGCCTCTATGAGCTTCCAAAAGTCCATTTTCAGAATGGACAAAAACTATGTTTCCAAACTGCTGAATCAAAAGAAAGCTTCAACTCTGTGAGATGAATGTACACATCAAAAAGCAGTTCCTCAGAAAGACTCATTCTACTTTTTATCTGAATATATTTTCTTTTTCACCATAGCCTTCAAGGCACTTCTAAATATCCCTTCACAGATTCTACAAAAAGAGTGTTTCCAAATTGCTGAATGAAAGTGAGCTTTAACTCGGTGAGATGAATGCAAACCTCACCAAGCAGTTTCTCGGATCACTTTCTTCCAGTTTTTGTCCTTTGACATACGTTTTTTGTTATTGGCCTCAAAGAGCTCCCAAATGTCCATTTGCAGAATGGACAAAACAGTGTTTCCAAATTGCTGAATCAAAATAAAGGTTTAACTCTGTGAGATGAATGCATACACCAAAAAGCAGTTCCTCAGAAAGCTTCTTTCTACTTTTTATCTGAAGATATATTCTTTTTCACCACTGGCCTCAACATGTTCCCAAATATCCCTTCAAAGATTCTACAAAAGCAGTGTTTCCAAACTGCTGAATAAAAAGAAAGGTTCAACTCTGCGAGATGAATGCACACATCACATAGCAGTTTCTCAGACAGATTCCTTCTAATTTTCATCCTCAGGTGTTCCCTTTTTCACCATTGGTCTCTATGAGCTCCCAAATGTCCATTTGCAGAATGGACAAAAACAGTGTTTCCACAATGCTGGATCAAAAGAGAGGTTTAATTCTGGAGATTAATGCACACATCACAAAGCAGTTTCTCATATAGCATCTTTCCAGTTTTTAGCTGAAGATATTTTCTTTTTCACCATAGGCCTCAATGTGCTCCCAAATATCCCTTGGCAGATTTGACAGAAACAGTGTTTCCAAACTGCTGAATGAAAAGAAAAGTTTTACTCTGCAAGATGAATGCACACAACAAAAAGCATTTCCTCCAAAAGCTTCTTTCTACTTTTTATCTGAAGATATTTTCTTTTTCAGCATAGACCTCATTGTGCTCCCAAATATCCCTTTGCATATACTACAAAAACAGTGTTTCCAAACTGCTGAATGAAATGAAAGTTTTAACTCTGTTAGATGAAGGCACACATCACAAAGAAGTTTCTCAGATAGTTTACTTCCAGATTTTATCCTGTGATATTTACTTTTTTGCTATTGGACGTATGAACTCCCAAATGTCCATTCTGTGAATGGACAAAAACAGTGTTTTCAAACTGCTTAATCAAAAGAAACCTTTAGCACTGTGAGGTGAATACACACATCATCAAGCAGTTTCTCAGAAAGCTTCTTTCTAGTTTTTATCTGAAGGTATTTTCGTATGCACTGTAGTTCTCAATGCCCTCCCAAATATCCCTTCGCAGTTTCTGCAAAAACAGTGTTTCAAAACTCTTGAATGAAAAGAAAGGTTTAAATCTGCAAGTTGAATGAATACATCACAAAGTGGTTTCTCAGATAGCTTCCTTCTAGTTTTTATCCTGGGATATTCCCTTTTTTGCCATTGGTTTCAATGAGCTCCCAAATGTCCATTTGAAGAATGAAAAAGACATGTTTCCAAACTGCTGAATCCAAAAAAGTTTAACTCTGTGAGATGAATGCACATATCATAAAGCAAGTTTCTTAGAAAGCTTCTTTCTGGTTTTTATCTGAAGATATTTTCTTTTTCAACATAGTCCTCAACGCATTACCAGTTATCCTATCACAGATTCTACAAAAACAGTGTTTCCAAACTGCTAAATGAAAAGAAATTTTACCTCTGGGGGATGAATGAACACATCAAAAAGAAGTTTTTCAGAGAGCCTCCTTCTAGTTTTACCCTGGGGTATTCACTTTTTTGCCATTATCCTCACTGAGCTCCCAAATGTCACAGAAGGGACAAAAACAGTGTTTCCAAACTGCTGAATCATAAGAAAGTTTTAACTCTATGAGATGAATGCACACATCACAAAGCCATTTCTCAGAAAGACTCTTTGTACTTTTTAGCTTTAGATATTTTCTTTTTTGCCATAGGCCTCAATGTGCTCCCAAGTATCCCTTCTCAGATTCTACAAAAACAGTGTTTCCAAACTGCTGAATGAAAAGAAAGGTTGAAGTCTGTGAGATGAATGCACACATCACAAAGCGGTTTTTCAGATTGCTTCCTTCTAGTTTTTATCCTGTGATATACTCCTTTTCAATGTTGGCCTTAATGATCTCCCAAATGTCCATTCACAGAAAGCACAAAAACAGTGTTTCCAAACTGCTGAACCAAAAGAAAGTTTTAACTGTGTGAGATGGATGCACACGTGACAAAGCAGTTTCCCAGAAAGCTTCTTCCTACTCTTTATCTGAAGATATTTCTGTTTTTCACAATGGGCCACGATGTGCTCCCAAATATTCCTTCACAGATTCTACAAAAATAGTGTTTCCAAACTACTGAGTTAAAGGAAAGTTTTAAGTCTGTGAGATGAATGAACACCTCACAAAGCCCTTTCACAGATAGCTTCCTTCTAGTTTGTATCTTGGGATATTTGCTTTGTCACCACTGTCATCAATGAGGTCCAAAATGTTCATTTACAGAAATGACAAAAACAGTGTTTCCAAACTACTGAATCATAAGAAAGTTTTAACTTTGTGAGGTGAATGCCCCCCTCACAAAGGAGTTTCTCAAGATGCTTCTTTCTGATTTTTATCTGTACATATTTTCTTTTTCAACCTAGGCCTCAATGAGCTGCCAAATATCTCTTTGCAGATTCTGCAAAAACAGTGTATCCAAACTGCTGAATAAAAAGAAAAGTTTTACTCTGTGAAATGAATGCACACATCATAAAGCAGTTTCTCAGAAAGCTTCTTTCTAGTTTTTACTGAAGATATTTTCTTTTTCACCTTAGGCCTCAACAGGTTCCCAAATATTCCTTGACAGATTTTGAAGAAAGAGTGTTTTCAAACTGCTGAATGAAAAGGAAGTTTTAACACTGTGAGATGAATTAACACATCACAAAGCTGTTTCTCAGATATCTTCCTTCTAGTTTTTGTCCTTGGATACTCTCTTTTTTGCCATTGTCTTCAATGAGCTCCCAAATGTCCATTCATAGAATTGACATGAGCAGTGTTTCCAGACTGCTGAATGAAAAGAATTGTTTAACTTGATGAGGTGAATGCACACATCACAAAGAAGTTTTTCAGAAAGTTTCATTCTACTTTTCCTCATAAGACATTTTCTTTTTCGCCATAGTCCTCGATGTTCTCCAAAATATCTCTTCACAGATTGTACAAAATAGTGTTTCCAAAATGCTGAATGAAAATAAAAGTTTAACTCTGTGAGATGAATGCACACATCACAAAGTGGTTTCTCAGTTAGCGTCCTTATTGTTTTTATCCTGGGATATTTGCTTTTCCATCATTAGGCTCAATGAACTTTCAAACGTCCATACACACAATGTACAAAAACAGTGTTTCCAAACTGCTACCTGACAAGCAAGGTTAAGTCTGTGAGATGAATGCACCCATCACAAAGCAGCTTCTCAGAAAGCTTCTTTCTACTTTTATATGAAGGTATTTTCTTTTTCAGCATAGGAATCAATGCGCTTCCAAATATCTGTTTGCAGATTCTACAAAAACAGTGTTTCCAAATTGCTGAAAGAAAAGAAAAGTTTAACTCTGTCAGATGAATGCACACATCACAAAGCAGTTTCTCAAGTACCTTCCTTCTAGTATTTATCCAGTGATACTCACTTTTTGGCCATAGGCCCCCAGTGAGCTCCCAAATGTCCATTTGCAGAATGGACAAAAATAGTGTTTAAACAGTGCTAAATCAAATGAAAGTTTTGTCTCTGTGAGATGAATGCACACCTCACAAAGCTGTTTCTCAGATAGCTTCTTTCTAGATTTTACCTGAAGATATTTTCTTTTTCACCATAGGCCTATATGAGCTTTCAAATTTCCCATCACAGATACTACAAAAAGTTTTTCTAAATTTTCTTAATCCAGTCTATCATTGTTGGACATTTGGGTTGATTCCAAGTTTTTGCTATCGTGAATAGTGCCGCAATAAACATACGTGTGCATGTGTCTTTATAGCAGCATGATTTATGGTCCTTTGGGTATAAACCCAGTAGTGGGATGGCTGGGTCAAATGGTATTTCTAGTTCTAGATCCCTGAGGAACCGCCACACTGACTTCCACAATGGGGAATCCTTTCCCCATTGCTTGTTTTTCTCAGGTTTGTCAAAGAAAATGTGGCACATATACACAATGGAATACTATGCAGCCATGGAAAATGATGAGTTCATGTCCTTTGTAGGGACATGGATGAAATTGGAAATCATCATTCTCAGTAAACTATCGCAAGAACAAAAAACCAAACACCGCATATTCTCACTCATAGGTGGGAATTGAACAATGAGATCACATGGACACAGGAAGGGGAACATCACACTCTGGGAACTGTTGTGGGGTGGGGGGAGGGGAGAGGGATAGCATTGGGAGATATACCTAATGCTAGATGACGAGTTAATGGATGCAGCGCACCAGTATGGCACATGTATACATATGTAACTAATCTGCACAATGTGCACATGTACCCTAAAACTTAAAGTATAATAATAATAATAAAAAAGTTTTTCCAAACTGTTGAATGAAAAGAAAGATTTAACTCTGTGAGATTAAAGTTCACATGACCAAGCAGTTTCTCACACAGATTTCTTTTAGTTTTCATCCTGGTATATTCACTTTTTTGCCATTGACCTCGAGCTACAAAATGTCCATTCGCAGAATGGACAAAAACATTGTTGCCAAACTGCTGAATCAAAGGAAAGATTTAAATCTGTGAGATGAATGCACACATCCTAAAGCAGTTTCTCAGATAACTTCCTTCTGGTTTTTATCCTGGGATATATGCTTTTCCTCCATTGGGCTCAATGAGATCCCAAATGTCCATTTGCAGAATTGACAAAAAGAGTGTTTCAAATTTGCTGAACCAAAAGAAAGGTGGAACTCTGTGAGATGAATGCTCACATCACAACACAGTTTCACAGAAACTTTCCTTCTACTTTTTATCTTAAGATAAATTCTTTTTCACCATAGGCCTCGATCCACTCCAAAGTATCCTTTTGCAGATTCTATAAAAACAGTGTTTCCAACCTGCTGATTCAAAAGAGAGGTTAAACACTGTGAGATTAATGTACACATCTGAAAGTGGTTTCTCAGATAGCTTCCTTCTAGGTTTTATCCTGAAATATTTGCTTTCTCATCATTAGGTTCAATGAACTACAAAATGTCCATTTGCAGAATGTACAAAACCAGTGTTCCCAAACTGCTAAATCTAAAAAAGATTTAACTCTGGAAGATGAATGCACACATCACAAAGCAGTTTCTCAGAAATTTCTATCTTCATTTTTTCTGAAGATACATTCTTTTTCACCATAGGCCTCATTGTGCTTTAAAATATCCCTTCACAGCTTCTACAAAAACAGTGTTTCCAAACTGCTGAATGAATGCGTTAACTCTGCGAGGTGAACGCAGACATCACAAAGCAGTTTCTCAGAAAGCTTCTTTCTATTTTTTATCTGTAAATATTTTCTTTTTCACTTTAGGCCTTAATGCACTCCCAAATATCCCTTTGCAGTTCCTACAAAGACAGTGTTTCCAAACTCTTGATTGAAAAGAATGATTTAACTCTGCAAGATGAATGCACATATCAGAAAGCAGTTTCTCAGATAGCATCATTCTAGTTTTAATTCCAGGATATTTTCTTTTGGGCCATTGACCTCAATAAGCACCATTCTGTGAATGAACGAGCATAGTGTTTCCAAGCTGCTGAATTAAAAGAAAGGTTCAACTGTGTGAAATGAATGAACACATCTCAAAGCAGTTTCTCAGAAAGCTTCTTCCTAGTTTTTATATGAAGGTATTTACTTTTTCACCATAGGCCTCAATGCACTCCCACATATCCCTTCACGGATTCTACAAAAACAGTGTTTCCAACCTGTTGAATGAAAAGAAAAGTTTAACTCAGTGAGATGAATGCACACATCACAATGCGGTTTCTCAGGTACCTCCCTTCTACTTTTTGTCCTGGGTTATTCACTTTAACCAATGAGCTCCCAAATGTCCATTCACATAATGGACAAACACCTTGTTTCCAAACAGCTGAATCAAAAGAAAGTTTTAACTATATGAGATGCATGCATGCATCACAAAGCAGAAGTGCTTTTGCAGAAACTACCAAGGGATATTTCGGAGCACTTTGATGCCTATGGTGAAAATGCAATAGTTTTCAGACAAAAAGTAGAAGGAAGCATTCAGAGAAACTTCTTTGTGATGTGTGCATTTTTATTACAGAGTTTAACCTTTCTTTAGACTCAGCAGTTTGGAAACACTGTTTTTCTCCTTTCTGCAAAAGGGCATTTGGGAACTCATGGGGGCCAATGGCAAAAAAGTGAATATCCCAGGATAAAAAATAGAAGAAAGCTATCTGAGAAACTGCTCAGTGATGTGTGCATTCACCTTGCAGAAGTAAAGTTTCCTTTTCATTCAGCAGTTTGGAAACACTGTTTTTTTAGAATCTGCAAAGGGATATTTGGGAGTGCTTTGAGGCCTATAGTGAAAAAGAAAATATCTTCAGACAAAAAGTAGAAGGAAGACTTCTGAGAAACTGTTTTGTAATGTGTGCATTCATCTCACAGAGTTAAGACCTTCTTTTGATTCAGCAGTTTGGAAATACTGTTTTTGTGCATTCTGTGAATGGACATTTGGGAGCTCATTGAGGCCAACGGCAAAAGAATGAATATCCCAGGATAAAAACTAGAGGGAATCTACCAGAAAAGCTGCTTTGGAATGTGGACATTCATCTCACTGAGTTAAACCTTTCTTTTCATTCTGTATTTTGGAAACACTGTTTTTGTGGAATCTTTGAAGGGATATTTGGGATCACATTGAGGCCTATGATGAAATAGAAAGTATCTTCAGACAAAAAGTAGAAAGAAGATTCCTGGAAAAACTTCTTTGTGATGAGTGCATTCTTCTTACAGAGTTTAGTATTTCTTTTGATTCAGCAGTTTGGAAAGACTGTTTTTCTCCTTTCTGTGAATGGACAATTGGGAGCTGATTGAGATCAGTGGTGAAAAACCAAATATCCCAAGATAAAGTTGTAGGAGGAAGCTATCTGAGAAACTGCTAAGTGATATGTGCATTCACCTCATGGAGGTAGTTACCTTTCTTTCAGCAGTTTGGAAATACTTTTTTATAGAATCTGTGAAGGGATATTCGGAAACGTGTTGAGATCTATGGTGAACAAGAAAATATCTTCAGATAAAAAGTAAAAAAAAAAGGTTCTGAGAAACTGCTTTGTGATGTGTGCATTCATCTCTCAGACTTAAACCTTTCTTTTGTTTCAGCAGTTTGGAAACAGTTTTTGTAGAATCTTTGAAGGGATATTTTGCTGCTCATTGAGGCCTATGCTGAAAGATAAAACATCTTCAACTAAAAATTAGAAAGAATCTGTATGATAACCTGCTTTGTGATGTGTGCATTCATCTCACAGAGATAAACCTTCCTTTTCATTCAGCAGTTTGGAAACTGTGTTTTTCCATTCTGCAAATGTAAATTTAGGAGCTCATTGAGGCCAATGGTGAAAAGGTGAATGTCCCAGGATAAAAACTAGAAGGAAGGTATCTGAAAAACAGCTTTGTGATGTGTGCATTCAACTCACAGAGTTAAATCTTTCTTTTCAATCAGCAGTTTGGAAACACTGTTTTTGTAGATCTGTGAAGGGATATTTCAGAGAGCATTGAGGCCTATTGTGAAAAAGAAAATATCGTCAGATAAAAACTAGAAAGTAGCTTTCTGAGAAACTGATTTGTGATGTGTGCTTTCATCTCACAGAGTAAAACCTTTCTTTTGATTTATCAATTTGAAAACACTGTTTTTCTCCATTCTGCAAATGGACTTTTGGGGTTCATTGAGGCCAATGGGGAAAAATCGAATATCCCAAGATAAACACTAGAAGGAAGCTGTCTGAGAAACTCCTTTGTGATGTGTGCATTCATCTCATAGAGTTAAACCTTCCTTTTAATTCAGCAGTTTGGAAACACTGTTTTTGTATAATCTGCAAAGGGATATTTTGGAGCATGTTGATGCCTATGGTGAAAAAGAAAGTATCTTCAGAAAAAAACTGGAAAAAAACTTTCTCAGAAAGTGCTTTGTGATGTGTGCTTCCATGGCACAGACTTAAACCTTTCTTTTGATTCAGCAGTTTGTAAACACTGTTTTTATCCATTCTGTGAATGGACATTTGGGAGCTCATTGACGCCAATGGCTAAAAACCAAATATCCCAGGATAAACACTAGAAGGAAGCTATCTGAGAAACTGCTTTGAGAAGCGTGCATTCTTCTCACAGAATTAATCCTTTCTTCTCACTCAGCATTTTGGAAACACTGTTTTTGTAGAATCCATTAAGGGGTATTTTGGAATGCCTGGAGGTCTATGGTGAAAAAGAAAATATTTTCACATAAAAACTAGAAAGAAATTTTCTGAGAAAATGCTTGTGATGTGTGCATTCATCTCACAGAGTTAAACCTTTCTTTTGATTAAACAGTTTGGAAACACTGTTTTTGTCCATTCTGCAAATGGACATTTGGGACCTCACTGAGGGCAAAGGAGAAAAAGTGAATATCCGAGGATAAACACTAGGAGGAAGCTATCTGAGAAACTGCTTTGTGATATGTGCATTTATCTCACTGAGTGAAACAATTATTTTCATTAATTAGTTTGGAAACACTGTTTTTGTTGAATCTGCAAAGGGATACTTGGAAGTGCATTGAGGCCTATGGTGAAATGGAAAATATCTTCAGATAAAAAGTAGAAAGAAGATTTCTGAGAAACTGCTTTGTGATGTCTGCATTCACCTCTTGAAGTGAAACCTTTCTTTTGATTCAGCAGTTTGGAAACACTGTTTTTGTCCATTATGTGAATGGACATTTTGTAGCTGATTGAGACAAATGGCAAAAAGCGAATATCCCAGGGTGAAAACTAGAAGGAAGTTATCCGAGAAACCACTGTGTGATGTGTGCATTCATCTCACAGAGGTAAACCTTTCTTTTCAATCAGCAGTTTGGAAACACTGTTTTTGTAGATTCTTCGAGGGGATATTTCGGAGTGCATTTAGGCCTATGGTGAAAAAGAAAATATCTTCTGATAAAAACTAGAAAGAAGCTTTCTGAGAAACTGGTTTGTGATGTGTGTTTTCATATCACAGAGTTAAATCTTTCTTTTCATTCAGCACTTTGGAAAAACTGTTTTTGTCCATTCTGCAAATGGACATTTGGGAGATCATTGAGGCCAATGGCAAAAAGTTGAATATCCCAGGATAAACACTTGAAGGAAGCTATCTGAGAAACCGCTTTGTGATGCATGTTTTCATCTCACGAGTTAAACCTTTCTTTTCATTCAACAGTTTGGAAACACTGTTTTTTTAGAATCTGTGAAGGCATAATTTGGAGAATGTTGAGGCCTATCATGAAAAAGAAAATATCTTCAGATAAAAACAAGAAAGAAGCTTTCTGAGAAACTGCTTTGTGATATGTGCACTCATCTCACAGAGTTAAACCTTTCTTTTGGTTCAACAGATTGGAAACACTGGTAGAATCTGCAAAGGGATATTTGGGAGCACTTTGAGAACTATGGTGAAAACGAAAATATCTTAAGATAAAAAGTAGAAAGAAGCTTTCTGAGAAACTGCTTTGTGATGTGTGCATTTATCTCACAGAGGTAAACTTTCCTTTTGATCCAGCGGTTTGGAAACACTGTTGTTGTAGCATCTGCAAAGGGATATTTAGGAGCACATTGAGGCCTATGGTGAAATAGAAAATATCTTCCAATAGAAACTAGACAGAAGCATACTGAGTAATTGTTTTGTGATGTGAGCATTCATCTCCCAGTGTTAAACGTTTCTTTTCATTCACCAGTTTGGAAACAGTGTTTTTGTCCATTCTGTGAATGGGCATTTGGGAGCTCATTGAGGCCAATGGAGATAAATGGAATAGCCCAGGATAAAAACTTCAAGGAAGCTATCTCAGAAACTACTTTGTGATGTGTGCATTTATCTCGCAGAGTTAAAACTTTCCTTACATTCAGCAGTTTAGAAAACTGATTTTGTAGAATCTGTGAAGGGATATTTGGGAGCACATTGAAAGCTATGGTGAAAAAGAAAATATCTTCAGATAAAAACTGAAGGAAGCTTTCTGACAAACTGCTTTGTGATAGGTGCTTTCATCTCATGGAGTTAAACCTTTCTTTTGATTCAATAGTTTGGAAACACTGTTTTTGTTCATTCTGTGAATGGATATTTGGGAGCTTATTGAGGCCAAGGCAGAAAAAGGGAATACCCCAGGATAAAAACTACAAGGAAGATATCAGAGAAACAGCTTTGTGATGTTTGCATTCCTCTCACAGAGTTAAACCTTTCTTTTTATTCAGCAGCTTGGAAACATTGTTTTTCCAGAATCTGCAAAGGGATATTTTGGAGTGCTTTGAGAACTACAGTGAAAAAGAAAATATCTTAATGTAAAGAGTAGAAGAAGCTTTCTGAGAAACTGCTCTGTGATGGGTGTATTCATCTAACAGAGTTAAACATTATTTTTGATCCAGCAGTTTGGAAGCACTGATTTTGTAGAATCTGTGAAGGGATATTTTGGAGCACATTGAGGCCTATGGTGAAAAAGAAAATATCTTCAAATAGAAACTAGACGGAAGCTTTCTGAGAAACTGCTTTGTGGTGTGTGCTTTCATC
Organism: Homo sapiens; assembly: GCF_000001405.40. NCBI lineage: Eukaryota > Metazoa > Chordata > Mammalia > Primates > Hominidae > Homo > Homo sapiens. Next base: position 188,682 of record NW_012132918.1, read on the forward strand.
TAACAGAGTTAAATGTTTCTTTTGATTCAAGAGTTTGGAAACAGTGTTTTGTCCATTCTGCAAATGGACATTTGAGAGCTCATTGAGATCAATGGTGAAAAAGGGAATATACCAGGATAAGAAGTAGAAGGAAGCCATTTGAGAAACCACAATGTGAAGTCTGCATTCATCTCACAGAGATAAATATTTCCTTTCATTCAACCGTTTGGAAACACTTTTTTTGTAGGATCTGCAAAGGGATATTTTGGAGCACATCGAGCCCTTGGTGAAAAAGAAAATATCTTCAGATAAGAGGTAGAAAGAAGCTTTCTGAGAAACTAATTTCTGATGTGTGCATTCATCCCACATAGCTAAACATTTTTTTTATCCAGTAGATCGGAAACAGTATTTTTGTCACTCTGTGAATGGATATTTGGGAGCTCCTTTAGGCTGATAGAGAGAAAGCAAATATCCAAGGATAAAAACCGGAAGGAAGCAATCTGAGAAAACCCCTTTGTGACATTTGCATTCATCTCCCAGTGTTAAAACTTTCTTTTCATTCAGCAGATAGGAAACAATGTTTTTGTAGGATCTGCTAAGGGATAATTTGGAGTGCTTTGAGGCATATGGTGAAAAAGAAAATACTTTAAGATAAAAAGTACAAAGAAGCTTTCTGAGAAACTGTTTTCTGATGTGTACATTTATCTCACAGAGTTAAACCTTTCTTTGGATACAGCAGTTTGAAAACACTGTTTTTGTCTATTCTACAAATGGACATTTTGGCACCCATTGAGGCCAATGGTGAAAAAGCAAATTTCCCTGGATAAAACCAGAAGGAAACTATCTGAGAAACGGCTTTGTTATGGGGACATTCATCTCACACAGTTAAACCTATCTTCTCATTCAGCATTTTGGAAACACCGTTTTTGTAGAATCTGCGAAGGGATATTAGGGAGCGTATTGAGGCCTATGGTGAAAAAGAAAATATCCTCAGATAAAAAGTAGAAAGAAGCTTTCAGAGAAACTGCTTTGTGAGAAGTGAATTCATCTCCCAGAGTTAAACCTTTCTTCTGATTCAGCAGTTTGGAAACCTGTTTTTGTCCATTCTGTGAATGGAAATTTGGGAGCTCATTGAGGCCAGTGGCAAAAAGAAGAATATCCCAGGATAAAAACTAGAAGGAAGCTATCAGAGAAACATCTTTGTGATGTGTGCATTCATCTCACAGAGTTAAATCTTTCTTTTCATTCAGCAGTTTGGAAAAACTGTTTTTGTAGAAACTGTGAACGGATATTTGAAAGCTCATCGAAGTCTATGGTGAAAAAGAAATTATCTTCAGATAAAAAGAAGAAAGAGGCTTTCTGAGAAACTGTTTTGTGATGTGTACGTTCATCTCACAGAGTTAAACCTTTCTATTCATTCAGCAGTTGGAAAACACTGGCTTTGTCATTTCTGTGAAAGGACATTATGGAGCTCATTGAGGCCAAAGGTGTAAAAGTGAATATCTCAGGATAAAAATGAGACCATCTGAGAAACAACTTTGTGATGTGTGCATTCATCTCGAAGAGTAAAATGATTCTTTTCATTCAGCAGTTTGGAAACGCTGTTTTTGTAGAATCTGTTAAGGGATATTTCAGAGTGCCTAGAGGCCTACAGTGAAAAAGAAAATATCTTCAGATAAAAACTAGAATGAAGCTTTCTGAGAAACTGCTTTGTGATGTGTGAATTCATCTCAGAGAGTTAAGCCTTTCTTTTGATTCAACAGTTTGAAAAGACTGTTTTTGTCCATTCTGTGAATGGACATTTTGGACCCCACTGACACCAATGGAGAAAAAGCAAATATTCCAGGATAAACAGTAGAAGGAAGCTGAGAAACTGCTTTGTGATATGTGCATTAATCTTTCAGAGTTAAACCTTTCTTTTCATTCAGCAGTTTAGAAACACTGTTTTTGTAGAACCTCCAAAGGGATATTTGGGACCCCATTGAGGCCTATGGTGAAAAAATAAATATGTTCTTATAAAAACTAGAAAGAAGCTTTCTGAGAAACTGCTTTGTGATGTGTGCATGCGTCTCACAGAGTTAAACCTTTCTTTTCATTCAGCAGTTTGGAAACACTGTTTTTGTGGAATCTCTGAAGGGATATTTCAGAACACATTTAGGCCTATGGTGAAAAAGAAAATATCTTCAAATAAAAACATGACAGAAACTTTCTGAGAAACTGTTTTTTGATGTGTGCATTCATCTCACAGTGTTAAACATTTCTTTTCATTCAACAGTTTGGAAACAGTGTTTTTGTCCATTCTGCATATGGACATTTGGGAGTTCATTGACACCAATGGAGAAAAGCAAATATCCCAGGTTAAAAACTTCAAGGAAACTATCTGAGAAACTACTTTGTGATGTATGCATTCATCTCACAGAGGTAAACCTTTCATTACATTCAGCAGTTTGGAAACACTGTTTTTGTAGAACCTGTGAAGGGATATTTGGGATCCCCTTGAGGCCTATGGTGATAAAGTAAATATCTTCTTATAAAAACTAGAAAGAAGGTTTCTGAGAAACTGCTTTGTGATGTGTGCATTCGTCTCACAGAGTTAAACCATTCCTTACATCCAGCAGCTTGGAAACACGATTTTGTAGAATCTGTGCAGGGATATTTCAGAGAGCTTTGAGGCTTATGGTAAAAAAGGAAATATCTTCAAACAATAACTAGACAGAAACTTTCTGCAAAACTGCTTTGTGATGTTTGCTTTCATCTCACAGAGTTAAAATTTCCTTTGGTTTCAATAGTTTGGAAACACAGTTTTTGTTCACTCTGCCAATGGCCATTTAGGAGATCATTGAGGCCAAAGGAGAAAAAGCAAATGTCTCAGGATAAAAAATTGAAGGAAGCTGTGTGAGAAACTGCCATGTGATGTTTGCATTCGTCTCACAGAGTTAAACCTTTCTTTTCATTCAGCAGTTTGGAAACACTGTTTTTGTTGAATCTGCAAAGGGATATTTCAGAGCCCAAAGAGTCCTATGTTGAAAAAGTAAATATCTTCATATAAAAACTAGAAAGAAGCTTTCTGAGACACTGCTTTGTGATGTGTGTATTCATCTCACAGAGTTAATCCTTTCTTTTGATTCAACAGTTTAGAAACACTGTTTTTGTCCACTCTGCAAAGGGATAATTGGGGGAGAATTGAGGCCTAATATGAAAAAGAAAATATCTTCAGATAGAAACAAGAAAGAAGCTTTAAGAGAAACTGCTTTGTGATGTGTGGCTTCATCTCACAGAGTTAATCCTTTCTTTTGATTCAACACGTTGGAAACACTGTTTTTGTCCATTCTGTGAAGGGATATTTAAGAGTGCCTTGAGGCTTAAGGTGAAAAAGAAAATATCTTCAGATAAAACTAGAAAGATGCTTCTGAGAAACAGCTCTGTGATGTGCACATTCCTCTCACAGAGTTAAACGTTTGTTTTCTTTCAGCAGTTTGGAAACACTGTTTTTGTAGAATCTGCAAAGGGATAATTTGGAGCCCAATGAGGCCTATGATGAAAAAGGAAATATCTTCAAATAATAACTAGACAGAAGGTTTCTGTGAAACTGCTTTGTGATGTCTACTTTCATCTCACAGAATTAAAATTTTCTGCTTTTTCAACAGTTTGGAAACACTGTTTTTGTCCATTCTGTGACAGGACATTTGGGAGCTCATTGAGGCCAAAGAAGGAAAAGAGAATACCCAAGGATAAAAATAAAAGGAAGCCATCTGAGAAACGGATTTGTGAGGTGCACAAAAAAAAAAAGCTGAGTTAAACCTTTCTTTTCATTCAGGAGTTTGGAAACCCAGTTTGTGTAGTATCTGCAAAGGGATATTTGGTAGCCCATCGTGTCCTTTGGTGAAAAAGTAAATATCTTCATATAAAAACGAGAAAGAAGCTTTCTGAGAAACTGCTTTGTGATGTCTGCTTTCATCACACAGAGTTAAAACAAACATTCTTTTGTTTCAACAGTTTGCAAACACTGCTTTGTCCATTCTGTGAATGAACATTTGGGAGCTCTTTGAGATCAATGGAGGAAAAGCAAATATCCCAGGATAAAAACTATATGGAAGTAATCTGAGAAACTGATTTGTGATGTGTGCATTTATCTCACACATTTAAACCTTTCTTTTCATTCAGCAGTTTGGAAAACTCTTTTTGTAAAATCTGCAAAGCGATATTTGGGAGACCATTGAATCCTATGGTGAAAAAGTAAATATCTTCACATAAAAACTGGAAAGAAGCTTTCTGAGAAACTGCTTTGTGATGTGTGCATTCATTTCACAGAGTTAAACATTTCTTTTGATTCAGCAGTTTTGAAACATTGTTTTTGTCCATTCTGCAAAGGGATATTTGGTAGCACATTTAGGTCTATGGTGAAAAAGAAAATATCTTCAGATAAAAACTAGAAAGAAGCTTTCTGAAAAACTGCTTTGTGTTGTGTGCTTTCATCTCACAGAGTTAAAAATTTCTTTCATTTCAACAGTTTGGAAACACTGTTTTTCTCCATTCTGCCAATGGCTATTTTGGAGAGGATTGAGGCCAAGGAGAAAAAGTGAATATCCCAGGATAAAAAGTTCAAGGAAGCTATGAGAGAAACCGTTATGTGATGTGAGCATTCATCTCACAGAGTTAAACCTTTCTTTTCATTCAGCACTTTGGAAACACAGCTTTTGTAGCATCTACAAAGGGATATTTTGGAGCACATTTAGTCTTTTGGTGCAAAACTAAATATCTTCATATAAAAACTAGGAAGAATCTTTCAGAGAAACTGCTGTGTGATGTGTGCTTTCATCTCACAGAGTTAATCCTTTCTTTTGATTCAACAGTTTTGAAACACTGTTATTGTGAAGGGATATTTCAGAGCAAATTGAGGCCTATGGTGAAAAAGACAATATCTTCAGATAAAAACTAGAAAGAAGCTTTCTGAGAAACTGCTTTGTGATGTGTGGTTTCATCTCAGAGTTTAATATTTCTTTTCATTCAACAGTTTGGAAACATTCTTTTTGTTTATTCTGCAAAGGGAAATTTGGGAGCGCATTGAGACCTATGGTGAAAAAGAAAATATCTTCAGATAAAAAATAGAAGGAAGTTTCAAGAGAAATGACTTAGTGATGTGTGGTTTCACCTCACAGAGTTAAACCTTTCTTTTCATTCAGCACTTAAAACACTGTTTTTGTAGAATCTGTGAAGGGATATTGGGAGTGCTTTCAGACCTATGTTGTAGAAGAAAATATCTCAAGATAAAAAGTACAAAGAAGCTTTCTGAGAAACTGCTCTGTGATGGGTGCATGCAACTCACAGAGTTAAACCTTTCTTTTGATACAGCAGTTTGGAAACACTGTTTTTGTAGAATCTACAAAGGGATATTTTAGAGTGTATTGAGGTCTATGGTGAAAAAAGAAATATCTTCAAATAAGAACTAGACAGAAGCTTTCAGAGAAACTGCCTTGGATGTGTGCTTTCATCTCACAGAGTTAACACTTTCTTTTGGTTCAACTGTTTGGAAACACTGTTGGTGTCCATTCTGTGAATGCACATTTGGGAGTTCATTGAGGCCAATGGAGGAAAAGTGTATATCCCAGGATAAAAACTAAAAGGAAACTATCTGAGAAACTGATTTGTGATGTTTGCATTCATCTCACATAGCTAAACCTTTCTCTTCATTCAGCAGTTTGGAAATGGTGTTTTTGCAGGATCTGTGAAGGGATATTAGGGAGCCCATTGAGGCCTATGGTGAAACAGTAAATATCTTCATATAAAAACTAGAAAGAAGCTTTCTGAGAAATTGATTTGTGATGTGTGCATTCATCTCACGGGATGAAAACTTTCTTTTGATCCAGCACTTTGGAAACACTGTTTTTGTAGAGTCTGCAAAGGGATATTTTGGAGAGCATAGAGGCCTACAGTGAAAAAGAAAATATTTTCAAATAAAACTAGAAGAAGCTTTCTGAGAAACTGCTTTGTGATGTGTGTATTCAACTCACAGAGTTAATCTTTTCTTTTGATTCAACAGTTTTGAAACACAGTTTTTGTCCATTGTGTGAAGGGCTATTTGGGAGCGCATTGATGCCTATGGTGAAAAAGAAAATATCTTCAGATAAAAACAAGAAAGAAGCTTTCTAGAAACTGCTTTGTGATATGTGCAGTCATCTCACAGAGTTAAACCTTTCTTTTCGTTCAGCAGTTTGGAAGCACTGTTTTTGTAGAATCTGCAAAGGGATATTTGGGAGCACATTGAGACCTATGTTGTGGAAGAAAATATCTTAAGACAAAAAGTAGACAGGAGCTTTCTGAGAAACTGCTCTGTGATGGGTGCATTAACCTCACAGAGTTAAACCTTTCTTTCCATCCAGCAGTTTGGAAAAACTGTTTTTTGTAGAATCGGTGAAGGGATATTTAGGAGTCCACTGAGGCCTATATTGAAAAGTAAATATCTTGACATAAAAACTAGGAAGAAGCTTTCTGAGAAACTGTCTTGTGATGTGTGGTTTCATCTCACAGAGTTAAACATTTCTTTTCATAGAGGGGTTTAACACTGTTTTTGTCAATTTTGCAAATTGACGTTTGAGAGCTCATTGAGGCCAAGAGAGAAAAAGCGAATATCCCAGGATAAAAGCTTCAAGGAAGCCATCTGTGATACTGCTTTGTGATGTGTGAATTTATCTCGTAGAGTTAAAACTTTCCTTACATACAGTAGTTTAAAAACAGTGTTTTTATAGAATTTGTGAAGGGATATTTGGGAGCCCATTGAGGCCTATGGTGAAAAAGTAAATATCTTCATATAAAAATAGAAAGAAGCTTTATGTTAAACTTCGTTGTGTTGTGTGAATTCATCTCACAAAGGAAAAATTTTCTTTTCATTCAGCAGTTTGGAAACACTGTTTTTGTAGAATCTGCAAAGGGATATTTAGGAGCACATTGAGGCCTAAGGTGAAAATGAAAATATCTTCAAATAAAAACTAGAGAGAAGCTTTCTGAGAAACTGCTTTGTGATGTATGCTTTCATCACACAGACTTAGAAGTTCCTTTAGTTTCAACAGTTTGGGAACACTGTTTTTGTCCATTCTGCCAATGGCCATTATGATCATTGAGGCAAAGGAGAAAAAGTGAATATCCCAAGATAAAAACTTCAAGGAAGCTATGTAAGAAACTCCTATGTGATGTCTGCATTCACCTCACAGAGTTAAAACTTTCTTTTCACTCAGCACTTTGGAAACAGTTTTTGTAACATCTACAGAGGGATATTTTGGAGCCCATTTAGTCTTTTGGTGAACAGGTATATATCTTCCTATAAAAACTAGAAAGAATCTTTTGGAGAAACTGCTGTGTGATGTGTGCATTCATCTCACAGAGTTAATCCTTCCTTTTGATTCAACAGATTTGAAACACTGTTATTGTAGAATCTGTGAAGGGATATTTCAGAGCAAATTGAGGCCTATGGTGAAAAAGAAAATATCTTCAGATAAAAACTAGAAAGAAGCTTTCCGAGAAACTCCTTTGTGATGTGTGGTTTCATCCCACAGAGTTTAATATTACTTTTCATTCAACAGTTGGGAAGCCCTCTTTTTGTCTATTCTGCAAAGGGAAATTTGGGAGTGCATTGAGACCTATGGTGAAAAAGAAAATATCTTCAGATAAAAACTAGAGAGAAGCTTTCTGAGAAACTGCTTTGGATGTGTGCTTTCATCTCACAGAGTTAAGACTTTCTTTTGGTTCAACTGTTTGGAAACATTGTTCATGCCCCTTCTGTGAATGCACATTTGGGAGTTCATTGAGGCCAGTGGAGTAAAAGTGTATATCCCAGGATAAAAACTACAGGGAAACTATCTGAGTAAACCAATTTGAGATGTTTGCATTCATCTCACAGATTTAAGCCTATGGTGGAAAAGGAAATATATTCATATAAAAAGTAGACAAAAGCATTCTAAGAAACTTCTTTCTGATGTGTGCATCCAACTCACAGAGGTTAACATTTCTTTTGATTGAACAGTTTAGAAACTGTCTTCTTGTTATATCTGTAAATTGATATTTGGGGCACTTTGAGGCCTAGAGGTGAAAAGGAAATATCTTCACATAAAACCTAGACAGAAACATTCTGAGAAACTTCTTTGTGACGTAAGCATTCATCTCACAGATATTAACCTTTCTTTTGATTGAGCATTTCTGAAACACTCTTTTTGTAGCATCTGTAAGTGGATATTTGGGGTGCTTTGAGGCCTATGGTGGAAAAGGATATATCTTAATATAAAAACTAGACAGAAGCATTCTCTGAAACTTTTTTGTGATGTGTGCATTCATCTCACAGAGTTGAACCTTTCTTTTCATTGAGCAGTGAAAATATCTTCACATAAAATATCTTCACATAAAAACTAGACAGAAGCACTCTCAGAAACTTCTTTGAGATGTTTGCATTCAACTCACAGAGTTGATACTTTCTTTTGAGAGAGCCATTTTGAAACACTCTTTTTGTAATATCTGCAAATGGATATTTGGAGTGCTTTGAGGCCTATAGCTGAAAAGGAAATATCTTCGCAGAAAAACTAGACAGAAGCATTCTCAGAAACTTTTTTGTGATGTATGCATTCAACTCACAGTTTTGAAATTTTCTTTTGATTGAGCAGTTTGGAAACACTCTTTTGTAGTATCTGCAAATGGATATTTGGAGCACTTTGAGGCCTATAGCTACAAAGGAAATATCTTCACATAAAAACTAGACAGAAGCATTCAGAGAAACTTCTTTGTGATGTTTGCATTCATCTCACAGAGTTGAACGTTTCTTTTGATTGAGCAGTTTTGAAACACTCTTTTTGTAGAGTCTGCAAGTGGATATTTGGAAAACTATGAGGCCTATGGTGGAAAAGGAAATATCTTCACATAAAAACTAGACAGAAGCATTCTCAGAAACTTTTTTGTGATGTGTGCAATCAACTCACAGAGTTGAACCTTTCTTTCGATAGAGCTGTTTTAAAACACCCTTTTGGTAGTACCTGCAAAAACACATTTGGAGCTCTTTGAGACCTATAGCTGAAAAGGAAATATCTTCATATAAAAACTAGACAGAAGAATTCTGAGAATCTTCTTTGTGATGCGTGCATTCATCTCAGAGAGTTGAATCTTTCTTTTGGTTGAGCAGTTTTGAAACACTCTTTTTGTAGAATCCATAAGTGGAAATTGGGAGCGCTTTGAGTTCTGTAATGGAAAAGGAAATATCTTCACATTAAAATTAGATGGAAGCACTCTGAGAAACTTCTTTGTGATGTGTGCATTCATCTCAGAGAGTTGAACTTTTCTTTTGATTGAGCAGTTTTCAAACACCTTTTTTGTAGAATCTGGAAGTGGATATTTGGAGTGGTTTAAGTTTTGTGGTGGTTAAGGAAATATCTTCACATGAAAACTAGACAGAAGCATTCTCAGAAACTACTTTGTGATGTGTGCATTCAACTTACAGAGTTGAACCTTTCCTTTGATAGAGCAGTTTGGAAATACTCTTTTTGTAGTATGTGCAAAAGGATATTTGGAGCTCTTTGAGGCCTATAGCTGAAAAGGAAGTATCTTCATATAAAAACTAGAGAGAAAAATATTGAGAATCCTCTCTGTGATGCGTGCATTCATCTCTCAGAGTTGAACCTTTCTTTTGATTGAGCAGTTTTGAAACACTCTCTTTGTAGTATCCGTAAGTGGATGTTTGGAGTGCTTTGAGGCTTATTGTGGAAAAGTATATATCTTCATATAAAAACAAGACAAAAGCATTATCAGAAACTTTTTTGTGATGTATGCACTCAACACACGGAGTTGAACTTTTCTTTTGATTGAGCAGCTTGGAAACACTCTTTTTGTAATATCTGCAAATGGATATTTGGAGCCCTTTGAGACCTATAGCTAAAAAGGAAATATCTTCACATAAAAACTAGACAGAAGCATTCTCAGAAACTTCTTTGTGATGTGTGCATTCATCTTGTAGAGTTGTACCTTTCTTTTGATTGAGCAGTTTTGAAACACTCTTTTTGTAGAATCTGCAAGTGGATATTTGGAGCACCTTGAGGCCTATGTTGTAAAAGGAAACATCCTCACATAAAAACTAGACATGCTTCATTCTCAGCAACTTCTTTGAGGTGTGTGCATTCAACTCACAGAGTCGAACATTTCTTTTGATTGAGCAGTTTGGAAACACTCTTTTTGTAATATCTGCAGATGGATATTTGGAGCACTTTGAGGCCTATACCTGAAATGGTAATATCTTCACATAAAAAGTAGATAGAAGCATTCTGAGAAACTTCTTTGTGATGTATGCATTCATCTCACAGAGTTGAACCTTTCTTTTGATTGAGCAGTTTTGAAACACTCTTTTTGTAGAATCTGCAAAAGGATATTTGGGGCGCTTTGAGGCCTATGTTGGAAAAGGAAATACCTTCACATAAAAACTAGACAGAAGCATTTCAGAAACTTTTTTGTGTTTTGTGCCTTCAACTCACAGAGTTGAACGTTTCTTTTGATTGAGCAGTTTGGAAACACTCTTTTTGTAGAATTTCCAGTTGGATATTTGGAGCGCTTTGTTTCCTATAGCTGAAAAGGAAATATCTTCACATAAAAATTAGACAGAAGCATTCTGAGAAACTAATTTGTGATGTGTGCATTCATCTCACAGTGTTGAAACTTTCTTTTGATTGAGCAGTTTCGAAACACTCTTTTTGTAGAATTTGCAAATGAATATTTGGTGTGCTTTGAGTCCTGTGATGGAAAATGAAATATCTTCACATAAAAACCAGACAGTAGCATTCTCAGAAACTTCTTTGTGATGTGTGCATTCAACTCACAGAGTTGAACATTTCTTTTTTTTTTTAAATTTTATTTTATTATTACTATATTTTAAGTTTTAGGGTACATGTGCACAATGTGTGGGTTAGTTATATATGTATACAGGTGCCATGCTTCTGTGCTGCATCCATTAACTCGTCCTTTAGCATTAGGTATATCTCCTAAAGCTATCCGTCCCCCCTACCCCAACCCCACAGCAGTCCCCTGAGTGTGATGTTCCCTTTCCTGTGTACATGTGTTCTCATTGTTCAATTCCTACCTATGAGTGAGAATATGTGGTGTTTGTTTTTTTGTTCTTGTGATACTTAACTGAGAATGATGATTTCCAATTTCATCCATGCCCCTACAAATGACATGAACTCATCATTTTTTATGGCTGCATAATATTCCATGGAGTGTATGTGCCACATTTTCTTAATCCAGTCTATCATTGTTGGATATGTGTGTTTGTTCCAAGTCTTTGTTACTGTGAATAGTGCCACCATAAACATACATGTACATGTGTCTTTATAGCAGCATGATTTATAGTCCTTTGGGTATATACCCAGTGATTGGATGGCTGGGTCTAATGGTATTTCTAGTTCTAGATCCCTTAGGAATCTCCACACTGACTTCCACAAAGGTTGAACTAGTTTACAGTCCCACCAACAGTATCAAAATGTTCCTATTTCTCTACATCCTCTCCAGCACCTGTTGTTTCCTGACTTATTAATGATTGCCATTCTAACTGGTGTGAGATGTTATCTCATTGTGGTTTTGATTTGCATTACTCTGATGGTCAGTGATGGTGGCATTTTTTCATGTGTTTTTTGGCTGCATAAATGTCTTCTTTTGAGAAGTGTCTGTTCATGTCCTTCGTCCACTTTTTGATGGGGTTTTTTTTTCTTGTAAATTTTTTGAGTTCATTGTAGATTCTGGATATTAGTCCTTTGTCCGATGAGCAGGTTGCAAAAATTTTCTCCCATTCTGTAGGTTGCCTGTTCACTCTGATGGTAGTTTCTTTTGCTGTGCAGAAGCTCTTTAGTTTAATTGGATCCCATTTGTCAATTTTGGCTTTTGTTGCCATTGCTCTTCATGTTTTAGACATGAAGTCCTTGCCTAAGCCTATGTCCTGAATGGTAATGCTTAGGTTTTCTTCTAGGGTTTTTATGGTTTTAGGTCTCACCTTTAAGTCTTTTTTATCCATCTTGAATTAATTTTTGTATAAGGTTTAATGAAGAGACCCAGTTTCAGCTTTCTACATATGGCTAACCAGTTTTCCCAGCACCATTTATGAAATAGGGAATCTTTTCCCCATTGCTTGTTTTTCTCAGGTTTGTCAAAGATCAGATAGTTGTAAATATGTGGCATTATTTCTGAGGTCTCTGTTCTGTTCCGTTGATCTATATCTCTGTTTTGGTACCAGTACTACGCTGTTTTGGTTACTGTAGCCTTGTAGTGTAGTTTGTAGTCAGGTAGCGTGATGTCTCTGACTTTGTTCTTTTGGCTTAGGATTGACTTCTGATGTGGGCTCTTTTTTGGTTCCATATGAACTTTAAAGTAGTTTTTTTTCAATTCTGTGAAGAAAGTCATTGGTAGCTTGATGGGGATGGCATTGGATCTATAAATTACCTTGGGCAGTATGGCCATTTTCATGATATTGATTCTTCTTACCCATGAACATGGAATGTTGTTCCATTTGTTTGTACCCTGTTTTATTTCATTGAGCAGTTGTTTGTAGTTCTTGAAGAGGTCCTTCACGACCCTTGAAAGTTGGATTCCTAGGTATTTTATTCTCTTTGAAGCAATTGTGAATAGGAATTCACTCATGATTTTGCTCTCTGTATGTCTGTTGTTGGTGTATAAGAAGGCTTTTGATTTTTGTACATTGATTTTCTATCCTGAGACTTTGCTGAAGTTGCTTATCAGCTTAAGGAGATTTTGGGCTGAGACAATGCTGTTTTCTAGATATACAATCATGTCATCTGCAAACAGGGACAATTTGACTTCCTCTTTTCCTAATTGAATACCCTTTATTCCCTTCTCCTGCCTAATTGCCCTGGCCAGAACTTCCAACACTATGTTGAATAGGAGCGGTGAGAGAGGGCATCCCTGCCTGGTGCCAGTTTTCAAAGGGAATCCTTCCAGTTTTTGTCCATTCAGTATGATATTGGCTGTGGGTTTGTCATAGATATCTCTTATTTTTTTTTAAATACGTCCCGTTAATACCTAATTTATTGAGAGTTTTTAGCATGAAGGGTTGTTGAATTTTGTCAAAGGCCTTTTCTGCATCTATTGAGATAATCATGTGGTTTTTGTCTTTGGTTTGGTTTATATGCTGGATTACATTTATTGATTTGTGTATATTGAACCAGCCTTGCATCCCAGGGATGAAGCCCACTTGATCATGGTGGATAAGCTTTTTGATGTGCTGCTGGATTTGGTTTGCCAGTATTTTATTGAGGATTTTTGCATCAATGTTCATCAAGGATATTGGTCTAAAATTCTCTTTTTTGGTTGTGTCTCTGCCCGGCTTTGGTATCAGGATGATGCTGACCTCATAAAATGAGTTAGGGAGGATTCCCTCTTTGTCTGTTGATTGGAATAGTTTCAGAAGGGATGGTACCAATTCCTCCTTGTACCTCTGGTAGAATTCGGCTGTGAATCCATCTGGTCCTGGACTCTTTTTGGTTGGTAAGCTATTGATTATTGCCACAATTTCAGATCCTGTTATTGGTCTATTCAGAGATTCAACTTCTTCCTGGTTTAGTCTTGGGAGGGTGTATGTGTCGAGGAATTTATCCATTTCTTCTAGATTTTCTAGTTTATTTGTGTAGAGGTGTTTGTAGTATTCTCTGATGGTAGTTTGTATTTCTGTGGGATCGGTGGTGATATCCCCTTTATCATTTCTTTATTAGTCTTGCTAGCAGTCTATCAATCTTGTTGATCCTTTCAAAAAACCAGCTTCTGGATTCATTAATTTTTTGAAGGGTTTTTTTGTGTCTCTATTTCCTTCAGTTCTGCTCTGATTTTAGTTATTTCTTGCCTTCTGCTAGCTTTTGAATGTGTTTGCTCTTGCTTTTCTGGTTCTTTTAATTGTGATGTTAGGGTGTCAATTGTGGATCTTTCCTGCTTTCTCTTGTGGGCATTTAGTGCTATAAATTTCCCTCAACACAATGCTTTGAATGTGTCCCAGAGATTATGGTATGTTATGTCTTTGTTCTCGTTGGTTTCAAAGAACATCTTTATTTCTGCCTTCATTTCGTTATGTACCCAGTAGTCATTCAGGAGCAGGTTGCTCAGTTTCCTTGTAGTTGAGCAGTTTTGAGTGAGATTCTTAATCCTGAGTTCTAGTTTGTTTGCACTGTGGTCTGAGAGATAGTTTGTTATAATTTCTGTTCTTTTACATTTGCTGAGGAGAGCTTTACTTCCAAGTATGTGGTCAATTTTGGAATAGGTGTGGTGTGGTGCTGAAAAAAATGTATATTCTGTTGATTTGGGGTGGAGAGTTCTGTAGATGTCTATTAGGTCCGCTTGGTGCAGAGCTGAGTTGAATTCCTGGGTATCCTTGTTGACTTTCTGTCTCGTTGATCTGTCAAATGTTGACATTGGGGTGTTAAAGTCTCCCATGATTATTGTGTGGGAGTCTAACTCTCTTTGTAGGTAACTCAGGACTTGCTATATGAATCTGGGTGCTCCTGTATTGGGTGCATATATATTTAGGTTAGTTAGCTCTTCTTGTTGAACTGATCCCTTTACCATTATGTCATGGCCTTCTTTGTCTCTTTTGATCTTTGTTGGTATAAAGTCTGTTTTATCAGAGACTGGGATTACAACCCCTGCCTTTTTTTGTTTTCCATTTGCTTGGTAGATCTTCCTCCATCCTTTTATTTTGAGTCTATGTGTGTCTCTGCACGTGAGATGGGTTTCCTGAATACAGCACACTGATGGGTCTTGACTCTTTATCCAATTTGCCACTCTGTGTCTTTTAATTGGAGCATTTAGTCCATTTACTTTTAAAGTTAATATTGTTATGTGTGTATTTTTTCCTGTCATTATGATGTTAGCTGGTTATTTTGCTCATTAGTTGATGCACTTTCTTCCTAGCCTCAATGATCTTTACAACTTGGCATGATTTTGCAGTGGCTGGTTCTGGTTGTTCCTTTCCATGTTTAGTGTTTCCTTCAGGAGTTCTTTTAGGGCAGGCCTGGTGGTAACAAAATCTCTCAGCATTTGCTTGTTTGTAAAGTATTTTATTTCTCCTTCACTTATGAAGCTTAGTGTGGGTGGATATGAAATTCTGGGTTGAAAATTCTTTTCTTTAAGAATGTTGAATATTGGCCCCCACTCTCTTCTGGCTTGTAGAGTTTCTGCCGAGAGATCCCCTGTTAGTCTGATGGGCTTCCCTTTGTGGGTAACACGACCTTTCTATCTGGCTGCCCTTATCATTTTTTCCTTCATTTCAACTTTGGTGAATCTGACAATTATGTGTCTTGGAGTTGCTCTTCTCAAGGAGTATCTTTGTGGTGTTCTCTGTATTTCCTGAATCTGAATGTTGGCCTGCCTTGCTGGATTGGGGAAGTTCTCCCGGATAATATCCTGCAGAGTGTTTTCCAACTTGGTTCCATTCTCGCCGTCACTTTCAGGTACACCAATCAGACGTAGATTTGGTCTTTTCCCATAGTCCCATATTTCTTGGAGGCTTTGTTCATTTCTTCTTATTCTTTTTTCTCTAAACTTCCCTTCTCACTTCATTTCATTCATTTCACCTTCCATCACTGATACCCTTTCTTCCAGTTGATGGAATCAGCTCCTGAGGCTTCTGCATTCTTCATGTAGTTCTCAAGCCTTGGCTTTCAGCTCCATCAGCTCTTTTAAGCACTTCTCTGTATTGGTTATTCTAGTTATACATTTGTCTAATTTTTTTTCAAAGTTTTCAACTTCTTTGCCTTTGGTTTGAATTTCCTCCTGTAGCTCAGAGTAGTTTGATCATCTGAAGTCTTTTTCCCTCAACACATCAAAGTCATTCTCCATCCAGCTTTGTTTTGTTGCTGGTGAGGAACTGCATTCCTTTGGTGGAGGAGAGGCACTCTGCTTTTTAGAGTTTCCAGTTTTTCTGCTCTGTTTTTTCCCCATCTTTGTGGTTTTATCTATTTTTGGTCTTTGATGATGGTGGTGTACTGATGGGTTTTTGGTGTAGATGTCCTTTCTGTTGTTAGTTTTCCTTCTAACAGACAGGACACCCAGCTGCAGGTCTGTTGGAGTTTGCTAGAGGTCCACTCCAGACCCTGTTTGCCTGGGTACCAGCAGCAGTGGCTACAGAACAGCGGATTTTCATGAACAGTGAACACTGCTGTCTAATCGTTCCTCTGGACGTTTTGTCTCAGAGGAGTACCCAGCCGTGTGAGGTGTCATTCTGCCCCTTCAGGGGGGTGCCTCCCTGTTAGGCTGCTCTGTGGTCATTAGTCAGGGACTCACTTCAGGAGGCAGTCTGCCCATTCTCAGATCTCCAGCTGTGTGCTGGAGAACCACTGTTCTCTTCAAAGCTGTCAGAAAGGGACATTTAAGTCTACAGAGGTTTCTGTTGTCTTTTTGCTTGTCTGTGCCCTGCCTCCAGAGGTGGAGCCTAAGAGGCAGGCAGGCCTCCTTGAGCTGTGGTGGGTTCCACCCAGTTTGAGCTTCCTGGCTACTTTATTTACCAAAGCAATCCTTGGCAATGGCAGACCCCACTCCCCCAGCCTTGCTGCCGCCTTGCAGTTTGATCTCAGACTGCTGTGTCAGCAATCAGTGAGACTCCATGGACTTAGGATCCTCTGAGCCATGTGCAGGATATAATCTCCTGGTGCACCGTTTTTTAAGCCCTTCAGAAAAGTGCAGTGTTGGGGTCGAAGTGACCCAGTTTTCCAGGTGCTGTCTGTCACCCCTTTCTTTGACTAGGAAAGGGAACTCCCTGACCCCTTGCACTTCCTGAGTGAGGCAATGCCTCACCCTGCTCTGGATCATGCATGGTGCACTGCACCCACAGTACTGAACCCACTGTCTGGCACTCCCTAGTGCTATGAACCTGGTACCTCAGGTGGAAATGCAGAAATCACCCGTCTCTGCATAGCTCACGCTGGGAGATGTAGACTGGAGCAGTTCCTATTCAACCATCTTGGCGCTGTCACATGAGCCTTTCTTTTGATTGAGCAGTTTGGAAACACTCTTTTTGTAGTATCTGCAAATGAATATTTGGAGTGCTTTGAAGCCTACAGCTGAAAAGGAAATATCTTCACATAAAAACTAGACAGAAGAATTCTGAGAAACTTCTTTGTGATGTGTGCATTCATCTCACAGAGTTGAACGTTTCTTTTGATTGAGCAGTTTTGAAACACTCTTTTTGTAGAATCTGCAAGTGCATATTTGGAGTGCTTTGCAGCCTATGGTGGATAAGGAAATAACTTTACATAAAAGCTAGACAGAAGCATTCACAGAAACTTCTTTGTGATATGGCCCTCCAACTCACAGAGTTGAACAGTTCTTTTGATTGAGCAGTTTGGAAACACTCTTTTTATAGTATCTGCAAATGGATATTTGGAGTGCTTTGAGGCCTACAGCTGAAAAGGAAATATCTTCACATAAAAAACAGACAGAAGCATTCTGAGAAACTTCTTTGTGATGTGCACATTCATCTCACAGAGTTGAAACTTTCTTTTGATTGAGCAGTTTGGAAACACTCTTTTTGTAGTATCTGCATATGGATATTTTCAGCGCTTTGGGACCTATACCTGAAAAGAAAATATCTTCACATAAAAACTAGAGAGAAGCATTCTGAGAAACCACTTTGTGATGTGTACATTCATCTCACAGAGTTGAACCTTTCATTTCATTGAGCAGTTTTGAAACACTGTTTTTGTAGAATCAGCAAGTGGATATTTGGAGCACTTTGATGCCTATGGTGGAAAAGGAAATATCTTCACATACAAACTAGGCAGAAGCATTCTGAGAAAGTTTTTGTGATGTGTGCATTCAACTCACAGAGTTGAAACTTTCTTTAGACTAGCAGTTTCGGAGCACTCTTTTTGTAGTATCTGCAAATGGATATTTGGAGCGTTTTGAGACCTTTGGCTGAACAGGAAATATCTTCACATGAAAACTAGACAGAAGCATTCTGAGAACCTTCTTTGTGATGAGTGCATTCATCTCACAGAGCTGAACGTTTCTTTTGGTCGAGCAGCTTTGAAAGACTCTTTTTGTAGTGTCTGCAAGTGGATACTTGGAGCGCTTTGAGGCCTATGGTGGAAAAGGAAATATATTCACATAAAAACTAGACAGAAGCATTCTCAGAAACTTTTCTGTGATGTGTGCATTCAACTCACAGAGTTAAACCTCTCTTTTGACAGAGCAGTTTTGAAACTCTCTTTTTGTACAATCTGCAAGTGGATATTTGGAGTGCTTTGTGTCCTATGGTGCGAAAGGAAATATTTTCACATAGAGATAAGACAAAAGCTTTCCCGGAAACTTATTTGTGATGTGTGCATTCAACTCACAGGGTAGAACCATTCTTTTGATAGAGCAGTTTCGAAACACTCTTTTTGTAGAATCTGCAAGTGGATATTTGGAGCGCTTTGAGGTCTACGAGATGGTAGCATTCAACTCATAGACTTGAATCTTTCTTTTGATTGAGCTGATTGAAATACTCTTTTTGTAGAATCTGCAAGTGTTTCCACATATTTGGAGCACTTTGAATCCTGTGTTGGAAAAGGAAATATCTTCACATAAAAACTCAATGGAAGCATTCTCAGAATCTTCTTTGAGATTTATGTATTCAACTCACAGTGTTGAATCTTTCTTTTGATAGAGCAGTTTTGAAACACTCTTTTTGTAGATTCTGCAATGAATATTTGGACTGATTTGAGGCCTATGGCAGAAAAGGAAATATCTTCACATAAAAACTAAACAGAAGCACTCTCAGAAACTTCTTTCTGATGTCTGCATTCAACTCACAGAGTTGAACCATTCTTTTGATAGAGCAGCTTTGAAGCTCTCTTTTTGTAGAAAATGCAAGTGGATATTCAGATCGATTTGAGGCATACGTTGGAAAAGGAACTGTCTTCACATAAGAACTAGACAGAAGCATTCTCAGACACTACTTTGTGATGTGTGCATTCAACTCCAAGTGTTGAACAATTCTTTTCATAGAACAGTTTTGAAACACTCTTTTTGTAGAAAATGCAAGTGGATATTTGGAGGGCTTTCAGGCCTATGGTGGAAAAGGAAATATCTTCATATAAAATCTAGACAGAAGCACTCTCAGAAACTTTTTGTGATGTGTGCATTCAACTCCAAGTGTTGAAACTTTCTTTTCTTAGAGCCGTTTTGAAACACTCCTTTGTAGAAACTGCAAGTGGATATTTGGAGCGCTTTGAGGCCTATGACGGAAAACGAAATATCTTCACATAAAAACTAGACAAAAGCTTTCATAGAAAGTTCTTTGTGATGTGTGCGTTCAACTCACAGAGTTGAACCTTTCTTTTGAAAGAGCAGTTTTGAAACACTCTTTCTGTAGAATCTGCAAGTGGATATTTGGAGCACTTTGAGGCCTATGGTAGATAAGGAAATATCTTCATATAGACACTAGACAAAAGCATTCTCAGAAACTTCTTTGGGATATGTGCACTCAACTCACAGAGTTCAACATTTCATTTGACAGACCAGTTTTGAAAAACCCATTTTGTAGAATCTGCAAGTGGATATTTGGAGCGATCTGAGGCCTATTGTGGAAAAGGAAATATCTTCACATAATAACTAGACAGAAACATTCTCCCAAACTTCTTTGTGATGTGTGCATTCAACTCACAGAGTTAAACATTTCTTTTGATTGAGCAGTTTTGAAACACTCTTTTTGTAGTATCTGCAAGTGGATATTTGGAGCACTTTGAGGCCTATGTTGGAAATGGAAATATCTTCACATAAAAACTAGACAGAAGCATTCTCTGAAACTTCTTTGTGATGTGTACATTCAACTCACAGAGTTCAACCTTTCTTTTGATAGAGCAGCTTAGAAACACTCTTTTTTTTAGAATCTGCAAGAGGATATTTGCAGCGATTTGAGGCCTATTGTGGAAAAGGAAGTATCTTCACATAAAAACTAGAAAAAAGCATTCTCAGAAATTTCTTTGGGATGTGTGCATCCCACTCATGGTGTTGAACGTTTCTTTTGATAGAGCAGTTTAGAAACACTCTTTTTTTTTGAGAATCTGCAAGTGGATATTTGGAGCAATTTGAGGCCTATTGTGGAAAAGGAAATATCTTCACATAAAAACTAAACAGAAGCATTGTCAGAAACTTCTTTGTGATGTGTGCATTCAACTCACAGAGTTGAACCATTCTTTTGATAGAGCAGTTTTGAAACTCTCTTTTTGTAGAGAATGCAAGTGGATATTTGGAGCGCTTTGAGGCCTGTGGTGGAAAAGGAAATATCTTCAAATAAAAACTGGACAGAAGCATTCTCCGAAACTTCTTTGTGATGTGTGTATTAAACTCACAAAGTTCAACCTTTCTTTTGAGAGAGCAGTTTTAAAACACTCTTTTTGTAGAATCTACAAGTGGATATTTGGAGCTCTTTGAGGCCTGTGGTGGAAAAGGAAATATCTTCACATAAAAACTAGATAAAAGCATTCTCAGAAACTTCTTTGGGATGTGTGCATCCCACTCACAGTTTTGAATCTTTCTTTTGATAGAGCAGTTTAGAAACACTCTTTTTTTTTAGAATCTGCAAATGGATATTTACAGCGATTTGAGGCCTACTGTGGAAAAGGAAATATCTTCACATAAAATCTAGACAGAATCATTGTCAGAAACTTCTTTGTGATGTGTGCATTCAACTCACAGAGTTGAACCATACTTTTGTTAGAGGAGTTTTGAAACTCTCTTTTTGTAAAGAATGCAAGTGGATATTTGGAACGTTTTGAGGCCTGTGGTGGAAAAGGAAATATCTTCACATAAAAACCAGACAAAAGCATTCTCAGTAACTTCTTTGTGATGTGTGAATTCAAATCTCAGTGTTGAACCTTTCTTTTGATGGAGCAGTTTTGAAACAATCTTTTTGTATAATCTGCAAGTGAATATTTTGAGCGCTATGAGCACTATGGTGGAAAAGGAAATATCTTCACATAAAAAGTATACAGAAACTTTCTCAGAAAATTCTTTGTGATATGTGCATTCAACTCACAGAATTGAAACTTTCTTTGATTCAGCGGTTTGGAACACTACTTTTGTAGTATCTGCTAGTGGATATTTCAAACTGATTGAGTGCTGTGGTGGAAAAGGAAATATCTCCATATAAAAACTAAAGAGATGCATTTTGAGAAACTTCTCTGTGTTATGTGCACTCAAATCACAGAGTTGAACCTTGTTTTGATAGAGTAGTTTTGAAACAGTCTGTTTGTATAATCTGCAAGTGAATATTTGGAGCGCTTTGAGCACTATGGTGGAAAAGGAAATATCTTCACATAAAAACTAGATGGAAGCATTGTCAGAAACTTATTTGGGATTTGTGCATTCAACTCACAGTGTTGAACCTTTCTTTTGATTGAGCAGTTTTGAAACACTCTTTTTCTAGATTCTGCAATGAATATTTGGAGAGATTGGAGGCCTAGGGCGATAAAGGAAATATCTTCCCATAAAAACTAGACAGAAGCACTCTCAGAAACTTCTTTGTGATGTGTGCATTCAACTCACAGAGTTGAACCATTCTTTTGATAGACCCGTTTTGAAACTCTTTTTGTAGAAAATGCAAGTGGATATTTGGAGTGATTTGCAGCATATGGTGGAAAAGGAAGTATGTTCACATAAGAACTAGACAGAAGCATTCTCAGACACTTCTTTGTGATGTGTGCATTCAACTCCAAGTGTTGAACAATTCTTTTCATGAAGCAGTTTTGAAACACTCTTTTTGCAGAAAATGCAATTGGATATTAGGAGCGCTTTGGGGCCTATGGTGGAAAATGATATATCTTCACATAAAAACTAGACAGAAGCACTCTCAGAAAATTTTTTTGATGTGTGCATTCGACCTCAAGTGTTGAATCTTTCTTTTCATAGAGCAGTTTTGAAACACTATTTTGTAGAATCTGCAAGTGGATATTTGGAGTGCTTTGAGGCCTATGGGGTAAAGGAAATATCTTCACATAAAAACTAGACAAAAGCATTCACAGAAAGTTCTTTGTGATGTGTGCATTCAACTCACAAAATTGAACCTTTTATTTTGAAAGAGCAGTTTTGAAACACTCTTTTTGTAGAATCTGCAGGTGGATATTTGCAGTGCTTTGAGGCCAATGGTAAGAAAGGAATTATCTTCATATGAAAAGTAGACAGAAGAATTTTCAGAAACCTCATTGTGATGTGTGCATTCAACTCACAGAGTTGAATCTTCCTTTTGATAGAGAAGTTTGGAAACACTCTTTTGGTAGAATCTGCCAGTGGATATTTGGAGCCCTTTGAGTTCTATTGTAGAAAAGGAAATATCTTCACATAAAAACTAGACTGAAACATTCTCAGAAAGTTCTTTCTGATGTGTGCATTCAACTAACAGAGTTAAAGATTCCTTTTGATAGAGAAGTTTTGAAACACTCTTTTTGTCAAATCAGAAAGTGGATATTTGGACCGCTTTGAGGCTTTCGTCGGAAACGGGAATATCTTCACATAAAAACTAGGAATAAGCATTCTCAGGAACTCCTTTGAGATGTGTGCATTCAATTCACAGACTTGAATCTTTCTTTTTTTTTTCTTTTTTTTTTATTATACTTTAAGTTTTAGGGTACATGTGCACATTGTGCAGGTTGGTTTCATATGTATACAAGTGCCATGCTGGTGTGCTGCACCCACTAACTCATCATCTAGCATTAGGTGTATCTCCCAATGCTATCACTCCCCCCTCCCCCCACCCCACCACAATCCCCAGAGTGTGATATTCCCCTTCCTGTGTCCATGTGATCTCATTGTTCAATTCCCACCTGTGAGTGAGAACATGTGGTGTTTGGTTTTTTGTTCTTGCGATAGTTTACTGAGAATGATGCTTTCCAATTTCATCCATGTCCCTACAAAGGACCTGAACTCATCATTTTTTATAGCTGCATAGTATTCCATGGTGTGTATGTGCCACATTTTCTTAATCCAGTCTATCATTGTTGGACATTTGGGTTGGTTCCAAGTCTTTGCTATTGTGAATAATGTCGCAATAAACATACGTGTGCATGTGTCTTTATAGCAGCATGATTTATAGTCCTTTGGGTATATACCCAGGAATGGGATGGCTGGGTCAAATGGTATTTCTAGTTCTAGATCCCTGAGGAATCGCCACACTGACTTCCACAATGGTTGAACTAGTTTACAGTCCCACCAACGGTGTGAAAGTGTTCTATTTCTCCACATCCTCTCCAGCACCTGTTGTTTCCTGACTTTTTAATGATTGCCATTCTAACTGGTGTGAGATGGTATCTCATTGTGGTTTTGATTTGCATTTCTCTGATGGCCAGTGATGGTGAGCATTTATTCATGTGTTTTTTGGCTGCATAAATGTTTTCTTTTGAGAAGTGTCTGTTCATGTCCTTCGCCCACTTTTTGATGGGGTTGTTTGTTTTTTTCTTGTAAATTTGTTTGAGTTCATTGTAGATTCTGGATATTAGCCCTTTGTCAGATGAGTAGGTTGTGAAAATTTTCTCCCATTTTGTAGGTTGCCTGTTCACTCTGATGGTAGTTTCTTTTGCTGTGCAGAAGCTCTTTAGTTTAGTTAGATCGCATTTGTCAATTTTGTCTTTTGTTGCCATTGCTTTTGGTGTTTTAGACATGAAGTCCTTGACCATGCCTATGTCCTGAATGGTGATGTCTAGGTTTTCTTGTAGGGTTTTTATGGTTTTAGGTCTAACGTTTAAGTCTTTAATCCATCTTGAATTGATTTTTGTATAAGGTGTAAGGAAGGGATCCAGTTTCAGCTTTCTACATATGGCTAGCCAGTTTTCCCAGCACCATTTATTAAATAGGGAATCCTTTCCCCATTGCTTGTTTTTCTCAGGTTTGTCAAAGATCAGATAGTTGTAGATATGCAGCATTATTTCTGAGGGCTCTGTTCTGTTCCACTGATCTATATCTCTGTTTTGGTACCAGTACCATGCTGTTTTGGTTACTGTAACCTTGTAGTATAGTTTGAAATCAGGTAGTGTGATGCCTCCAGCTTTGTTCTTTTGGCTTAGGATTGACTTGGTGATGCGGGCTCTTTTTTGGTTCCATATGAATTTAAAGTAGTTTTTTCCAATTCTGTGAAGAAAGTCATTGGTAGCTTGATGGGGATGGCATTGAATCTGTAAATTACCTTGGGAAGTATGGCCATTTTCACGATATTGATTCTTCCTACCCATGAGCATGGAATGTTCTTCCATTTGTTTGTATCCTCTTTTATTTCCTTGAGCAGTGGTTTGTAGTTCTCCTTGAAGAGGTCCTTCACATCCCTGTAAGTTGGATTCCTAGGTATTTTATTCTCTTTGAAGCAATTGTGAATGGGAATTCACTCATGATTTGGCTCTCTGTTTGTCTGTTATTGGTGTATAAGAATGCTTGTGATTTTTGTACATTGATTTTGTATCCTGAGACTTTGCTGCTTATGTTGCTTATCAGCTTAAGGAGATTTTGGGCCAAGACAATGGGGTTCTCTAGCTATACAATCATGTCATCTGCAAACAGGGACAATTTGACTTCCTCTTTTCCTAATTGAATACCCGTTATTTCCTTCTCCTGCCTAATTGCCCTGGCCAGAACTTCCAACACTATGTTGACTAGGAGTGGTGAGAGAGGGCATCCCTGTCTTGTGCCAGTTTTCAAAGGGAATGCTTCCAGTTTTTGCCCATTCAGTATGATACTGGCTGTTGGTTTGTCATAGATAGCTCTTATTATTTTGAAATACGTCCCGTCAATACCTAATTTATTGAGAGTTTTCAGCATGAAGTGTTGTTGAATTTTGTCAAAGGCCTTTTCTGCATCTATTGAGATAATCATGTGGTTTTTGTCTTTGATTCTGTTTATATGATGGATTATATTTATTGATTTGCATACATTGAACCAGCCTTGCATCGCAGGGATGAAGCCCACTTGATCATGGTGGATAAGCTTTTTGATGTGCTGCTGGATTCGTTTTGCCAGTATTTAATTGATGATTTTTACATCAATGTTCATCAAGGATATTGGTCTAAAATTCTCTTTTTTGGTTGTGTCTCTGCCTGGCTTTGGTATCAGAATGATGCTGGCCTCATAAAATGAGTTAGGGATGATTCCCTCTTTTTCTATTGATTGGAATAGTTTCAGAAGGAATGGTACCAGTTCCTCCTTGTACCTCTGGCAGTATTCGGCTGTGAATCCGTCTGGTCCTGGACTCTTTTTGGGTGGTAAGCTATTGATTATTGCCACAATTTCAGATCCTGTTATTGGTCTATTCAGAGATTCAACTTCTTCCTGGTTTACTCTTGGGAGAGTGTATGTGTTGAGGAATTTATCCTTTTCTTCTAGATTTTCTAGTTTATTTGTGTAGAGGTGTTTGTAGTATTCTCTGATGGTAGTTTGTATTTCTGTGGGATCGGTGGTGATATCCCCTTTATCATTTCTTTATTAGTCTTGCTAGCAGTCTATCAATCTTGTTGATCCTTTCAAAAAACCAGCTTCTGGATTCATTAATTTTTTGAAGGGTTTTTTTGTGTCTCTATTTCCTTCAGTTCTGCTCTGATTTTAGTTATTTCTTGCCTTCTGCTAGCTTTTGAATGTGTTTGCTCTTGCTTTTCTGGTTCTTTTAATTGTGATGTTAGGGTGTCAATTGTGGATCTTTCCTGCTTTCTCTTGTGGGCATTTAGTGCTATAAATTTCCCTCAACACAATGCTTTGAATGTGTCCCAGAGATTATGGTATGTTATGTCTTTGTTCTCGTTGGTTTCAAAGAACATCTTTATTTCTGCCTTCATTTCGTTATGTACCCAGTAGTCATTCAGGAGCAGGTTGCTCAGTTTCCTTGTAGTTGAGCAGTTTTGAGTGAGATTCTTAATCCTGAGTTCTAGTTTGATTGCACTGTGGTCTGAGAGATAGTTTGTTATAATTTCTGTTCTTTTACATTTGCTGAGGAGAGCTTTACTTCCAAGTATGTGGTCAATTTTGGAATAGGTGTGGTGTGGTGCTGAAAAGAATGTATATTCTGTTGATTTGGGGTGGAGAGTTCTGTAGATGTCTATTAGGTCCGCTTGGTGCAGAGCTGAGTTGAATTCCTGGGTATCCCTGTTGACTTTCTGTCTCGTTGATCTGTCTAATGTTGACTTTGGGGTGTTAAAGTCTCCCATTATTAATGTGTGGGAGTCTAAGTCTCTTCGTAGGTCTCTCAGGACTAGCTTTATGAATCTCGGTGCTCCTGTATTGGGTGCGTATATATTTAGAATAGTTAGCTCTTGTTGTTGAATTGATCCCTTTACAATTATGTCATGGCCTTCTTTGTCTCTTTTGATCTTTGTTGGTATAAAGTCTGTTTCATCAGAGACTAGGATTGCAACCCCTGCCTTTTTTTGTTTTCCATTTGCTTGGTAGATCTTCCTCCATCCTTTTATTTTGAGCCTATGTGTGTCTCTGCACGTGAGATGGGTTTCCTGAATACAGCACACTGATGGGTCTTGACTCTTTATCCAATTTGCCACTCTGTGTCTTTTAATTGGAGAATTTAGTCCATTGACATTTAAAGTTAACATTGTTATGTGTGAATCTGATCCTGTCATTATGATGTTAGCTGGTTATTTTGCTCGTTAGTTGATGCAGTTTCTTCCTAGTCTTGATGGTCTTTACATTTTGGCATGATTTTGCAGCGGCTGGTACCGGTTGTTCCTTTCCATGTTTAGCGCTTCCTTCAGGAGCTCTTTTAGGACAGGCCTGGTGTTGACAAATCTCTCAGCATTTGCTTGTCTGTAAAGTATTTTATTTCTCCTTCACTTATGAAGCTTAGTTTGGCTGGATATGAAATTCTGGGTTGAAAATTCTTTTCTTTAAGAATGTTGAATATTGGCCCCCACTCTCTTCTGGCTTGTAGAGTTTCTGCTGAGAGATCTGCTGTTAGTCTGATGGGCTTCCCTTTGAGGGTAACCCGACCTTTCTCTCTGGCTGCCCTTAACATTTTTTCCTTCATTTCTACTTTAGTGAATCTGACAATTATGTGTCTTGGAGTTGCTCTTCTCGAGGAGTATCTTTGTGGTTTTCTCTGTATTTCCTGAATCTGAATGTTGGCCTGCCTTGCTAGATTGGGGAAGTTCTCCTGGATAATATCCTGTAGAGTGTTTTCCAACTTGGTTCCATTCTCCACATCACTTTCAGGTACACCAATCAGACATAGATATGGTCTTTTCACATAGTCCCATATTCTTGGAGGCTTTGCTCATTTCTTTTTATTCTTTTTTCTCTAAACTTCCCTTCTCACTTCATTTCAGTCGTTTCATCTTCCATTGCTGATACCCTTTCTTCCAGTTGATGGCATCATCTCCTGAGACTTCTGCATTCTTCACATAGTTCTTTAGCCTTGGTTTTCAGCTCCATCAGCTCCTTTAAGCACTTCTCTGTATTGGTTATTCTAGTTATATATTCTTCTAAATGTTTTTCAAAGTTTTCAACTTCTTTGCCTTTGGTCTGAATGTCCTCCTGTAGCTCAGAGTAGTTTGATCATCTGAAGCCTTCTTCTCTCAGCTCGTCAAAGTCATTCTCCATCCAGCTTTGTTCCGTTGCTACTGAGGAACTGCGTTCCTTTGGAGGAGGAGAGGCGCTCTGCTTTTTAGAGTTTCCAGTTTTTCTGTTCTGTTTTTTCCCCATCTTTGTGGTTTTATCTACTTTTGGTCTTTGATGATGGTGATGTACAGATGGGTTTTTGGTGTGGATGTCCTTTCTCTTTGTTAGTTTTCCTTCTAACAGACAGGACCCTCAGCTGCAGGTCTGTTGTAATACCCTGCCATGTGAGGTGTCAGTGTGCCCCTGCTGGGGGTGCCTCCCAGTTAGGCTGCTCGGAGTTCAGGGGTCAGGGACCCACTTGAGGAGGCAGTCTGCCTGTTCTCAGATCTCCAGCTGCATGCTGGGAGAACCACTGCTCTCTCCAAAGCTATCAGACAGGGACATTTAAGTCTGCAGAGGTTACTGCTGTCTTTTTGTTTGTCTGTGCCCTACCCCAGAGGTGGAGCCTACAGAGACAGGCAGGCCTCCTTGAGCTGTGGTGGGCTTCACCCAGTTAGAGCTTCCCGGCTGCTTTGTTTACCTAAGCAAGCCTGGGCAATGGCGGGCGCCCCTCCCCCTGCCTCGCTGCCACCTTGCAGTTTGATCTCAGACTGCTGTGCTAGCAATCAGCGAAACTCTGTGGGCATAGGACCCTCCCAGCCAGGTGCGGGATATAATCTTGTGGTGTGCCGTTTTTTAAGCCGGTCAGAAAAGCTCAGTATTCGGGTGGGAGTGACCCGATTTTCCAGGTGCGTCCGTCACCCCTTTCTTTGACTCGGAAAGGGAACTCCCTGACCCCTTGCACTTCCCAAGTGAGGCAATGTCTCGCCCTGCTTCAGCTCGCGCATGGTGCACACACCCACTGACCTGCGCCCACTGTCTGGCACCCCCTAGTGAGATGATCCCGGTACCTCGGATGGAACTGCAGAAATCACCCTTCTTCTGCATCGCTCACGCTGGGAGCTGTAGACTAGAGCTGTTCCTATTCAGCCATCGTGGCTCCCCCCCCCCGAATCTTTCTTTTGATACAGCAGTTTTGAAACACACTTTTCGTATAATCTGCAAGTGGATACTTGGAGTGTTTTCATGCCAATGGTAAAAAGGGAATTGTCTTCATATAAAAATCAGACAGACTTATTCTCAGAGACTTCTTTGTGATGTGTGCATTCAACTAACAGAGTTGAACTTTTCTTTTGATAGAGCAGTTTTGCAACACTCTTTTTGTAGAATCTGCAAGTGGATATTTGGAGTTCTTTGAGGCCTACGTTGGAAAAGGAAATATCTTCACGTAAAAACTAGAAAGAAACATTCTCAGAAACTTCTTTGTGATATGTGCATTCAATTCACAGAGTTGAAACTTCCTTTTGACAGGGCAGTTTTGAAACACTCTTTTTGTAGAATCTGCAAGTGGATATTTGGAGTGCTTTGACGCCTATGGTAGAAGAGGAAACATCTTCGTATAAAGACTAGACAGAAGCATTCTCAGAAACTTCTTTGTGATATTTGAATTCAACTCACAGAGTTGAATATTCCTTTTAATAGAGCAGTTTTGAAACACTCTTTTTGTGGATTCTACAAGGGGATATTTGGACCACTTTGAAGCCTTCATTGGAAATGGGTATATCTTCACATAAAAACCAGACAGAAGCATTCTCAGAAATTTCTTGTGAGGTGTGGATTCAACTCACAGTTTTGAACCTTTCTATTCATAGAGCAGTTTTGAAACACGCTTTTTGTAGAATCTGCAAGTGTATATATGGCTCCCTTTGAGACCTATGTTGGAAAAGGAAATGTCTTCACATAAAAACTAGAAAGAATCATTCTCAGAAACTGCTTTTTGATGTATGCTTTCAACTCACAGAGTTGAATATTCCTTTTGATAGAACAGTTTTGAATCACTCTTTTTGTAGAATCTGCAAGTGGATATTTGGAGCGCTTTGAGGCCTTCTTTGGAAACGGCAATATCTTCACATAAAAAGCAGACAGAAGTATTCTTAGAAACTTCTTTGTGATGTCTGCACTCAACTCACAGAGTTGAACCTTCCTTTTGATAGAGCAGTTTTGAAACACTCTTTTGTAGAATTGCAAGTGGATATTTAGAGCGCTTTGAGGCCTATGGTAGAATAGAAAGTGTCTTCATATAAAAAGTAGACAGAAGCATTCTCAGAAACTACATTGTGATGTTTGCATTCAACTCACAGAACTGAACATTTCTTTTGATAGAGCAGTTTTGGAACCCTCTTTTTGTGGAATCTGCAAGTGGATATATTGTTCTCTTTGAGGCCTATGTTGCAAAAGGAAATATCTTCATGTAAAAACTAGAAAGAAACATTCTCAGAAACTTCTTTGCTATTTGCGCATTTAGCTCACACAGTTGAACTTTTCTTTTGATAGAGCAGTTTTGAAACACACTTTTTGTAGAATCTTAAAGTGGATATTTGGAGCGCTTTGAGGCCTACAGAAGAAAATGTAATTTCTTCATATGAAAACTAGACAGAAGCATTCTCAGAAACTTCTTTGTGATGTTTGCATTCAACTCACAGAGTTGAACATTCCTTTTGATAGAGCAGTTTTGAAACACTCTTTTTTTGGAATGTGAAAGTGAATATTTGGACCGCTTTGTGGCCTTCATTGGAAACGGGAATATCTTCACATAAAAATTAGACAGAGATATTCTCAGAAACTTCTTTGTGATGTCTGCATTCAACTCACAGATTTGAACCTTCCTTTTGATAGAGCAGTTTAGAAACACTCTTTTTGTAGTATTTGCAAGTGGATATTTAGAGCGTTTTTTGGTCTATTTTAGAATAGGAAATATCTTAATATAAAAACTAGACAGAAGCATTCTCAGAAACTACTCTGTGAAGTTTGCATTCAACTCACACAGCTGAACATTCCTTTTGATAGAACAGGTTTGTAACACTCTTTTTGTGGAATCTGCCAGTGCATAATTGGACCGCTTTGAGGCTTTCATTGGAAACAGAAATAATTTCACATAAAAACTTGAAATAAACATTCTGAGAAAATCCTTTGTGATGTGTGCATTCAACTCACAGAGTAGAACCTTTCTTTTGATAGAGAAGTTTTGAAACACACTTTTTTTAGAATGTGCAAGTGGATACATGGAGCGCTTTGATGTCAATGGTAAAAAGGGAATTATCTTCATATAAAAAGTAGATAGAACCATTCTCAGAGACTTCTTTGTGATGTGTGCATTCAACTCACAGAGTTGAACCTTCCTTTTTATAGAGCAGTTTTGAGACACTCTTTTTGTAGAATCTGCAAGTGGACATTTCTTTCCTTTTGAAGCCTATGTTGGAAAAGGAATTATCTTCAGATAAAAACTAGAAAGAAACATTCTCAGAAACTTCTTTGTGATGCGTGTATTCAGCTCACAGAATTGAACCTTTCTTTTGATACAGCAGTTTTGAAACACTCTTTTTGTAGAATCTGCAAGTGGATATGTGGCTCCCTTTGAAGACTATGTTGGAAAAGGAAATATCTTCACATAAACACTAGAAAGAATCATTCTCAGAAACTTATTTTTGATGGGTGCTTTCAGCTTACAGAGTTGAACCTTCCTTTTGATAGAGCAGTTTTGAAACACTCTTTTTGTAGAATCTTCAAGTGGGAATTTGGAGCGCTTGGAGGCCTGTGGAAGAAGAGGAAATATCTTCATATAAAAAGTAGACAGAAGCATTCTGAGAAACTTCTTTGTGATGTTTGCATTCATCTCACAGAGTTGAACATTCCTTTTGATAGAATAGTTTTGTAACTCTCTTTTTGTGGAATCTGCAAGTGGATATTTGGACCGCTTTGAGGCTTTCGTTGGAAACGGGAATATCCTCACCTAAAAACCAGACAGAAGCATTCTCAGAAACCTCTTTGCAATGTGTGCATTCAATTCACAGAGTTTAACTTTTCTTTTGATAGGGCAGTTTTGAAACACTATTTTTGTACAATCTGCTAGTGGATATTTGATTCCCTTTGAGGCCTAAGTTGGAAAAAGAATTATCTTCACGTAAAAACTAGAAAGAAACATTCTCAGAAATTTCTTTGTGATGTGTGCATTCAACTGACAGAGTTGAAACTTCTTTTGATACAGCAGTTTTGAAACACTCTGTTGTAAAGTCTGCAAGTGGATATTTGGTGCGCCTTGAGACCTTCTTTGGAAACGAGAATATCTTCACATAAAAGATAGACAGAGGTAGTCTCAGAAACTTCTTTGTGATGTCTGCATTCAACTCACAGAGGTGAACCTTCCTTTTGATTGAGCAGTTTTGAAAGACTCTTTTTGTAGAATTTCCAAGTGGATATTTAGAGCACTTTGATGCCTATGGTAGAAAAGGAAATATCTTGATAGAAAAACTAGACAGAATCATTCTCAGAAACTACTTTGTGATGTGTGCGTTCAACTCACAGAGTTTAACCTTTCTTTACATAGAGCAGTTTTGAAACACTCTTTTTGTAGAATTTGCATGTGGATATTTGGAACGCTTTGAGGCCTGTGGTAGAAAAGGAAATATCCTCATATAAAAACTAGGTAGAATGATTCTCAGAAACTACTATGTGATGTGTGCGTTCACCTCACAGAGTTGAACATTCCTTTTGATAGAGCAGTTTTGTAACACTTTTTGTAGAATCTGCAAGTGTATATTTGGACCGCATGGAGGCCTTCGTGGGAAATGGGAATTTATTCAAATTAAAACTAGACAGATGAAGTCTCAGAAACTCCTTTTGATGTGTGCACTCAACTCACAGAGTTCAACCTTCCTTTGGAAAGAGCAGTTTTGAAACACTCTTTTTCTAGAATTTGCAAGTGGATATTTAGAGCGCTTTGAGGCCTATGGTGGAAAAGGAAATATCTTCATATAAAAATTAGACAGAATGATTCTCAGAAACTACTTTGTGATGTTTGTGTTCTACTCACAGAGTTGAACCTTTCCTTTGATAGAGCAGTTTTGAAACACACTTTCTGTAGAATATGCAAGTGGATATTTGGACCGCTTTGAAGCCTTCGGTGGAAAAGGGAATATCTTCAAATAAAAAGTAGACAGAAGCATTCACAGAAACTTCTTTATGATGTGTGCATTCAATTTAAATAGTTGAACTTTTCTTTTGATAGAGCAGTTTTGAAACACTCTTTTTTAGAATCTGCAAGTGGATAGGTGGCTCCCTTTGAGGCGTATGTTGGAAAAGGAAATATCTTCACATAAAAACTAGAAAGAATTATTCTCAGAAACTGCTTTTTGATATGTGCTTTCTACTCACAGAGTTCAACCTTCCTTTTCATAGAGCTGTTTTGAAACATTCTTTTTGTTGAATCTGCAAGTGGATATTTGGAGCACTTTGAGGCCTTCTTTGGAAACGGAAATATCTTCAAATAGAAAGTAGACAGAAGTATTCTCTGAAACTTCTTTGTGATGTCTGCACTCAACTCACAGATTTGAACATTCCTTTTGATAGAGCAGTTTTGAAACACTCTTTTTGAGGAATCTGCAAGTGGATATTTTGTTCCCTTTGAGGCCTTTATTGGAAAAAGAAATATCTTCACATAAAATCTAGAAAGAAACATTCTCAGAAACTTCTTTGTGATATATGCATTCAACTCACACAGTTGAACCTTCATTTTGATAGAGCAGTTTTGAAACACACTTTTTGTAGAATCTTCAAGTGGATATTTGGAGCGCTTTGGGGCCTATGGTAGAAAAGGAAATATCTACATATAACAAGTAGACAGAAGAATTCTAAGAAACTTCTTTGTTATGTTTGCATTCAACTCACAGAGTTGGACACTCCTTTTGATAGGGCAGTTTTGAAACATTCTTTTTGTGGAATCTGCAATTGGATATTTGGACCGATTTGAGGCCTTTGTTGAAAGGAGAATATCCTCACATAAAAAGCAAACAGAAGCATTCTCAGAAACTTCATTGCGATGTGTGCATTCAACGCACCGAGTTGAACTTTTCTTTTGATAGAGTAGTTTTGAAACACTCTTTTTGTGGAATCTACAAGAAGATATTTGGACCGCTTTGAAGCCTTTGTTGGAAACGAGAATATCTTCCTATAAAAACCAGACAGAAGCATTCTCAGAAACTTCTTTGTGAGGTGTGCATTCGTCTCACAGACTTGAAACTTTCTATTCATAGAGCAGTTTTGAAACACTCTTTTTGTAGAATCCATAAGTTGATATATGGCTCCCTTTGAGACCTATGTCGGAAAAGGAAATATCTTCAAATAAAAACGAGAAAGAAATATTCTCAGAAACTTCTTTTGATGTGTGCTTTCAACTCGCAGAGTTGAAACTTCCTTTTGATAGAGCAGTTTTCAAACACTCTTTTTGTGGAATCAGCAAGTGGATATTAGATTCCTTTTGAGGCCAATGTTGGAAAAGGAATTATCTTCATATAAAAACTAGAAAGAAACATTCTCAGAAACTTCTTTGTCATTTGTGCATTCAACTCACAGAGTTGAACCTTCCTTTTGATAGAGTAGCTTTGAAACACTCTGTTTGTAAAGTCTGCAAGTGATTATTTGGAGCGCTTTGAGGCCTCTTTGGAAACGGGAATATGTTCACATAAAAAGTAGACAGAAGTATTCTCAGAAACTCCTTTGCGATGTCTGCACTCAACTCACAGAGTGGAACCTTCGTTTTGATAGAGCAGTTTTGAAACACTATTTTTGTAGAATCTTCAAGTGGATATTTGGAGCTCTTTGAGTCCTATGGTAGAAAAGGAAATATCTTCGTATAAAAACTAGACAGAAGCATTCTGAGAAACTTCTTTGTGATGTTTGCATTCAACTCACAGAGTTGAACATTCCTCTTGATAGAACAGTTTTGAAACACACTTTTGGTGGAATCTGCATGTGGATATTTGGAAAGTTTTGAGGCCTTCGTTGGAAACAGAAATACCTTCACATAAAAACCAGACAGAAGAATTCTCAGAAACTTCTTTGCGTTGTGTGCATTCAACTCACAGAGTTGAAATTTACCTTTGACAGAGCAGTTTTGAAACACTCTTTTTGTAGAATATGCAAGTAGATATTTGACTCCCTCTGAGGCCTATGTTGGAAAAGGAATTATCTTCACATAAAAACTGGAAGGAAATATTCTCAGATACTTCTTTGTGATGTGTGCATTCAACTCACAGAGTTGAACCTTCCTTTGGTTAGAGCAGTTTTGAAACACTCTTTTTAAAAGTCTGCAAGTGGATATTTTGAGCGCTTTGAGGTCTTTTTGGGAAACAGGAATATCTTCACATAAAAAGTAGACAGAAGTATTCTCAGAAACTTATTTGTGATGTCTGCACTCAACTCACAGAGTTGAACCTTCCTTTTGATAGAGCAGTTTCAAAACACTCTTTTTGTAGAATTTGCTAGTGTGTATTTAGAGGGCTTTGAGGTCTATGGTAGAAAAGGAAATTTCTTCACAGAGAAACTAGACTGAATCATTCTCAGAAACTACTTTGTGATGTGCGCTTTCAGCTCACAGAGTTTAACCTTTCTTTTGATAGAACAGTATTGATACACTGTTTGTAAACTCTGCAAGTAGATATTTCGAGCGCTTT
The DNA here is from genome assembly GCF_000001405.40 of Homo sapiens. Lineage (NCBI taxonomy): Eukaryota > Metazoa > Chordata > Mammalia > Primates > Hominidae > Homo > Homo sapiens. The sequence continues at coordinate 223,802 of NW_012132918.1, forward strand.
GAGGGTTCTTGGGAAACGGGAATATCTTCACATAAAAAGCAGACAGAAGTATTCTCAGAAACTTCTTTGCGATGTCTGCACTCAACTCACAGAGTTGAACCTTCCTTTTGATAGATCAGTTTTGAAACACTCTTTTTGTAGTATTTGCAAGTGGATATTTAGAGTGCTTTGAGGCCTATGGTAGGAAAGGAAATTTCTTCCTATAAAAACTAGACAGAATCATTCTCAGAAACTACTTTGTGATGTGTGCGTTCAAATCACAGAGTTTAAACTTTCTGTTGATTGAGCAGTTTTGAAGCACTCTGTAAAGTCTGCAAGTGAATATTTGGAGCACTTTGAGGCCTTCTTTGGAAATGGGAGTACCTTCATATAAAATGTAGACAGAAGTATTCTTAGAAACTTCTTTGTGATGTCTGCACTGAACACAGAGAGTTGAACCTTCCTTTTGATAGTGCAGTTTTGAAACACTCTTTTTGTAGAATTTGCAAGTGGATATTTAGAGGGCTTTGGGGCCTATGGTAGAAAAGGAAATATCTTCATAGAAAAACTACACAGAATCATTCTCAGAAACTACTTTGTGATGTTTGCATTCAACTCACAGGGTTTAACATTCCTTTTGATAGAGCAGTTATGTAACACTCTTTTCGTAGCAACTGCATGTGGATATTTGGACCTCTTTGAGGCCTTCTTTGGAAACGGGAATTTCTTCTATAAAAACTAGACAGAAGAATTCTCAGAAACTTCTTTGTGATGTGTGCATTGAACTCAGAAAGTTGTACCTTCCTTTCGATAAAGGAGTTTTCAGACACTCTTTTTGTACAATTTCCAAGTGGAAATTTAGAGCGCTTTGAGGCCAATGGTAGAAAAGGAAATATCTTCATATAAAAACTAGACAGAATCATTCTCAGAAACTACTTTGTGATGTGTGCGTTCAACTCACAGAGTTTAACCTTTCTTTTGATAGAGAAGTTTTGAAACACTCTTTTTGTAGAATTTGCTAGTGTGTATTTAGAGGGCTTTGAGGCCTATGATAGAAAAGGAAATATCTTCACATAAAAACTAGACAGAAGCATTCTCGGAAACTACTTTGTGATGTTTGCATTGAACTCACAGAGTTGAACATTCCTCTTGATAGAGCCGTTTTGAAAAAATCTTTTTGTAGAATCTGAAAGTGGATATTTGGACCTCTTTGAGTCCTTCGTTGGAAAGAGGATTCCTCATATAAAACTAGACAGAAGTATTCTCAGAAACTTCTCTGTGATGTGTGCATTCAGCTAACAAAGTTGAACCTTCCTTTCAATAGAGCAGTTTTGAAACACTCTTTTTGAAGAATTTCCAAGTGAACGTTTAGAGCACTTGGAGGCCTACGGTAGAAAAGGAAATATCTTCATATAAAAACTAGACAAAATCATTCTCAGAAACTACTTTGTGATGTTTGCATTCAACTCACAGAGTTCAACTTTCCTTTTGATAGAGCAGTTTTGAAGCACTCTTTTTGTAGAATCTGCAAGTGGATATTTGGATCTCTTTGAGGCATTAGAAGGAATCGGAAATATCTTCACATAAAAACTAGACAGAAGAATTCGCAGAAACATTTTGAGATGTGTGCATTCAAGTCATCGAGTTGAACCTTCCTTTTGATAGAGCAGTTTGGAAACACTCTTTTTGTAGAATTTCCGAGTGGATATTTAGAGCGCTTTGAAGTGTATGGTAAAAAAGGAAATATCTTCATATAAAAAATAGTCAGAATCATTCTCAGAAACTACTTTGTGATGTGTGCGTTCAACGCATAGAGTTTAACATTTCTTTTGATAGAGCAGTTTGGAAACACTCTTTTTGTGTAGTCTGCAAGTGGATATGTGGAGCGCTTTGAGACCTTCTGTGGAAACGGGGGTATCTTCACATAAAAAAAAGACAGAAGTATTCTCAGAAAGTTCTTCGTGATGTCTACACTCAACTCACAGAGTTGAACCTTCTTTTTGATAGAGCAGTTTTGAAACACTCTTTTTCTAGAATTTGCAAGTGGATATTTCAAGCGCTTTGAGGCCTATGGTAGAAATTGAAATACTTTCATATAAAAACTAGACAGAATAATTCTCAGAAACTACGTTATGATGTGTGAGTTCAACTCACAGAGTTTATCCTTTCTTTTAAAAGAGCAGTTTTGAAACACTCTTTTTGTAGTATTTGCAAGTGTATATTTAGAGTGTTTTGAGGCCTATGGTAGAAAAGGAAATATCTTCACAGAAAAAATATACAGAAGTATTCTGACAAACTACTTTTGATGTTTGCATTCAACTCACAGAGTTGAACATTCCTCTTGATAGAGCATTTTTAAAACACTCTTTTTGTAGAATCAGCAAGTGGATATTTGGACCTTTTTGAGGCCTTCTTTGGAAACGGGATTTCTTCATATAAAACTAGAGAGAAGAATTCTCAGATACTTCTTTGTAATGTGTGTATTGAACTCACAGGGTTGAAACTTCCTTTCGATAGAGCAGTTTTGAATCCCTCTTCTTGTAGAATTTCCAAGTGAATATTTAGAGCTCTTGGAGGCCTGTGGTAGAAAAGGAAATATCTTCGTATAAAAACTAGACAGAATCATTCTCAGAAACTACTTTGTGATGTGTGCGTTCAACTCACAGTGTTTAACCATTCCTTTGGTAGAGCAGTTTTGAAACACTATTTTTTTAGAATTTGCAATTGTGTATTTAGAGGGCTTTGAGGCCTATGGTAGAAAAGGAAATATGATCATATGAAAACTAGACAGAAGCATTCTCAGAAACTACTTTTTGATGTTTGCATTCAACTCACAGAGTTCAACATTCCTTTTGATAGAGCACGTTTGAAATACTCTTTTTGTAGAATCTGCAAGTGGATATTTGGACCTCTTTGAGGCCTTCGTTGGAAACGGGAAATTTTCACATAAAAACTAGACAGAAGAATTCTCCAAAACTTTTTGCGATGTGTGCATTCAACTCACAGAGTTGAACCTTCCTTTTGATAGAGCAGTTTTGAAAAACTCTTTTTGTAGAATTTCCAAATGTATATTTAGAGCGATTTGAAGCCAATGGTAGAAAAGGAAATATCTTCATATAAAAACTAGACAGAATCTTTCTCAGAAACTACTTTGTGACGTGTGCATTCAACTCACAGAGTTTAACCTTTCTTTTGCTAGAGCAGTTTTGAAACACTCTGTTTGTAAAGTCTGCAAGTGGATTTTTGGAAAGCTTTGAGGCTTTCTTTGGAAACGGTAATATCTTTACATAAAAGGTAGACAGAAGTATTCTCAGAAACTTCTTTGTGATGCCTGCATTCAACTCAGAGAGTTGATCCTTCCTTTTGATAGAGCAGTTTTGAAACACTCTTTTTGTAGAATTTCCAAGTGGACATTTAGAGCACTCTGTGGCCTATGGAAGAAAAGGAAATAGCTTCATATAAAAACTAGACAGAATCATTCTCAAAAACTGCTTAGTGTTGTATGTTTTCAACTCACAGAGTTTAAGCTTTCTTTTGATAGAGGAGTTTTGAAACACTCTTTTTGTAGAATTTGCAGGTGTATATTTAGAGCGCTTGAAGGCCTATGGTAGAAAGGGCAATATCTTCACATAAAAACTAGACAAAAGCATTCTCAAAAAGTACTTTGTGATGTTTGCATTCAACTCACAGAGTTCAACATTCCCTTTGATAAAGCAGTTTTGAAACACTCTTTTTGTAGAATCTGCAAGTTGACACTTGGACTTCTTTGAGGCCTTCATTGGAAAGGGGAATTTCTTCACGTAAAAACTAGACAGAAGAATTCTCAGAAACTTTTTGTGATGTGTGCATTCAACTCATAGAGTTGAACCTTGCTTTTATTAGAGCAGTTTTGAAACATTCTTTTTGTAGAATTTGCAAGTGTATATTTAGAGCGCTTTGAGGCATATGGTGGAAAAGGCAATATCTTCACATAAAAACTAGACAGAAGCACTGTCAGAAACTACTTTGTAATATTTGCATTCAACTCACAGAGTTCAACATTCGCTTTGATAGAGCAGTTTTTGAAACACTCTTTTTGTAGAAACTGCAAGAGTATATTTGGACCTCTTTGAGGCCTTCGTTGGAAAGGGGAAATTCTTTACAAATAAACTAGACAGAAGAATTCTCAGAAATTACTTTGTGATGTGTTCATTCAACTCACAGATTTGAGCCTTCCTTTTGATAGAGCAGTTTTGAAACCCTCTTTTTATAGAATTTCCAAGTGAATATTTGGAGCGCCTGGAGGCCTGCGGCATAAAAAGAAATATCATCATAGAAAAACTAGAAAGAATCATTCTCAGAAACTACTTTGTGATGTGTGAGTTTAACTCACAGAGTTTAACATTTGTTTTGATAGACCAGTTTTGAAACGCTCTTTTTGTAGAATTTGCTGGTGTGTTTTTAGAGGACTTTGAGGCCTAAGGTAGAAAAGGAAATTTCTTCACAGAAAAACTAGACGGAATCATTCTCAGAAACTACTTTGTAATGTGTGCTTTCAGCTCACAGAGTTTAACTTTTCTTTTGATAGAACAGCTTTGAAACACTGTGTTTGTATTCTCTGCAAGTGGATATTTGGAGCGCTTTGAGGCCTTCTTTGGAAACGGGAATATCTTCACATAAAAATTAGACAGAAGTATTCTCAGAAACTTCTTTGGGATGTCTGCATTCAACTCACAGAGTTGAACCTTCCTTTTTATAGAGCTGTTTTGATACACTCTTTTTGTAGAATTTGCAAGTGGATATTTAGAGCGCTATGGGGCCTATGGTAGAAAAGGAAATATCTTCATAGAAAAACTACACAGAATCATTCTCGGAAACTACTTTGTGATGTTTGCATTCAACTCACAGAGTTGAGCATTCCTTTTGATAGAGCAGTTTTATAACACTCCTTTTGTAGCATCTGTATGTGGATATGTGGACCTCTTTGAGGACTTCTTTGGAAACGGGAATTTCTTCTATAAAAACGAGACAGAGGACTTCTCAGAAACTTCTTTGTGATGTGTGCATTGAACTCAGGGTGATGAACCTTCCTTTCGATACACGAGTTTTGAAACACTCTTTTTGTACAATTTCCAAGTGGAAATTTAGAGCGATTTGTGGCTTATGGTAGAAAATGAAATATCTTCATATAAAAACTAGAGAGAATAATTCTCAGTAACTACTTCGTGATGTGTGCGTTCAACTCACAGAGTTTAACATTTCTTTTGATAGAGCAGTTTTGAAACACTCTTTTTGTAGAATTTGCAAGTGGATATTTAGAGCACTTTGAGGCCTATGGCATAAAAGGAAATATCTTCACATAAAAGCTAGACAGAAGCATTCTCAGAAACTACTTTTTGATGTTTGATTAAACTCACAGAGTTGAACATTGCTCTTGATAGAGCAGTTTTGAAACACTTTTTTTGTAGAATCTCCAAGTGGATATTTGGACCTCCTTGAGGCCTTTGTTGGAAACGGGAATTCTTCATATAAAACTAGACAGAAGAATTCTCAGAAATTTCTTTGTGATGTGTGCATTCAACTAACAGAGCTGAACCTACCTTTCGATAGAGCAGTTTTGAAAAACTCTTTTTGTAGAATTTCCAAGTGAATGTGTAGAGTGCTTGGAGGCATATGGTAGAAAAGGAAATATTTTCATATAAAAACTAGACAGAGTCATTCTCAGAAACTACTTTGTGATGTGTGCATTAAACTCACTGAGTTTAACTGTTGTTCTGATAGAGCAGTTTTGAAACACTCTTTTTGTAGAATTTGCAAGTGTGTATTTAGAGGGTTTTGAGGCCTCTGGTATAAAAGGAAATATATTCACATAAAAACTAGACAGAAATGTTCTCAGAAACTACTTTGTGATGTTTGCATTCAACTGAGAGAGTTCAACATTCCTTTTGATAGAGCACGTATGAAACACTCTTTTTGTTGAATCTGCAAGTGGATATTTGGACCTCTTTGGGGCCTTCTTTGGAAACGGTAATTTTTTCACATGAAAAGTAGACCGAAGAATTCTCCGAAACTTTTTGGGGTGTGTGCGTTCATCTTACAGAGTTTAATCTTTCTTTTGATAGAGCAGTTTTGAAACACTCTGTTTGTAAATTCTGCAAGTGGATATTTGGAGGGCTTTGAGGCCTTATATGGAAACGGGAATATCTTCACATAAAAAGTAGACAGAAGTATTCTCAGAAACTTCCTTATGATGTCTGCACTCAACTCACACAATTGAACCTTCCTTTTGATAGAGCAGTTTTGAAACACTCTTTTTGTAGAATTTACAAGTGCATATGTAGAGCGCTTTGAGGCCTATGGCAGAAAAGGAAATCTATTCATATAAAAACTAGACAGAATCATTCTCAGAAACTACTTTGTGATGTATGCATTCAACTCACAGAGTTTAAACTTTATTTGATAGAGCAGCTTTGAAACACTCTTTTTATACAATTTGCAAGTGTATATTTAGAGCGCTTTGAGGCCTATGGTAGAAAAGGAAATATCTTCACATAAATACTAGACAGAAGCATTCTCAGAAACTACTTTGTGATGTTTCAATCCAACTCACAGATTTGAACATTGCTCTTGATAGAGCAGTTTTGAAACACTCTTTTTGAAGAATCTGCAAGTGAATTTTTGGACCACTTTTAGGACTTCATTGGAAACAGGATTTCTTCATATAAAACTAGACAGAAGAATTCCCAGAAACTTCTTTGTGGTGTGTGCATTGAACTCACAGATTTGAACCTTCCTTTCGATAGAGCAGTTTTGAGACACTCTTTTTGTAGAATTTCCAAGTGAATATTTAGAGAGCTTGGAGGTCTATGGTAGAAAAGGAAATATCTTCATATAAAAACTAGACAGAATCTTTCTCAGAAACTACTTTGTAATGTGTGCGTTCAACTGACAGTGTTTAAGCTTTCTTTTTATAGAGCAGTTTTGAAACACTCTTTTTGTAGAATTTGCAAGTGTGTATTTAGCGGGCTTTGAACCCTATGGTAGAAAACGAAATATCTTCATATAAAAACTAGACAGAATCATTCTCAGAAACTACATTGTGATGTGTGCATTGAACTCACAGAATTTAACCTTTCTTTTGATAGAGCAGTTTTGAAACACCCTGTTTGTAAAGTCTGCAAGTGGATTTTTGGAGCGCTTTGAGGCCTTCCTTGGAAACGGGAATATCTTCACATAAAAATTAGATAGAAGTATTCTCAGAAACTTCTTAGTTATGTCTGCACTCAACTTACAGAGTTGAACCTTCCTTTTGTTAGAGCAGTTTTGAAACATTATTTTTGTAGAATTTGCAAGTGGATATTTTGAGCGCTTTGAGGCCTATGGTAGAAAAGGATATCACTTCATGTAAAACCTAGACAGAATCATTCTCAGAAACTACTTTCTGATGTGTGTGTTCAAGTCACAGTGTTTAAACTTTCTTTTGATAGAGCAGTTCTGAAAGACTCTGTTTGAAAAGTCTGCAAGTGGACATTTGTAGCGCTGTGAGGCCTTATTTGGAAACGGAATTATCTTCACATAAAAAATAGACAGAAGTATTCTCAGAAACTTCTTTGTGATGTCTGCACTCACCTCACAGATTTGAACCTTCGTTTTGATAGAGAAGTTTTGAAACACTCTTTATGTAGAATTTGCAAGTGGATATTTAGACAGCTTTGGGGCCTATGGTAGAAAAAGGAATATCTTCATAGAAAAACTAGACAGAAGCATTCTCAGAAACTACTTTGTAATGTTTGCATTCAACTCACAGAGTTGAACATTCGTTTTGATAGAGCAGTTTTGTAACACTCTTTTTGTAGAATCTGCAAGTGGATATTTGGACTTCTTTGAGGCCTTCGATGAAAACGGGCATTTCTTCATGTAAAAACTAGACAGAAGAATTCTCAGAAACATCTTTGTGATGTGTGCATTCAACTCACACAGTTGAACTTTCCTTTCGATAGAGCAGTTCTGAAAGACTCTTTTTGTAGAATTACCAAGTAGATATTTAGAGCGCTTTGAGGCCTATGGCAGAAAAGGAAATATCTTCATAGAGAAACTAGACAGAGTAATTCTCAGAAACTACTTTGTGATGTGTGCATTAACCTCACAGAGTTGAACATTTCTTTCTATAGAGCAGTTTTGAAACACTCTTTTTGTAGAATTTCCAAGTGGAAATTTAGAGTTCTTTGAGGCCTATGGTGGAAAAGGAAATATCTTCATATAAAAACTAGGCAGAATCATTCTCAGAAACTATTTTGTGATGTGTGCGTTCAACTCACAGAGTTTAATCTTTTTTTGACAGAGCAGTTTTGAAACACTATTTGTAGAATTTGCAAGTGTATATTTAGAGCGCTTTGAGGCCTATGGCAGAAAAGGAAATATCTTCATATAAAAACTAGACAGAAGCATTTTCAGAAACTACTTTGTGGTGTTTGCACTCAACTCACAGAGTTGAACATTCCTCTTGATAGAGCAGTTTTCAAACACTCTTTTTGTAGAATCTGCAAGTGGATATTTAGACCTCTTTGAGGCCTTCATTGGAAACGGGTTTTCTTCACATAAAACTAGACAGAAGAATTCTCAGAAACTTCTTTGTGATGTGTCAATTCAACTAACAGAGTTGAACTTTCTTATCAATAGAGCGGTTTTGAAACACCCTTTTTGTAGAATTTCCAATTGAATATTTAGAGCGCTTGGAGGCCTATGGTAGAAAAGGAAACATCTTCATATATAATGTAGACAGAATCTTTCTCAGAAACTACTTTGTGATGTTTGCATTCAACTCACAGTGTTGAATATTCCTCTTGATAGAGCAGTTTTGAAATACTCTTTTTGTGGAATTTGCAAGTGTGTATTCAGAGGGCTTTGTTGAAACACTCTTTTAGTAGAATCTGCAAGTGGATATTTAGAGCAGTTTGAGGCCTATGGTACGAAAGGAAATTTCTTCCTATAAAAACTAGACAGAATCATTCTCAGAAACAACTTTGTGATGTGTGCGTTCAACTCACAGAGTTTAACTTTTCTTTTGATTGAGCAATTTTGAAGCACCCTGTTTGTGAAGTCTGCAAGTGGATATTTGGAGTGCTTTGAGGCCTTCTTCGGAAACGGGAGTAACTTCCAATAAAATGTAGACAGAAGTATTCTTAGAAACATCTTTGTGATTTCTGCACTGAACTCACAGAATTGAAACTTCCTTTTGATAGAACAGTTTTGAAACACTCTTTTTGTAGAATTTGCAAGTGGATATTTAGAGTGCTTTGGGGCCTATGGTAGAAAAGCAAATATCTTCATAGAAAAACTACACAGAAGCATTCTCAGAAACTACTTTGTGATGCTTGTATTCAACTCACAGTGCTGAACATTCCTTTTGATACAGCAGTTTTGTAACACTCTTTTTGTAGCATCTGCATATGGATATTTGGACCTCTTTGAGGCCTTCTTTGGAAACGGTAATTTCTTCTATAAAAACTAGACAAAATAATTCTCAGAAAATTCTTTGTGATTTGTGCATTAACCTCACAGAGTTGAACGTTTCTTTCAATAGAGCAGTTTTGAAACACTCTTTTTGTACAATATCCAAGTGGATATTTAGAGCGCTTTGAGGCCAATGGTGGAAAAGGAAATATCTTCATAGAAAAACTAGACAGAAGCATTCTCAGAAGATAATTTGTGATGTGTGCATTCAACTGACAAAGTTCAACCTTTATTTTGATAGAGCAATTTTGAAACACTCTTTTTGTAGAACTTCCAGTGGATATTTAGAGTGATTTGAGGTCTATGGTAGCAAAGGAAATATCTTCACATAAAAACTACACAGAAGAATTCTGAGAAACTACTTTGTGATGTTTGCATTCAACTCACAGAGTTGAACATTCCTTTTGATAGAGCAGTTTTGTAACACTCTTTTTGTAGAATCTGCAAGTGGATATTTGGACCTCTTCGAGACCTTCGTTGGAAACAGGAATTTCTTCATGTAAAAACTAGACAGAAGAATTCTCAAAAACTTCTTTGTGATGTGTGCATTCAACTCACGGAGTTGAACTTCCCTTTTGATAGAGCAGTTTTGAAACACACTTTTGGTAGAATTTCCAAGTGAATATTTAGAGCGCTATGAGGCCTATGGTAGAAAAGGGTATATCTTCATATAAAAACTGGACAGAATCATTCTCAGAAACTACTTTGTGATGTGTGTGTTCAACTCATAGAGTTTAACCTTTCTTTTAATAGAGCAGTTTTCAAACACTCTGTTTGTAAAGTCTGCAAGTGGATATTTGGAGCGCTTTGAGGCCTTCTTTTGAAACGGGAGTATCTTCACATAAAAAGTAGACAGAAGTATTCTCAGAAATTTCTCTGTGATGTCTGCACTCAGCTCACAAGTTGAACCTTCCTTTTGGTAAAGCAGTTTTGAAACACTCTTTTTGTAGAATTTACAAGTGGATATTTAGAGCGCTTTGGGGCCTATGGTAGAAAAGGAAATATCTTCATAGCAAAACTAGACCGAAGCATTCTGATAACCTACTTTGTGATGTTTCCATTCTATTCACAGAGTTGAACATTCCTTTTGATAGAGCAGTTTTGTAACACTGTTTTTGTAGAATCTGCAAGTGTATATTTGGACTTCTTTGAGGCTTTCGTTGGAAACCAGAATTTCTTCATATAAAAACAAGACAGAAGAATTCTCAGAAACTTCTTTGTGATATGTGCATTCAACTCAGAGAGTGGAACATTCCGTTCGATAGAGCAGTTTTGAAACACTCTCTTTGTTGAATTTCCAAGTGGATATTTAGAGCGCTTAGAGGCCTACGGCAAAAAAGGAAATATCTTCATATAAAAACTAGACAGAATCATTCTCAGAAACTACTAAGTGATGTGTGTGTTCAAGTCACAGAGTTTAATCTTTCATTTGATAGAATAGTTTTGAAACACTCTTTTTGTAGTATCTGCAAGTCGATATTTGGATCTCTTTGAGGCCTTCGTTGGAAACGGGATTTCTTCATATACAACTAGACAGAAGAATTTTCAGAAACTTCTTTGTGATGTGTGGATTCAACTCATAGAGTTGAACCTTCCTTTCATTAGAGCAGTTCCAAAACCCTCTTTTTGTAGAATTTCCAAGTAGATAATTAGAGCGCATTGAAGCCTATGGTAGAAAAGGAAATATCTTCATATAAAAACTAGACAGACTCATTCTCAGGAACTACTTCGTGATGTGTGCATTCAACTCACAGAGTTTAACCTTTCTTTTGATAGAACAGGTTTGAAACACTCTTTTTGTAGAATTTGCAGGTGTATATTTAGAGCGCATTGAGACCTATGGTAGAAAAGGAAATATCTTCACATAAAAACTAGACAGAAGCATTGTCAGAAACTACTTTGTGATGTTTACATTCAACTCAGAGAGTTGAACATTCCTCTTGATAGAGCAGTTTTGAAACACTGTTTTTGTAGAATCTGCAAGTGGATATTTGGAACTCTTTGAGGCCTTCGTTGGAAATGGGATTTCTTCATATAAAACTAGACAGAAGAATTCTCAGAAACTTCTTTGTGATGTGTGCATTCAACTCACAGAGTTGAAACTTCCTTTTGATAGAGCAGTTTTGAAACACTCTTTTTGTAGAATTTCCAAGTGAATATTTTGGGCACTTTGAGGCCTATGGTAAAAAAGGAAATATCTTCATAGAAAAATTAGACAGAATCATTCTCAGAAACGACTTTGTGATGTGTGCGTTACACTCACAGAGTTTAACATTTCTTTTGATAGAGCAGTTTTGTAACACTCTTTTTGAAGAATCTGCAAGTGTCTATTTGGACCTCTTTGAGGCCTTCATTGGAAACGGGAATTTCTTCACATATAAACTAGACAGAAGATTTCTCAGAAACTTTTTGTAATGTGTGCATTCAACTCACAGAGTTGAACCTTCCTTTTGATAGAGCACTTTGGAAACACTCTTTTTGTAGAATTTCCAATTGGATATTTAGAGCTCTTTGAGGCCTATAGTAGAAAAGGAAATATCTTCATAGAAAAACTAGACAGAATCTTTCTCATAAACTACTTTGTGAAGTGTGTGCTCAATGCACAGAGTTTATCCTTTCTTTTGATAGAATAGTTTTTAAACACTCTTTTTGTAGAATTTGCAAGTGTGTATTTATAGGGCTTTGAGGCCTATGGTAGAAAGGAAATATGTTCACATAAAAACTAGACAGAAATATTCTCAGAAACTACTTTGTGATGTTTGCATTCAACTCACAGCGTTCAACATTCCTTTTGAGAGGGCAGTTTTGAAACACTCTTTTTGAAGAATTTCCAAGTGGATATTTAGAGCACTTTGATTCTTATGGTAGAAAAGAAAATATCTTCGTAGAAAACTAGACAGAATCATTCTCAGAAACTACTTTGTGATGTGTGCGTTCATCTCACAGAGTATAACCTTTCTTTTTATGTAGAAGTTCGGTAACACTCTGTTTGTAAAGTCTGCAAGTGGATATTTGGAGCACTTTGAAGCCTTCATTGGAAACGGGAATATCTTCACATAAAAAGTAGACAGAGGTATTCTCAGAAACTTCTTTGTCATGTCTGCACTCAACACACAGAATTGAGCTATCCTTTTTTTTTTTTTTTTTTTTTTTTTTTTTTTTGAGACGGAGTCTCGCTCTGTCGCCCAGGCCGGACTGCGGACTGCAGTGGCGCAATCTCGGCTCACTGCAATGGGCTATCCTTTTGATAGAGCAGTTTTGAAACACTCTCTTTGTAGAATTTGCAAGGGGATATTTAGAGCGCTTTGAGGCCTATGGTAGAAAAGGAAATATCTTCATATAAAAACTGGACAGAATCATTCTCAGAAACTACTTTGTGATATGTGCATTCAACTCACAGAGTTTAACCTTTCTTTTGATAGAGTAGTTTTGAAACACTCTGTTTGTAAAGTCTGCAAGTGGATATTTGGAGCTTTTTGAGGCCTTCTTTTGAAACGGGAGTATCTTCACATAAAAAGTAGACAGAAGTATTCTGAGAAACTTCACTGTGATGTCTGCACTCAACTCACAGAGCTGAACCTTCCTTTTGATAAAGCAGTTTTGAAATACTCTTTTTGTAGAATATGCAAGTGGATAATTAGAGCACTTTGGGGCCTGTGGTAGAAAAGGAAATATCTTCGTAGCAAAACTATACAGAAGCATTCTGAAAAACTTCTTTTTAATGTTTGTATTCAACTCACAGAGTTGAACATTCTTTTTGATAGGGAAGTTTTGTAACTCTCTTTTTGCAGAATCTGCCAGTGTATATTTGGACCTCTTTGAGGCATTCGTTGGAAACGGGAATTTCTTCATATAAAAACTAGACAGAAGAATTCTCAGAAACTTCTTTGTGATATGTGCATTCAACTCACAGAGTGGAACATTCCTTTCGATAGGGCCGTTTTGAAACACTCAATTCGTTGAATTTCCAAGTGGATATTTAGAGCACTTTGAGGCCTATGGCAGAAAAGGAAATATCTTCGTAGAAAAACTAGACAGAATCATTATCAGAAACTACTTTGTGATGTGTGCGTTCAAGTCACAGAGTTTAACCTTTCTTTTGATTGAGCAGTTTTGAAACACTCTTTTTGTAGAATTAGCAAGTATGTATTTAGAGCCCTTTGAGGGCTATGGTAGAAAAGGAAACATCTTCATAGGAAAACTACACAGAGTCATTCACAGAAAGTACTTTGTGATGTGTGCATTTTACTCACAGAGATTAACCATTCTTTAGATAGAGCAGGTTTGAAACTCTCTTTTTGTAAAGTCTTCAAGTGTATATTTGGAGCGTTTTGGGGCCTTCTTTGGAAAAGGGAGTATCTTCACATAAAAGTAGACAGAAGTATTCTCAGGAACTACTTTGTGATGTCTGCACTCAACTCACAGAGTTGAAATTTCCTTTTGATAGAGCAGATTTGAAACACCCTTTTTGTAGAATTTCCAAGTGGATATTTAGAGCGCTTTGAGTCCTATGGTAGAAAAGGAAATATCTTCATATAAAAACTATACAGAATCATTCTCAGGAACTACTTTGTGATGTGTGCGTTCAACTCACATAGTTTAAACTCTCTTTTGATAGAGCAGTTTTGAAACGCTGTTTTTGTGGAATTTGCAAGAGTGTAATTAGGCGGCTTTGACGCCTATGGTAGAAAAGGAAGTATCTTCACATAAAAACTAGACAGACGCATTCTCAGATACTACTTTGTGATGTTTGCATTCAACTCACAGAGTTCAACATTCCTTTTGATAGAGCAGTTTTGAAACACTATTTTTGTATAATCTGCAAGTGGATATTTGGATCTCTTAGAGGCCTTCGTTGGAAACGGGAATTTCTTCACATAAAAACTAGACAGAAGAATTATCAGAAACTTTTTCTGATGTGTGCATTCAACTCACAGAGTTGAACCTTCCTTTTGATAGAGCAGTTTTGAAAAAATCTTTATGTGGGATTTCAAAGTGGATTTTTAGAGCGGTTTGAAGCCTTTGGTAGAAAAGGAAATATCTTCATAGAAAAAATAGACAGAATCATTCCCAGAAACTGCTTTGTGATGTGTGCGTTCAACTCACAGAGTTTAACATTTCTTAGAACAGTTTTGAAACACTCTTTTTCTAGAATTTGCAATATTATATTTAGAGCGCTTTGAGGCCTATGGTAGAAAAGGAAATATCTTCACATAAAAACTATACAGAAGCATTCTCAGAAACTAGTTTTTGATGTTTGCTTTCAACTCACAGAGTTGAACATTCCTCTTGATAGAACTGTTTTGAAACACTCTTTTTGTAGAATCTTCAATTGGATACTTGGACCTCTTTGAGGACTTCGCTGGAAATGGGATTTCTTCATATAAAACTAGAAAGAAGAATCTCAGAAACTTCTTTGTGATGTGTGCATTCAACTCACAGAGTTGACTCTTCCTTTCGATAGAGCAGTTTTGATACACTCTTTTTGTAGAATTTCCAAGTGGATAACTAGAGCACTTGGAGGCCTATGGTAGAAAAGGAAATATCTTCATAGAAAAACTACACGGAATCATTCTCAGAAACTACTTTGTGATGTGTGTCTTCAACTCACAGTTTAACCTTTCTTTTGATAGAGCAGTTTTGAAACACTCTTTTTCTATAGTTTGCTGTTGTATATTTAGAGTGCTTGGAGGCCTATGGTAGAAAACGAAATATCTTCATATAAAAACTAGATGGAAGCATTCTCAGAAACTACTTTGTGATGTTTCCATTGAACTCCCAGATTTGAACATTCCTGTTGATAAAGCAGCTTTGAAACACTCTTTTTGAATAATCTGCAAGTGGATATTTGGACCACTTTGAGGCCATCCTTGGAAACGGGAATTTCTTCACATAAAAACTAGACGGAAGAATCCTCAGAAACTTTTTGTGATGTGTGCATTCAACTCGCAGTTTGAACCTTCCTTTTGATAGAGCAGTTTTGGAACACTCTTTGTGTAGAATTTCCAAAAGGATATTTAGGGCACTTTGAAGCCTATGGTAGAAAAGGAAATATCTTCACAGAAAAACTAGACAGAATCATTCTCTGAAACTGCCTTGTGATGTGTGCGTCCAACTCACAGAGTTTAACCTTTCTTTTAATAGAGCAGTTTTGAAACACTCTGCTTGTAAAGTCTGAAAGTGGATATTTGGTGTGCTTTGAGGCCTTCTTTGGAAGCGGAAGTATCTTCACATAAAAAGTAGACAGAAGAATTCTGAGAAACTTCTTTGTGATGTCTGCACTCAACTCACAGAATTTAACCTTCCTTTTGATAGAGCAGATTTGAAACACTCTTTTTGTAGAATTTGCAAGTGGATATTTACAGCGCTTCTGGGCCTATGGTAGAAAAGGAAATATCTTCATAGAAAAACTACGCAGAATCATTCTGAGAAAATACTTTCTGATGTTTGCATTCAACTCACATAGTTGAACATTCCTTTTGATAGAGCAGTTTTGTAACACTCTTTTTGTAGAATCTGCAAGTGTATATTTGGACCTCTTTGAGACCTTCCTTGGAAACGTGAATTTCTTCATATAAAAACTATACAGAAAAATTCTCAGAAAATTCTTTGTGATGTGTGCATTCAACTCAGAGAGCTGAACGTTTCTTTCGATAGAGCCGTTTTGAAACATTCTTTTCGTAGAATTTCCAAGTGGGTATTTAGAGTGCTTTGAGACCTAAGCTATAAAAGAATATATCTTCATATAAAAACGAGACAGAATCATGCTCAGAAACTACTTTGTGATGTGTGCCTTCAACTCACAGAGCTTAACCTTTCTTTTGATAGCACAGTCTTTTAACACTCTTTTTGTAGAATTGGCATGTGTATATTTAGAGTGCTTTGAGGACTACTGTAGAAAAGGAAATATCTTCATATAAAAATTAGACAGAAGCATTCTCAGGAACTACTTTTTGATGTTTGCATTCACCTCACAGAGTTGAATATTTCTCCAGATAGAGAAGTTCTGAAACACTCTTTTTGTGTAATCTGCAAGTGGATATTTTGATCTCTTTGAGGACTTCATTGAAAACGGGATTTCTTCATATAAAAGTAGACAGAAGAATTCTCAGAAACTTCTTTGTGCTGTGTGCTTTCAACTCACAGAATTGAACCTGCATTTCGATACAGCAGTTTCAAAACACTCTTTTGGTAGAATTTCCAAGTGAATATTTAGAGCGCTTGGAAGCCTACGGTTGAAAAAGTAATATCTTCATATAAAAACTACACAGAATCATTCTCAGAAACTATTTTGTGAAGTGTGCGTTCAACTCACAGAGTTTAAGCTTTCTTTTGATAGAGCAGTTTTGAAACACACTTTATGTAGAATTTGCAAGGTTATATTTAGAGCGCTTTGAGGCCTATGGTAGAAAAGGAAATATCTTCACATAAAAACTAGACAGAAGCATTCTCAAAAACTACATTGTGACGTTTGCATTCAACTCACAGAATTGAAAATTCCTATTGATAGAGGAGTTTTGAAACACTCTTTTTGAAGTATCTGCAACTGGATATATTGACGTCTTTGAGGCCTTAGTTGGAAATGGGCATTTCTTCATATAAATCTAGACAGAAGAATTCTCAGAAACTTCTTTGTGTTGTGTGCATTCAATTCACAGAGTTGAAACTTCCTTTCGATAGAGTAGTTTGATACTCTCTTTTTGTAGAATTTCCAAGTGGATATTTAGAGCGCTTGGAGGCCTATGGTAGAAAAGGAAATAAGTTCATAGAAAAACTACACAGAATCATTCTCAGAAATTATTTTGTGATGTGTGCATTCAACTCACAGAGTTTAACCTTTCTTTTATAGAGCAGTTTTGAAACACTCTTTTTGTAGAGTTTGCAAGTGTATATTTAGAGTTCTTGGAAGCCTATGGTATAAAAGGAAATATCTTCATATATAAACAAGATGGAAGAATTCTCAGAAACTACTTTGTAATGTTTGCATTCAACTCACAGAGTTGAACATTCCTATTGAGAGAGCAGTTTTGAAACAATCTTTTTGAAGAATCTACAACTGGATATTTAGACCTCTTTGAGGCCTTCATTAGGAACGGGATTTTTTCATATAAATCTAGACAAAAGATTTCTCAGAAATTTCTTTGTGATGTGTGCATTCAACTCAGAGAGTTGAATCTCCCTTTCGATAGAGCAGTTTTGAAACACTCTTTTTTTTAGAATTTCCAAGTGAATATTTAGAGCGCTTTGAAGCCTATGGTAGAAATATCTTCATATAAAATCTAGACAGAATCATTCTCAGAAACTACTCTGTGATGTGTGCGTTCAACTCACAGAGTTTAACCTTTCCTTTGATAGAGCAGTGTCGAAACACTCTGTTTGTAATGTCTGCAAGTGAATATTTGGAACGCTTTGAGGCCTTCTTTGGAAACAGGAATATCTTCACATAAAAAGTAGGCAGAAGTATTCTCAGAAACTTCTTTGTGATGTCTGCACTCAACTCACAGAGTTGAACATTCCTTTTGACAGAGCAGTTTTGAAAAACTCTTTTTGTAGAATTTGAAGTGGATATTTAGAGCACTTTGAGACCTATGTTAGAAAAGGAAATATCTTCATATAAAAACTAGACAGAATCATTCTCAGAAACTACTTTGTGATGTGTGCGTTCAGCTCACAGAGTTTAAACTTTCCTTTGATAGAGCAGTTTTGAAACACTCTTTTTGTAGAAGCTGCAAGTGCATATTTGGAACTCTTTGAGGCCTTCGTTGGAAAGGGGATTTCTTCTTATAAAACTAGACAGAAGCATTAACAGAAACTTCATGGTGATGTGTTCGTTTCACTTTCAGAGTTTAACCTTTCTTTTGATAGAGCAGTTTTGAAACACTCTTTTTGTAGAATTTCCAAGAGAATATTAAGAGCACTTGGAGGCCTATGATAGAAATGTAAATATCTTCATATAAAAACAAGGCAGAATCATTCTCAGAAAGTACTCTGTGATGTGTGCGTTTAACTCACGTGGTTAACCTTCCTTTTGATAGACTAGTTTTGAAACACTCTTTCTGTAGAATTTGCAAGTGTATATATAGAGCGCTTTGAGGCCTACGGTAGAAAAGGGAATATTTTCATACAAAAACTAGACGGAAGCATTCTCAGAACCTACTTTGTGATGTTTGCATTCAACTCACAGAGTTGAATATTGCTCTTGATAGAGCAGTTCTGAAACACTCTTTTTGCAGAATTTGCAAGTGAATATTTGAACCTCTTTCAGGCCTTCGTTGGAAACGTGATTTCTTCATATAAAACTAGACAGAAGAATTCTCAGAAACTTCTTTGTGACGTGTGCATTCAACTCACAGTGTTGAACCTACTTCCGATAGGGCAGTTTTGAAACACTCTTTTTGTAGTATTTCCAAGTGAATATTTAGATCACTTGGAGGCCTACCGTAGAAAAGGAAATATCTTCTAGAAAAACTGGACAGAATCATTCTCAGAAACTACTTTGTGATGTGTGCATTAAACTCACAGAGTTTGACCTTTCTTCTGTAGAGCAGTTTTGAAATGCTTTTTTTGTGCCAGTGTGTATTTAGAGGGCTTTGCGGCCTATGGTAGAAAAGGAAATATGTTCACATAAAAACTAGAGTGAAGCATTATCAGAAGCTACTTTGAGATGTTTGCATTCAACTCACAGAGTTTAACATTCCTTTTGATGGAGCAGTGTTGAAACACTCTTTTGTAGAATCTGCAAGTGGATATTTGCACCTCTTTGAGGCCTTCGTTGGAAACGAATTTCTACACATAAAAACTAGACCGAAGAATTCTCAGAAACGTTTTGTGATGTGTGCATTCAATTCACAGAGTTGAAACTTCCTTTTCATAGAGCAGTTTTGAAACACTCTTTTTGTAGAATTTCCAATTGAATATTTAGAGCGCTTGGAGGCCTATGTTAGAAAAGTAAATATCTTCATATAAAAACGAGGCAGAATCAGTCTCAGAAACTACTCTGTGACGTGTGCCTTCAACTCACATGGTTTAACCTTCTTTTTGATAGAGCAGTTTTGAAACACTCTTTTTGTAGAATTTCCAAGTGTATATTTGGAGGGCTTTGAGGCCTATGGTAGAAAAGGAAGTATCTTGTCAAACAACTAGACAGAAGCATTCTCAGAACCTACTTAGTGATGTTTGCATTCAGCTCACAGAAATGAACATTCCTCTTGATAGATCAGTTTTGAAACACTCTTTTTAGAGAATCTGTAAGTGGATATATGGACCTCTTTGAGGCCTTCGTTGGAAACGGGAATTTCTTCAGCTAAAACAAAACAGAAGAATTCTCAGAAACTTCTTTGTGATGTGTGCATTCAACTCACGGAGTTGAAACTTCCTTTGGATAGAGCAGTTTTCTAACACTATTTTTCTAGAATTTACAAGTGGATATTTAGAGCGCTTTGAGGCAAATGTTATAAAAGGTAATATCTTCATAGAAAAATGACAGAATCATTCTCAGAAATTATCTTGTGATGTGTGCGTTCAACTCACAGAGTGTAACCTTTCTTTTGATAGAGCAGCTTTGGAACACTCTTTTGGTCGTATTTGCAACTGTATATTTAGAGTGCTTTGAGGCCTATGGTAGAAAAGGATATATCCTGTCATAACAACTAGACAGAAGCGTTCTCAGAACCTACTTTGTTATGTTTGCATTCAACTCACAGAGTTGAACATTCCTCTTGATAAAGCAGTTTTGAAACACTCTTTTTATAGAATCTGTAAGTGGATATATGGACCTCTTTGAGGCCTTCGTTGGAAAAGGGAGTTTCTTCATATAAAAACTAGACAGAAGAATTTTCTGAAATTTCTATGTGATGTTTGCATTGAACTCAGAGATTTGAACGTTCCTTTTGATAGAGCAGTTTTGAAACACTCTTTTTGTAGAATTTCTCAGTGGATATTTTGAGCTTTTTGAGGTCTGTTGTAGAAAAGAAAATATCTTCATAGAAAAACTAGACAGAATCATTCTCAGAAACTGCTTTGTGATGTGTGCGTTCAACTCACAGAATTTAAATTTCTTTTGATAGAACAGTTTTGAAACACTCTTTTTGTAGAATTTGCAAGTGTATATTTAGAGTGCTTTGAGGCCTATGGTAGAAACGGAAATATCTTCATGTAAAAATTAGACGGAAGCATTCTCAGAAACTACTTTGTGATGTGTGCGTTCAACTCACAGAATTTAAATTTCTTTTGATAGAACAGTTTAGAAACACTCTTTTCGTAGAATTTGCAAGTGTATATTTAGAGTGCTTTGAGGCCTATGGTAGAAAAGGAAATATCTTCATGTAAAAACTAGACGGAAGCATTCTCAGAAACTTCTTTGTGATGTTTGCATTCAACTCACAGAGTTCAACATTCCTCTTGGTAGAGCAGTTTTGAAACACTCTTTTTGTAGGATCTGCAAATGGATATTTGGAGCGCTTTGAGGCCTTCGTTGGAAACGGGATTGCTTCATATAAAACAAGACAGAAGAATTCTCAGAAACTACTTTGTGATGTATGAGTTCAACTCACAGAATTTAACCTTTCTTTTGAGAGAGCAGTTTTGAAACACTCTGATTTTAAAGTCTGGAAGTAGATATTTAGAGCGCTTAGAGCCCTTCTTTGGAAAGGGGAGTATCTTCACATAAAAAGTAGACAGAAGTATTCGCAGAAACTTCTTTAAGATGTCTGCACTCACTCACAGAGTTGAACCTTTCTTTCGGTAGAGCCGTTATGGAACACTCTTTTTGTAGGATTTGCAAGTGTATATTTAGAGCGCTTTGAGGCCTATGGTAGAAAATGAAATATGTTCACTAAATAACTAGACAGAAGCATTGTCAGAAACTACTTTGTGATGTTTGCATTCAACTCACGGAGTTGAACATTCCTCTTGATAGAGCAGTTTTGAAACACTCTTTTTGTAGAATCTGCAAGAGGATATTTGGACCTCTTTGAGGCCTACGTTGCAAACGGGATTAATTCATATAAAACTAGACAGAAGAATTCTCAGAAACTTCTTTGTGATGTGTGCATTGAACTCACAGAGTTGAACCTTCCTTTAGATAGAGCAGTTGTGAAACACACTTTTTATATACTTTCCAACTGAATATTTAGGGCGCTTGGAGGCCTGCGGTAGAAAAGGAAATATCTTCATAGAAAAACTAGACAGAATCATTCTCAGAAGCTACACTGTGATGTGTGCATTCAACTCACACAATTTAACCTTTCTTTTGATAGAGCAATTTTGAAATCTTCTTTTTGTAGAATTTGCAATTGTGCATTTAGAGGGCTTTGAGACAGATGGTCGAAAAGGAAGTATCTTTATGTAAAAGCTAGACAGAAGCATTCTCAGAAACTAATTTGTGATGTTTGCATTCAACACAGAGTTTAACATTCCTTTTGATTGAGCAGTTTTTGAAACCGTCTTTTAGTAGAATCTGCAAGTGCATATTTGGGCCTCTTTGAGGCCTTTGTAGGAAATGGAAATTCTTCATATAAACAAGACAGAAGAATTCTCAGAAACTACTTTGTGATGTGTGCGTTCAACTCACAGAGTTTAACCTTTCTTTTGATAGAGCAGTTTTGAAACACTGTTTATTAAGTCTGCAAGTGGATATTTGGAGTGCTTTGAGACCTATGGTGGAAAAGAATATATGCTCATAAAAAAACTAGACAGAAACATTATCAGAAACTACTTTGTGATGTTTGCATTTATCTCACAGAGTTCAACATTTCTTTTGATAGAGCAGTTTTGAAACAGTCTTTTTGTAGAATATGCAAGTGGATATTTGCACCTCTTTGAGTCCTTCGTTGGAAACGTGAATTTCTTCACATAAAAACTTAACAGAAGAACTTTTCTCAGAAACTTTTTGTAATATGTACATTTAACTCAGAGAGTTGAAATTTCCTGTTGATAGAGCAGTTTTGAAACACAGTTTTTGTAGAATCTCCAAGTGGATAACTAGAGCTCTTTGAAGCCTATGGTAGAAAAGGAAATATCCTCATATTAATAGTAGACAGAATCATTCTCAGAAACTACTTTGTGATGAGTGCGTTCAACTCACAGAGTTTAACCTTTCATTTGGTAGAGCAGTTTTGAAACACTCTGTTTGTAATATCTGCAAGTAGATATTTGTACTGCTTTGAGGCCTTCTTTGGAAAAGGGAATATCTTTACATAAAAAGTAGACAGAAATATTCTCAGAAACTTCGTGATGTCTGCACTCAACTCATAGAGTTGAACCTTCCTTTTGATAGAGCAGTTTTGAAACACTCTTTTTGTGGAATCTGCAAGTTGATATTTGGACCTCTTTGAGGCCTTCGTTGGAGATGGGATTTCTTCATATAAACTAGACAGAATTCTCAGAAACTTCTTTTTCATGTCCGCATTCCACTCACAGAGTTGAACCTACCCTTCGATAGAGCAGTTTTGAAACACACTTTTTGTAGAATTTCCAAGTGAATATTTAGAGCGCTTGGAGGTCTGTGTTAGAAAAGGAAATGTCTTCATATAAAAACTAGACAGAGTCATTCTCAGAAACTACTTAGTGATGTGTGTGTTCAACTCACAGAGTTTAAACTTTCTTTTGATAGAGCAATTTTGAAAAACTCTGTTTGTAAAGTCTGTAAGTGGATATTTGGAGTTCTTTGAGACCTTCTTCAGAAACGGTAGTATCTTTACATAAAAAGAATACAGAAGTATTCTCAGAAACTTCATTGTGATGTCTGCACTCATCTCACAGAGTTTAACCTTTCTTTTGATAGAGCAGTTTTGAAGCACTCTTTTTGTAGAATTTGCAAGTGGATATTTAGATCTCTTATGGGCCTATGGTGGAAAAGGAAGTATGTTAATAAAAAAACTAGACAGAAGCGTTCTCAGAAACTACTTTGTGATGTTTGCATTCAACCCACAGAGTTCAACATTCCTCTTGGTAGAACAGTTTTGAAACACTCTTTTAGTAGAATCTGCAAGTGGATATTTGGACCTCTTTGAGGCCTTCTTTGGAACGGGAATTTCTTTACATAAAAGCTAGTCAGAAGAATTCTGAGAAACTTCTTTGTGTTGTGCATTCAACTCACAGAGCTGAAAATTCTTTTCAATATAGCAGTTTTGAAACACTCTTTTTGTAGAATTTCCAAGGGTATATTTATAGCGCTTTGATGCGTATGGTAGAAAAGGATATATCTTCATAGAAAAACTAGACAGAACCATTCTCAGAAACTATTTTGTGATGTGTGCATTCAACTCACAGAGATTAACCTTTCTTTTGATAGTGCAGTTTTGAAACACTCTTGTTGTAGAATTTGCAAATGTATATTTAGTGCTTTGAGTCTTATGGTAGAAAAGGAAATATCTTCACATAAAAACTAGGCAGAAGCATTCTCAGAAACTTCTTTCTGATGTTTGCATTCAACTCACAGGGTTGAACATTCGTTTTAATAGAGAAGTTTGGAAACACTGTTTTTGTAGAATCTGCAGGTGGATATATAGAGCGCTTTGAGGCCTATGATAGAAAAGGAAATATCTTCACATAAAAACTAGACAGAAGCATTCTCAGAAACTACTTTGTGATGTTTGCACTCAACTCATGAAGGTGAACATTTTTATTGATAGAGCAGTTTTTAAACACTCTTTTTGTTGATTCTGCAAGTGGATATTTGGACCTCTTTGAGGTCTACTTTGCAAACGGGATTTTCTTCATATAAAACTAGACAGAAGAATTCCCAGAAACTTCACTGCGATGTGCACATTGAACTCACACTGTTGAACACACCTCTGGTTAGAGAAGTTTTGAAACACTCTTTTTGTAGAATCTGCAAGTGGATATTTTGACCTCTTTGAGGCCTTCTTTGGGAAAGGGATTTCTTCATGTAAAACTAGACAGAAGTATTCTCAGAAACTTCTTGGTGATGTCTGCACTCAACTCACAGAATTGAACCTTCCTTTTGATAGAGCATTTTTGAAACACTCTTTGTAGAATTTGCAAGTGTGTATTTAGAGGGCTTGGAGGCCTATGGTAGAAAGGGAAATGTCTTCACATAAAAACTAGACAGAAGCATTCTCAGAAACTTCTTTGTGATGTCTGCACTCAACTCACAGAGTTCAACCTTCCTTTTGAAAGAGCAGTTTTGAAACACTCTTTTTGTAGAATTTGCAAGTGGATATTTAGAGCCCTTTGAGGCCTATGTTAGAAAAGGGAATATCTTCATATAAAAACTGTACAGAATCATTCTCAGAAACTACTTTGTGATGTGTGTGTTCGACACGCAGAGTGTAACCTTTCTTTTGATAGAGCAGTTTTGAAATACTCTATTTGAAAAGTCTGCAAGCAGACTTTTGGAGCGCTTTGAAGCCTTCTTTGGAAACGGGAGTATTTTCACATAAAAAGTAGACAGAAGTATTCTCAGAAACTTCTTTGTGATGTCTGCATTCAACTCACAGAGTTGAAACTTCCTTTTGATAGAGTATTTTTGAAACACTCTTTCTGCAGAATTTGCAAGTGGATATTTAGAGTGCTTTGTGGCCTATGGTGGAAAAGGAAATATGTTCATAGAAAAACTACACAGAAGAATTCTCAGAAACTTCTTTGTGATGTGTGCGTTCATCTCACAGAGTTTAACCTTTCTTTTGATAGTGCAATTTTGAAACACTCTTTTTGTGGAATTTGCAAGTGTATATTTAGAACGTTTTGAGGCCTATGGTAGAAAAGGTAATACCTTCACATAAAAACTAGACAGAAGCATTGTCAGAAACTAGTTCGTGATGTTTGCATTCAACTCAGAGTGTTGAAAATTCCTCTTGATAGTGCAGTTTTGAAACACTCTTTTTGTAGTATCTGCTAGTGGATATTTGGGCCTCTTTGAGGCCTTCGTTGGAAACGGGATTTCTTCATATAAAACTAGACAGAAGAATTCTCAGAAACTTATTTGTGATTTGGGCATTCAACTCACAGAGTTGAACTTTCTTTTCGATAGAGCAGTTTTGAAACACTCTTTTTTTAGAATTTCCAAGTGAATATTTAGAGCACTTGGAGGCCTGTGTTAGAAAAGGAAATATCTTCATAGAAAAACTAGACAGAATCATTCTCAGAAACTATTTGTGATGTGTGCGTTCAACTCACAGAGTTTAACCTTTCTTTTGATAGAGCAGTTTTGAAAACGCTCTTTTTGTAGAATTTGCATGTGTGTTTTTAGAGGGCTTTGAGGCCTATGATAGAAAAGGAAATATCTTCACATAAAAACTAGACAGAAGCATTCTCAGAAACTACTTTGTGATGTGTGCATTCAACGCAGAGTTCAACATTTCTTTTGATACTGCAGTTTTGATACACTCTTTTTGTAGAATCTGCAAGTGTATATTTGGACCTCTTTGTGGCCTATGGTGGAAAAGTAAATACGTTCATAGAAAAACTACACAGACCCAATCTCAGAAACTATTTCGTGATGTGTGCATTCATCTCACAGAGTTTAACCTTTCTTTTGATAGAGCAGTTTTGAAACACTCTTTTTGTAGAATTTGCAAATGTATATTTAGAACGCTTTGAGGCCTATGGTAGAAAAGGAAATACCTTTCCACAAAAACTAGACAGAGGCATTCTCAGAAACTACTTTGTGATGTTTGCATTCAACTCACAGAGTTGAACATTCCTCTTGATAGAGCAGTTTTGAGACACTCTTTTTGTAGTATCTGCAAGTGTATATTTTGATCATTTTCAGGCCTTCATTGAAAACGGGATTTCTTCATATAAATCTAGACAGAAGGATTCTCAGAAACTTCTTTGTGATGTGTGCATTCAACTCAGAGAGTTGAACATTCCTCTTGATAGAGCAAGTTGGAAGCACTCTGTAGAATTCACATGTGGATAATTGGACCTTTTTGTGGCCTTCGTTTGAAACGGGATTTCTTCACATAAAACTAGACAGAAGAATTCTCAGAAACATCTTTGTATTATGGGCATTCAACTCACAGAGTTGAACCTTCCTTTCTATGAGCAGTTTTGAAAAACTCTTTTTGTAGAATTTCCAAGTGTATACTTAGAGCGCTTTCAAGCTTATGATAGAAAAGGAAATATCTTCATATGAAAACTAGACAGAATCATGCTCAGAAACCACTTTGTGATGTGGGCATTCAACTCACAGAGTTTAACTTTTCTTTTGATAGAGTAGTTTTGAAACAATCTGTTTGTAAGTCTGCAAGTGGGTATTTGGAGCCCTTTGAGTCCTTCTTTGGAAACGGGAATATCTTCACATAAAAAGTAGACAGAAGTTTTCTCAGAAACTTCTTTGTGATGTCTGCACTGAACTCACAGATTTTAACCTTCCTTTTGATAGAGCAGTTTTGAAGCACACTTTTTGTAGTGTTTGCAATTGGATATTTAGAGTGCTTCGGGGCCCATGGTGGAAAAGTAAATATGTTCATAGAAAAACTACACAGAAGCATTCTCAGAAACTACTTTATGATGTGTGCGTTCAACTCACAGAGTTTAAACTTTCTTTTGATAGAGCAGGTTTTGAAACACTCTTTTTGTAGAATTTGCAAGTGTATATTTAGAGCGCTTTGAGGCCTATGGTAGAAAATGAAATATCTTCACATAAAAACTACACAAAAGCATTGTCAGAAACTACTTTTTGATGTTTGCATTCAACTCACAGAGTTGAACATCCTCTTGATAGAGCAGTTTTGAAATACTCTTTTTGTAGTATCTGCAAGTGGATATTTGGACCTCTTTGAGGCCTTCGTTGGAAACAGAAATTTCTTCATATAAAAACTAGACAGAAGAATTCACAGAAACTTCTTTGTGATGTGTGCATTCTACTCACAGATTTGAACCCCCCTTTGGTAAGAGCAGTTTGAAACACTCTTTTTCTAGAATTTCCAAGTGAATATTTACAGCGCTTTGAGGTCAATTGTAGAAAAGGAAATATCTTCACAGAAAAACCAGACAGAATCATTCTCAAAAACTACTTTGTGATGTGTCCGTTCAACCCACAGACTTTAACCTTGCTTTTGATAGAGCAGTTTTGAAACGCTCTTTTTGTAGTATTTGCAAGTGTGTATTTAGAGGGCTTTGAGGCCTACGGTAGAAAAGGGAATATCTTCACATAAAAACTAGACAGAAGCATTCTTAGAAACTACTTGGGGATGTTTGCATTCAACTCACAGAGATCAACATTTGTTTTGATAGATCAGTTTTGAAACACTCTTTTTGTAATATTTCTAAGTGAATATTTAGATTGCTTTGAAGCCTATGTTAGAAAGGTAAATATCTTCATATAAAAAACAGACAGAATCATTCTCAGAAACTACTTTGTGATGTGTGCTTTCAACTCACAGAGTTTAACCTTTCTTTTGATAGAGTAGTTTTGAAACACTCTGTTTGCAATGTCTGGAAGTGGATATTTGGAGCGCTTTGAGGCCTTCTTTGGAAACGGGAATGTCTTCACATAAAAAGTAGACAGAAGTATTCTCAGAAACTTCTTCATGATGGCTGCACACAGTCGAAACTTCCTTCTGATAGACCAGTTTTGAAACCCTCTTTTTCTAGAATTTGCAAGTGGATATTTAGAGCGCTTTGAAGCCTATGGTTGAAATGGAAATGTCTTCATATAAAATTAGACAGAATCATTCTCAGAAACTACTTTGTGATGTGTGCGTTTAACTCTCATAGTTTAACTTTTCTTTTGATACAGCAGTTTTGAAACACTCTTTTTGTTGAATTTGAGAGTGTATATTTAGAGCGCTTTGAGGCCAATGGTAGAAAAGGAAATATCTTCCTATTAAAACTAGACAGAATCATTGTCAGAAACTACTTTGTGATGTTTGCATTCAACTCACAGAGTTGAACATTCTTCTTGATAGAGCAGTTTTGAAACACTCTTTTTGTGGAATCTGCAAGTGGATATTTGGAACTTTTTGAGGCCTTCGTTGGAAATGGGATTTCTTCGTATAAAACTAGACAGAAGAATTCTCAGAAACTTCTTTGTGATGTTTGCATTCAACTCACAGGGTTGAACCTTCCTTTCAATAGAGCAGATTTGAAACACTCTTTTTGTAGTATTTCCAAGTGGATATTTAGAGCAGTTTGAAACCTATGGTAGAAAAGGAAATATCTTCATAGAAAAACTTGGCAGAATCATTCTCAGAAACTACTTTGTGATGTGTGAGTTCAACTCTCAAAGTTTAACCTTCCTTTGATAGAGCAGTTTTGAAACGCTCTTTTTGTGGAATTTGCAAGTGTATATTTAGAGCGCTTTGAGGCCTATGATAGATAAGGGAATATCTTCACATAAAAACTAGACAGAAACCTTCTCTGAAACTACTTGGTGATGTTTGCATTCAACTTACAGAGTTGACCTTTCCTCTTGATAGAGCAGTTTTCAGACACTCTTTTTGTAATATCTGAAAGGGGATATTTTCAACTTTTTTGAGGCCTTCGTTGGAAATGAGATTTCTTCATGTAAAACTAGACCAAAGAATTCTGAGAAACTTATTGTGATGTTTGCATTCAGCTCACAGAGTTGAACCTTCCTTTCGATAGAGCAGTTTTGAAACAGTCTTTTTGTAGAATTTCCAAGTGGATATTTAGAGCGCTTTGAAGCCTATGTTAGAAAAGGAAATATCTTCATAGAAAAACTAGACAGAATCATTCTCAGTAACTACTTTGTGATGTGTGTGTTCAACTCACAGAGTTTAACTTTTCTTTTGATAGAGCAGTTTTGAAACAGCCTTTTTGTAGAATTTCCAAGCGGATCTTTAGAGGGCTTTGAGGCCTATGCTAGAAAAGGAAATATCTTCATAGAAAAACTAGACAGAATCATTCTCAGTAACTACTTCGTGATGTGTGCGTTCAACTCACAGAGTTTAACCTTTCTTTTGATAGAGTAGTTTTGAAACAGCCTTTCTGTAGAATTTGCAGGTGTATATTTAGAGTGTTTTGAGGCCTATGGTAGAAAAGGAAATTTCACAAAAAACTAGAGGGAAGCATTCTCAGACACTAATTTCTGATGTTTGCATTCAACACACAGAGTTGAACATTCCTCCTGATAGAACAGTTTTCAAACACTCGTTTTGTAACATCTGCAAGTGGATATTTGGAACTATTTTAGGCCTTCATTGGAAACGGGAATTTCTTCACATAAAAACTAGACAGAAGAATTCTCAGAAAGTTTTTGATGTGTGCATTCAACTCACAGAGTTGAAACTTCCTTTTCATAGAACAGCTTTGAAACCCTCTTTTTGTAGAATTTCCAAGTGGATATAAAGAGCACTTTGAAACGTATGGTAGAAAAGTTAATATCCTCATCTAAAAACTAGACAGAATCTTTCTCAGAAACTACTTTGTGATGTGTGCGTTCAACTTGCGGAGTTTAATCTTTCTTTTGCTATAGCAGTTTTGAAACACTCTGTTTGTAAAGGCTGCAAGTGGATATTTGGAGCACTTTGAGGCATTCTTGGAAACAGGAGTATATTCACATAAAAAGTAGACAGAAGTATTCTCAGAAACTTCTTTGTGATGTCTGCATTCAACTCACAGATTTGAACCATCCTTTTGATAGAGCAGTTTTGAAACACCCTTTTTGTAGAATTTGCAAGTGGATATTTAGAGTGTTTTGTGGCGTATGTTACAAAAGGAAATATCTTCATAGAAAAACTAGACAGAATCATTCTCAGAAACTACTATGCAATGTGTGCGTTCAACTCACAGAGTTTAACCTTCCTTTTGATAGAGCAGTTTTGAAACACTCTTTTTGTAAAGGTTGCAAGTGGATATTTGGACCTCTTAGAGGCCTTCGTTGGAAACGAGATTTCTTCATATAAAACTAGACAGAAGAATTCTCAGAAACTTCTTTTTGATGTGTGCCTTCAACTCACAGAGTTAAACCTTCCTTTCGATAGAGCAATTTCAATACACTCTTCTTGTAGAATTTCCAAGTGAAAATGTAGAGCGTAATGAGGCCTATGGTAGAAAAAAAAATATCTTCATAAAAAACTAGACAGAATCATTCTCAGAAACTACCTTGTGATGTGTGCGTTCAATCAAAAGACCTTTCTCTTGATAGAGCAGTTTTGAAACACTGTTTTCACCGAATTGGCAAGTGTGTATTTACAGGGCTTTTAGGCCTCTGGTAGAAAAGGAAATATCTTCACATAAAAACTAGACAGAAGCACTCTCAGAAACTACCTTGAAATGTTTGCATTCAACTCACAGAATTCAACGTTCCGTTTGATAGAGCAGTTTTGAAACACTCTTTTTGTAGAATCTGCAATTGGATATTTAGAGCGCTTTGAAGCGTATGTTAGAAAAGGAAATATCTTCATATGAAAACTAGACAGAATCATTCTCAGAAACTACATTGTTATGTGTGCGTTCAACACACACCATTTAAACTTTCTTTTGTTAGGGCAGTTTTGAAACACTCTGATTGTAAATTCTGCAAGTAGATATTTGTAGCGCTTTGAGGCCTTCTTTGAAAACGGGAATATCTTCACATAAAAAGTAGACAGAAGTATTCTCAGAAACTTCTTTGTGATGTGTGCATTCAACTCAGAGATTTGAAAGTGCCTTTCAATAGAGCAGCTTTGAAACACTCTTTTTGTAGAATTTCCAAGTGGATATTTAGAGCCCTTTGAGGCCTATGGTAGAAAAGGAAATATTTTCATATAAAAACTAGACAGTATCATTTTCAGAAACTAGTTTGTGATGTGTGCCTTCAACTCACAGAGTTTAAGCTTTCTTTTGATATAACACTTTTGAAACACTCTTTTTGTAGAATTTGCAAGTGTATATTTATAGCGCTTTGAGGCCTATGGTAGAAAAGGAAATATCTTCACACAAAAACTAGACAGAAGCATTCTCAGAAACAACTTTGTGATGTTTGCATTCAACTCACAGAGGTGAACATTCCTTTTGATAGAGGAGTTTTGAAACACTCTTTTTGTAGAATCTGCAAGAGGATACTTAGACCTCTTTGACGCCTTCGTTGGAAACAGGAATTTCTTCACGTAAAAGCTACACAGAAGAATTCTCAGAAACTTTTTGGATGTGTGCATTCGACTCACAGAGTTGAACCTAACTTTTGATAGAGCAGTTTTGAAACACTCTTTTTGAAGAATTTCTAAGTGGATATTTAGAGCGCTTTGAAGGTATAAAAGGAAATATCTTCATATAAAAACTAGACAGAATCATTCTCAGAAATTGCTTTGTGATGTGTTCGTTCAAATCACAGAGTTTAACCTTTCTTTTGATAGAGCAGTTTTGAAACGCTCTGTTTGTAACGTCTGCAAGTGGATATTTGGATATCTTTTAGGCGTTCTTTCGAAACGGCAGTATGTTCACATAAAAAGTAGACAGAAGTATTCTCAGAAATTTCCTTGTGTTGTCTGCACTCAACTCAGAAATTTCAACCTTCCTTTTGATAGAGCAGTTTGGAAACACTCTTTTTGTAGAATTTGCAATTGGATATTTAGAGCGCTTTGAGGCCTATTTTAGAAAAGGAAATATCTTCATAGAAAAACTAGACAGAATCATTCTCAGAAACTACTTTGTGATGTGTGTGTTCAACTCACATAGTTTAATCTTTCTTTTGATAGAGCAGTTTTGAAACACTCTTTAAAGTCTGCAAATGGGTATCTGGAGCGATTTGAGGCCTTCTTTTGAAATGGGAGTATCCTCACAGAAAAAGTAGGAAGAAGTATTCTCAGAAACTTCTTTGTGATGTCTGAGCTGAACTCACAGATTTGAACCTTCCTTTTGATAGGGCAGTTTTGAAACACTCTATTTGTAGAATTTGCAAGTGGATATTTAGAGCGCTTTGGGACCTATGGTAGAAAAGGAAATATCTTCATAGAAAAACTACACAGAAGCATTCTCAGAAACTACTTTGTGATGTTTGCATTCAACTCACAGAGTTGAACATTTCTTTTGATACAGTAGATTTGTAACACTCTTTTTGCAGAATCTGCAAGTGGATATTAGGATCTCTTTGAGGGCTTCGTTGGAAACGGGAATTTCTTCATATAAAAACTAGACAGAATAATTCTCAGAAACTTCTTTGTGATGTGTGAATTCAACTCACAGAGTTGATTCTTCCTTTCGATAGAGCAGTTTTGAAACTCTCTTTTTGTTGAATTTGCAAGTGGATATTTAGAGTGCTTTGTGGCCTATGGTAGAAAAGGAAATATCTTCATATAAAAACTAGACAAAATCATTCTACGAAACTACTTTGTGATGTGTGCGTTCAACTCACAGTATTTAACCTTCCTTTTGATAGAGCAGTTTTGAAACACTCTTTTTGAAGAATTCGCAAGTGGATATTAGAGCACTTTGAGGCCTACGGTAAAAAAGGAAATATCTTCACATAAAAACTAGACAGAAGCATTCTCAGAAATTAATTGGTGAAGTTTCATTCAACTCACAGAGTTGTACATTCCTCTTGATAGGGCAGTTTTGAAACAGTCTTTTTGTAGAATCTGCAAGTGGATATTTGGACCTCTTTGAGGCCTTCTTTGGAGACAATTTTTTCATTTATAAGTAGACAGAAGAATTCTCAGAAACTTCTTTGTGATGTGTGCATTCAACTCACAGAGTTGAACCTTCCTTTCAATAGAGCAGTTTTGAAACACTCTTTTTGTAGAATTTCCAAGTGGCTATTTAGAGGGCTTTGAGGCCTAAGGTAGAAAAGGTAATATCTTCATATAAAACAAGACAGAATCATTCTCAGAAACTACTTTGTGATGTGTGCGTTCAACTCACAAAGTTTAACTTTTCTTTTGATAGAACAGTTTTGAAGCACTCTTTATGTAGGATTTGAAAGTTTATACTTAGAGCGCTTTGAGGCCTTTGGTAGAAAAAGAAATATCTTCACATAAAAACTAGACAGAAGCATTCTCAGAAACTACTATGGGATGTTTGCATTCAACTCACAGAGTTGAACATTCCTCTTGATAGAGCAGTTTTGAAAAACTCTTTTTGTAGAATCTGCAAGTGGATATTTGGACCTCTTTGAGGCCTTCGGTGGAAAAGGGATTTCTTCATATAAAACTACACAGAAGAATTCTCAGAAACTTCTTTCCGCTGTGTGCATTCAACTCACGAGTTGAGCCTTCCTTCCGATAGAGCAGTTTCGAAACATTCTTTTTGTAGAATTTCCTAGTGGAAATTTAGAGTGCTTTGAGGCCTATGGTAGAAAAGGAAATATCTCATATAAAAACTAGACAGAATCATTATCAGAAACTACTTTGTGATGTGTGCTTTCAACTCACAGAGTTTATCCTTTCTTTTGATAGAGCAGTTTTGAAACCCTCTTTTTGTAGAATTTGCAAGTGTATATTTAGATCGCTTTGAGGCCTATGCAAGAAAAGGAAATATCTTCACATAAAAACTAGACAGAAGCATTCTCAGAAACTACTTTGTGATGTTTGCATCAACTCACAGAGTTGAACATTCCTCTTAATAGAGCAGTTTTGAAACACTCTTTTTGTAGAATCTGCAAGTGGTTATTTACATCTCTTTGAGGGCTTCTCTGGAAAAGTGATTTCTTCATATAAAACTAGACAGAAGAATTCTCAGAAACTTCTTTGTGATGTGTGCATTCAAGTCACAGAGTTGAACCTTCCTTTCGATAGAGCAGTTTTGAAACACTCTTTTTGTAGAATTTCCAAGTAAATATTTTGAGGGCTATGAGGCCTATTGTAGAAAAGGAAATATCTTCCTATAAAAACAAGACAGACTCATTCTCAGAAATTAATTTGTGATGTGTGTGTTCAACTCACAAAATTTAAACTTTCTTTTGATAGAGCAGGTTTGAAACACTCTTTTTGTAGAATTTGTAAGTGTGTATTTACATAACTTTGAGGCCTATTGTAGAAAAGGAAATAACTTCCAATGAAAACAGGACGGAAGCTTTCTAAGAAACTTTGTGATGTTTGCATTCAATTCACAGAGTTGAACACTCCACTTGATAGAGCTGTTTTGAAACACTCTTTGTAGAATCTGCAAGTGGATATTTGGACCTCTTTGAGGTCTTCGTTGGAAACGGGAATTTCTTCACATAAAAACTAGCAGAAGAATTCTCAGAAAGTTTTTGTGATATGTGCATTCAACTCACAGTGTTGAGCCTTCCTTTTGATAGAGTAGTTTTGAAACATTCCTTTTCTAGAATTTCCAAGTGGATATTTAGAACACTTTGAAGCCTATGGTAGAAAAGGAAATATCTTCACTTAAAAACTAGACAGAATCATTCTCAGAAACTACTTTGTAATGTGTGCGTTCAACTCACAGAGGTTAACCTTTCTTTTGATAGAGCAGTTTAAACACTCTTTTTGTAGGATTTGGAAGTCTATATATAGAGCCCTATGAGGCCTTCGTTGGAAACAGGAATTTCTTCACCTATAAACTTGACAGAAGTATTCTCAGAAATTTTTGTTATATGCTCATTTAACTCACAGAGTTGAACCTTCCTTTTGATAGAGCAGTTTGGAAACACTCTTTTTGAAGAATTTCCAAGTGGTTATTTAGAGAGCTTTGAGGCCTATGGAAGAAAAGGAAAAATCTTCATATAAAAACTAGACAGAATCATTCTCAGAAACTACTTTGTGATGTTGGGTTCAACTCACAGAGTTTAACCTTTCTTTTGATAGAGCAGTTTTGAAAATCTCTTTTTGTAGTATCTGCAAGTGGATATTTGGACCTCTTTGAGGCCTTCATTAAAATGGGATTTCTGCATATTAAACTAGACAGAAGAATTCTCAGAAACTTCTTTGTGATGTGTGCATTCAACTCAAAGTGTTGAACGTCCCTTTCGATAGAGCAGTTTTGAAAAACTCGTTTTGTAGTATTTCCAAGTGCATATTTAGAGCCCTTGGAGGCCTAATGTAGAAAAGGAAATATCTTCATATAAAAACTAGACAGAATCATTCTCAGAAACTAGTTTGTTATGTTTGCATTCAACTCACAGAGCTTATCGTTTCTTTTGGTAGAGCAGTTTTGAAACACTCTTTTTGTAGTATTTGCAACTGTATATTTAGAGTGGTTTGCAGCCTATGGTAGAAAAGGAAATATCTTCACATAAAAAGTAGACAGAAGCATTCTCAGAAACTAATTTAGATGTTTGCATTCAACCCACAGAGTTGAACATTACTCTTGATAGAGCAGTTTTGAAACTCTCTTTTTTTAGAATCTGCAAGTGGATATTTGGAACTCTTTCAGACCTTCATTGGAAACGGGATTTCTTCATTTAAAACTTGACAGAACAATTCTCAGAAACTTCTTTGTGATGAGTGTATTCAACAAACCTTGTTGAATCTTCCTTTCCTTAGAGCAGTTTTGAAACACCCTTTTTTGTACTATTTCTAAGTTATTATTTAGAGCGCTTTGAGGCCTGTGGTAGAAAAGGAAATATCTTCATAGAAAAAATAGACAGAATCATTCTCAGAAACTACTTTGTGATGTGTGTGTTCAACCCACAGAGTTTAACCGTTCTTTTGATAGAGCAGTTTGAAACGCTCTTTTGGTAGATATTGCAAGTGTGTATTTAGAGGGCTTTGAGGCCAATGGTAGAAAAGGAAATATCTTTACAGAAAAACTAGACAGAAACATTCTCAGAAACTACTTTGTGTTGTGGGCATTCAACTCACAGAGTTTAACCATTCTTTTGATAGAGCAGTGTTGAAAAACTCTGTTTGTACAATCTGCAAGTGGATATTTAGAGCGCTTTGAGGCCTTCTTTGGAAACGGGAATCTCTTCACATAAAAAGTAGACAAAAGTATTCTCAGAAACTTCTTTGTGATGTGTGCATTAAAGTCACAGAGTTGAACCTTCCTTTCGACAGAGCAGTTTCAAAAGACTCCTTTTGTAGAATTTCCAAGTGAATATTTAGAGCGCTTTGAGGCCTATGGTAAAAAAGGGAACATCTTCATAGAAAAACTAGACACAATAATTCTCAGAAACTACTTTGTGATGTGTGGGTTCAACTCACAGATTTTAACCTTTCTTTTGATAGAGCAGTTTTGAAACACTCTTTTTGTAGAATTTGGGTGTGTGTATTTAGATGGCTTTGAGGCCTATGGTAGAAAAGGAAATATCTTCACCTAAAAACTAGACAGAAATAGTCTTAGAAAATACTTTGTGACGTTTGCATTCAACTCACAGTTTTCTATATTCCTTTTGATAGAGCATTTTAGAAACACACTTTTTGAAGAATTTGCAAGTGTGTAGTTAGAGGGCTTTGAGGCCTATGGTAGAAAATGAAGTATCTTCACACAAAAACTAGACAGAATAATTCTCAGAAACATTTTGTGATGTGTGCATTCAACTCACAGAGCTTAAACTTTCTTTTGATAGAGCAGTTTTGAAAATCTGCAAGTGGGTATTTG
Source organism: Homo sapiens (assembly GCF_000001405.40). Taxonomy (NCBI): domain Eukaryota; kingdom Metazoa; phylum Chordata; class Mammalia; order Primates; family Hominidae; genus Homo; species Homo sapiens. The sequence continues at coordinate 260,666 of NW_012132918.1, forward strand.
GAGGGCTCTGATGCCTTCTTTGGAAACGGGAATATCTTCACATAAAAAGTAGACAGAATTATTCTCAGAAACTTCTTTGTGATGTCTGCACTCAAGTCACAGATTTGAACCTTCCTGTTGATAGAGCAGTTTTGAAACACTCTTTTTGTAGAATTTGCAAGTGGATATTTAGAACGCTTTGAGGCCTATGGTAGAAAAGGAAATATCTTCATAGAAAAACCACCCAGAATTATTCTCAAAAACTACTTTGTGATGTTTGCACTCAACTCATAGAGTTGAAAATTCCTCTTGCCAGAGCAGTTTTGAAACACTCTTTTTGTACAATCTGTAAGTGGATATTTGGACCTCTTTGAGGCCTTCGTTTTAAACGGGAATTTCTTCACATAAAACTAGACAGAAGAATTCTCAGAATCTTCTCTGTGATGTGTGCATTCAACTCAGAGAGTTGAAAGTTCCCTTCGATAGAGCAATTTTGAAACACTCTTTTTGTAGAATTTCCAAGTGGATATTTAGAGCACTTCGAGGTCTATGATAGAAAAGGAAATATCTTCATATAAAAACTGGACAGTACCTTTCTCAGAAACTACTATGTGATGTGTGCGTTCAACTCACAGAGTTTAAAATTTTTTGATAGGACAGTTTTGAAACACTCTTTTTGTGGAATCTGCACGTGGATATTTTGACCTCTTTTAGGCCTTCATTGGAAAAGGGTTTTCTTCATATAAAACTAGACAGAAGTATTCTCAGAAACTTCTGTGTAATGTTTGCATTCAACTCACAGAGTTGAACCTTCCTTTTGATAGAGCAGTTTTGAAACACTCTTTTTGTAGAATTTCCAGTGGATATTTAGAGTCCTTTGATGCCTACAGTAGAAAAGGAAACATCTTCATATAAAAACTAGACAGAATCATCTGAGAAACTACTTTGTGAGGTGTGTGTTCAACTCAAAGAGTTTATCCTTTCTTTTGATATAGCAGTTTTGAAACACACTCTTTTTAGAATTTGCTAGTGTATATTTAGCACGCTATGAGGCCTATCATAGAAAAGGAAATATCTTCACATAAAAACAAGACAGAGGAATTGTCAGAAACTTCCCTGTGATGTGTGCATTCAACTCACAGAGTTTAACATTCCTTTCGAAGAGCAGTTTTGTAACACTCTTTTTGTAGAATCTGCAAGTGGATATTTGGAGCTCTTTGAGGCCTTCGTTGGAAACGGGAATTTCTTCATAGAAAAAGTAGACAGAAGAATTCTCAGAAACATTTTGTGATGTGGGCTTTCAACTCACGGAATTGTATCTCCTTTTTGATAGAGAAGTTTTGAAACACTCTTTTTGTAGTATTTCCAATTGTATATTTAGAGCGCTTTGAAGTCTACGGTAGAGAAGGAAATATCTTCATAGAAAAACTAGACAGAATCTTTCTCAGAAACTACTTTGTGATGTGTTCGTTCAACTCAGAGTTTAACCTTTCTTTTCATAGAGCAGTTTTGAAATACTCTGTAAAGTCTGCAAGTGGATATTTGGAGCGCTTGAGGCCTTCTTTCGAAGCGGGAGTATCTTCATATAAAAAGTAGACAGAAGTATTCTCAGAAAATTCTTTGTGATGTCTGCACTCAACTCACAGAGTTGAACCTTCCTTTTCATACAGCAGTTTTGAAACACTCTTTTTGTAGGATTTGCAAGTGGATATTTAGAGCGCATTGAGGCCTATGTTAGAAAATGCATTATCTTCTTATAAAAACTAGACAGAATCATTCTCAGAAACTACTTTGTGATGTGTTCGTTCAACTCACAGAGTTTAACCTTTCTTTTCATAGAGCAGTTTTGAAACACTCTGTTTGTAAAGTCTGCAAGTGGATATTTGGAGCGCTTGAGGCCTTCTTTCAAAGCGGGAGTATCTTCATATAAAAAGTAGACAGAAGTATTCTCAGAAAATTCTTTGTGATGTCTGCAGTCAACTCACAGAGTTGAAGCTTCCTTTCTATAGAGCATTTTTGAAACACTCTTTTTGTAGAATTTGGAAGTGGAAAGTTAGAGCGCTTTGGGGCCTTTGGTAGAAATGGAAATATCTTCATAGAAAAACTACACAGAAGCATTCTCAAAAACTACCTTGTGATGTTTGCATTCAACTCACAGAGTTGAACACTTCCGTTGATGGGGCATTTTTGTAACAGTCTTTATGTAGAATCTGCAAGTCGATATTTGGACCTCTTTGAGCCCTTCGTTGGAAACGGGAATATCTTCATATAAAAACTAGACAGAAGAATTCTCAGAAACTGCTTTGTGATGTGTGCATTCAACACACAGAGATGAACTTTCCTTTTGATGGAGCGGTTTTGAAACACTCTTTTTGTAGAATTTACAAGTGGATATTTGGAGCACTTTGAGGACAATGGTAGAAAAGGAAACATCTTCATATAAAAATTAGACAGAATCATTCTCAGAAATTACTTTGTGATGTGTGTATTCAACTCACAGAGTTTAACCTTTCTTTTGATAGAGCAGTTTTAAAACCCTGTTTTTGTAGAATTTGCAAGTATCTATTTAGGGCACTTTGAGGCCTATGGTAGAATAGGAAATATCTTCACTTGGAAAGTAGATAGACACATTCTCAAAAACTACTTTGTGATGTTTCCATTCAACTCACAGAGTTGAAGTTTCCTCTTAATAGAGCAGTTTTGAAACACTATGTTTGTAAAGTCTGCAAGTGGATATTTAAATCGCTTTGAGGCCTTCTTTTGAGAAGATTGTTTCTTCATAAGAAAAGTAGATAGAAGTATTCTCAGAGACTTCTTTGTGAGGGCTGCACTCAACTCACAGAGTTGAACCTTCCTTTTGATAGAGAAGTTTTGAAACCCTCTCTTTGTAGAATTTCCAATTGGTTATTTAGAGTTTTTTGAGGCCTATGATAGAAAAGGAAATATCTTCATATAAAAACTAGACAGAATCATTCTCAGAAAATACTTTGTGATGTGTGCATTCAACTCAGAGAATTTAACCATTCTTTTGATAGAGCAGTTTTGAAACACTCATTTTGTAGAATTTGCAAGCGTATATTTAGAGCACTTTGAGGCCTATGGTAGAAAAGGAAATGTCTTCACATAAAAACTAGACAGAAGCATTCTCAGAGACTACTTTGTGATGTTTGCATTCAACTCACGGAGTTGAACATTCCTTTTGATAGAGCAGTTTTGAAACACTCTTTTTGTAGAATCTGCAAGTGTATATTTGGACCTCTTTGAGACCTTCGTTGGAAACAGGAATTTCTTCGCATAAAAACCAGACAGAAGCATTCTAAGAAACTTTTTGTGTTTTGTGCATTCAACTCACAGAGTTTATCCTTTCTTTTGATAAACAGTTTTGAAACACACTTTTTCTTGAATTTGCAAGTGTATATTTAGAGCGCTTTCAGGTCTATGGTAGAAAAGGAAATATCTTCACATAAAATCTATAAAGAAGCATCCTCAGAAACTAATTTGGATGTATTCATTCAACTCAGAGAGTTGAACTTTCCTCTTTGTAGAGTTGTTTGAAACACTCTTTTTGTAGAATATGCAAGTGGATATTTGGACCACTTTGTTGACTTCGTTGGAAACGGTATTTCTTCATAATACTAGACAGAAGAATTCTCAGAAACTTTTTTTTGATGTGTGCATTCAACTCACAGATTTGAACCTTCCTTTCGACAGAGCAGTTTTGAAACTCTCTTTTTGTAGAATTTCCAAGTGGATATATAGAGCGTTTTGAGGCCTATGGTAGAAAAGGAAATATCTTCATATAAAAACAAGACAGAATCATTCTCAGAAACTACTTTGTGATGTGTGTGTTCAACTCAAACAGTTTAACCTTTCTTCTGATAGAGCAGTTTTCAAACATTCTGTAAAGTCTGCAAGTGGATATTTGAAGCGATTTGAGACCTTCTTTGGAAACTGGAGTATCTTCACATAAAACTAGAGAGAAGTATTCTCAACAACTTCTTTGTGATGTCTGCACTCAACTCACAGAGTTGAACCTTCCTTTTGATAGAGCAGTTTTGAAATACTCTTTTTGTAGAATTTGCCAGTGTGGATTTAGAGGGCTTTGAGGCCTATGGTAGAAAAGGAAATATCTTCACATAAAAACTAGACAGAATCATTCTCAGAAACTACTTTATGATGTTTGCATTCAACTCACTGATTTCATCATTCCTTTTGATAAAGCAGTTTTGAAACACTCTTTTTGCAGACTCTGCAAGTGGATATTTGGACCTATTTGAAGCCTTCCTTGTAAACGGGAATTTCTTCACATAAAAACTAGACAGAAGAATTCTCAGAAATTTTTGTGATGTGTGCATTCAACTCTCAGTTTTCAACCTTCCTTTTCATAAAGCAGTTTTGAAACATTCTTTTTGTAGAATTTGCAAGTGGATATTTAGAGCGCTTTGAAGCCTATGGTAGAAAAGGAAATATCTTCATATAAAAACTAGACAGAATCATCCTCAGAAACTACTTTTTAATGTGTGCGTTGAACTCACAGAGTGTAACCTTTCTTTTGACAGATCACTTTTGGAACACTGTGTAAAGTCTGCAAGTGGATAGTAGGAGAGCTTTGAGGCCTTCTTTGGAAACGGGAATATCTTCACATAAAAAGTAGACAGAAGTATTCTCAGAAACTTCTTTTTGATGTCTGCACTCAACTCACAGAGTTGAGTGTCCCTTTTGATACAGCAGTTTTGAAACACTCTTTTTGTAGAATTTGCAAGAAGATATTTAGAGCGCTTTGAGGCCTATGGTAGAAAAGGAAATATCTTCATATAAAAACTAGATGGAATCATTCTCAGAAACTACTTTCTGATGTGTGCGTTCAACTCATAGAGTTTGACCTTTGTTTTGATAGAGCAGTTTTGAAACAATCTGTTTGTAAATTCTGCAAGTGGATATTTGGAGCGCTTTGAGGCCCTCTTTGGAAACGGGAGTATCTTCCAAAAGAAATTAGACAGAAGTATTCTCAGAAACTTCTTTGTGATGTCTGCACTCAACTCACAGAGTTGAAAATTCCTTTTGATAGAGCAGTTTCGAAACATTCTTTTTGTAGAATTTGCAAGTGGATATTTAGAGCGCTTTGGGGACTATGTTAGAAAAGGAAATATCTGCATGGAAAAACTACACAGAATCATTCTCAGAAACTACTTTGTGATGTGTGCATTTACCTCACAGAGTTTAACCTTTCTTTTGATAGAACAGTTTTGAAATACTCTTTTTGTAGAATCTTCAAGTGTATATTTAGAGTGCTTTGAGGCCTATGGTAGAAAAGGAAATATCTTCACATAAAAACTGGACAGAAGCATTCTCAGAAACTATTTTGTGATGTTTGCATTCAACTCACAGAGTTGAACATTCCTCTTCATAGACCAGTTTTGAAACACTATTTTTGTAGAATCAGTAAGCGGATATTTGGACCTCTTGGAGGCCTTCGTTACAAACAGGAATTCTTCATATAAAACTAGACAGAAGAATTCTCAGAAACTTCTTTCCGATGTGTGCATTCAACTCAGAGAGTTGAACCTTCTTTTCGACAGAGTAGTTTTGAAACACTCTTTTTGTAGAATTTCTAAGCGAATATTTAGGGCCCTTTGAAGCCCTTGGTGGAAAAGGAAGTTTCTTCATGTAAAACTAGACCGAATCATTCTCAGAAACTACATTGGGATGTGTGCGTTCAAATCACAGAGTTTAACCTTTCTTTTGATAGAGCAGTTTTGAAACACTCTGTAAAGTCTGCAAGTGGATATTTGGAGCAATTTGAGGCCTTCTTTGGAAATGGGAGTATCTTCACATACAATGTAGACAGAAGTATTCTCAGAAACACCTTTGTCCTGTCTGCACTCAACTCACAGAGTTTAACCTTTCTTTTGATAGAGCAGTTTTGAAAATCTCTTTTTGAAGAATTTGCAAGTGTGTATTTAGTAGACTTGAGGCCTTCCTTTTGGTAGAGCAGTTTGAAACACTCTTTTTGTTGAATGTGCAATGGATATTTAGAGCGCTTTGTGGCCTGAGTTAGAAGAGGAGATATCTTCATATAAAAAATAGAGGGAAGCATTCTGAGAAACTACTTTGTGATGTTTGCATTCAACTCACAGAGTTCAACATTCCTTTTGATAGAGCAGTTTTGAAACACACTTTTTGTAAAATCTGTAGGTGGGTATTTGGACCTCTTTGAGGCCTTCATAGTAAACGAGAATTTCGTTAATAAAAACCAGACAGAAGAATTCTCCGAAACTTTCTGTGATGTGTGCATTCAAGTCACAGAGTTGAACCTTCCTTTTGATAGAGCAGTTTTGAAACACTCTTTTTGTAGAATCTGCAAGTGGATATTTAGAGCGCTTTGAAGCCTGAGTTAGAAAAGGAAATATCTTCATATAAAAACTAGACAGAATCTTTCTCAGAAGCTACTTTGTGATGTGTGCATTCAACTCACTGAGTTTATCCTTTCTTTTGATAGAGCAGTTTTGAAACAATCTGTTTGTAGAAATTGCAAGTGTATATTTAGAGCTCTTTGAGGTCTAAGGTAGAAAAGGAAATATCTTCACATAAAAACTAGACAGAAGCACTCTCAGAAACTACTTTATGATGTTTGCATTCAACAGAGAGTTGAACATTCCCGTTGATAGAACAGTTTTGAAACACTCTTTTTATAGAATCTTCAAGTGGCTATTTGGACCTCTTTGAGGCCTTTGTGGGAAAAGGGATTTCTTCATATAAAACTAGACAGAGGAATTCTCAGAAACTTCTTTGTGATATGTGCATTCAACTCACAGAGTTAAACCTTTGTTTTGATAGAGCAGTTTGTAACACTCTTTTTGTAGGATTTCCAAGTGAATATTAAGAGCGCTTGGAGGCCTATGGTAGAAAAGGAGATATCTTCATACAAAAACTAGACAGAATAATTCTCAGAAACTAATTTTTGATGTGTGCATTCAACTCACCTCGTTTAACCTTTCCTTTGATAGAGCTGTTTTGAAACACTGTTTTTGTAGTATTTGCAATGTATATTCAGAGCGCTTTGAGGCCTATGGTAGAAACGGAAATATCTTCACATAAAAACTAGACAGAAGTATTCTCAGAAACTACTTTTTGATGTTTGCATTCAACTCACAGCGTTGATCATTCCCCTTGATAGAGCAGTTTAGAAACACTCTTTTTGTAGAATCTGCAAATGGATATTTGGACCTCGTAGAGGCCTTCTTAGGAAATGGGATTTCTTCATATAAAACTAGACAGAGGAATTATCAGAAACTTATTTGTGAAGTGAGCATTCAACTCACAAAGTTGAACCTTCCTTTCGATTGGACATTTATGAAACACTATCTTTGTAGAATTTTCCAGTGATTATTTAGAGCGCTTTGAGGCCTATGGTAGAAAAGGAAATATCTTCAAAAAAAAACTAGACAGAATCATTCTCAGAAAATATTTTGTGATGTGTGCATTCAATTCAAAGAGTTTAACATTTCTTTTGAAAGAGCAGTTTTGAAACACCTTTTTTGTAGAATTTGCAAGGGTGTATTTAGAGGGCTTTGAGGCCTATGGTAGAAAAGGAAATATCTTCACATAAAAACTAGAAAGAAGCATTCTCAGAAACTACTCTGTGATGTTTGCATTCAACTCACACAGTTCAACATTTCTTTTGATAGATCAGTTTTGAAACATTCTTTTTTTAGAATCTGCAAATGGATATTTGGATCTCTTTGATGCCTTCGTTTGAAACAGGAACTTCCTCACGTAAAAACTAGACAGAAGAATTCTCAGAAACTTTTTGTGACGTGTGCATTCCACTCACAGAGTTGAACCTTCCTTTTGATAGAGCAGTTTTGAAACACTCTTTTTGTAGATTTTGCAAGTGGATATTTAGAGCGCTTTGAGGCCAATAGTAGAAAACGAAATATCTTCATATAAAAACTAGACAGAATCATTCTCAGAAACGACTTTGTGATGTGTGCGTTCCACTCACAGAGTTTAACCTTTCTTTTGATAGTCCAGTTTGGAAACATTCTGTTTGTAAAGTCTGCAAGTGGATATTTGGAGCACTTTGAGGAATTCTTTGGAAACGGGAATATCTTCACATAAAAAGTAGATAGAAGTATTCTTAGAAACTTCTTTGTGATGTCTGCACTCAACTCACCGAGTTGAACCTTCCTTTTGGTAGAGCAGCTTTGAAACACTCTTTTTGTAGAATTTGCAAGTGGATATTTAGAGCGATTTGGGGCCTGTGGTAGAAAAGGAAATATCTTCACAGAAAAACTACACAGAAGCATTCTCAGAAACCACTTTGTGATGTTTGCATTCAACTTACAGAGGTGAACATTCCTTTTGATAGAGGAGTTTTGTAACAGTCTTTTTGTAGAATCTGCAAGGGGATATTCGGACCTCTTTGATGCCTTTATTGGAAACGGGAATATCTTCATATAAAAAGTAGACAGAAGAATTCTCAGAAACTTCTTGGTGATGTGTGCATTCAACTCACAGAGTTGAACCTTCCTTTCCATAGAGGAGTTTTGAAACCCTCTTTTTGTGGAATTTCCAATTGAATATTTAGAGCGCTTGGAGGCCTGTGTTAGAAAAGGAAATATCTTCATATAAAAACTAGAGAGAATAATTCTCAGAAACTACTTTGTGATGTGTGCGTTCAATTCACAGAGTTTAACATTTCTTTTGATAGAGCAGTTTGAACAACTCTCTTTGTAGAATTTGCAAGTGTGTATTTAGAGGGCTTTGAGGCGTATGTAGAAAAGGAAATATCTTCACATAAAAACTAGACAGAAGCATTCTCAGAAACTACTTTGCGATGTTGGCATTCAACTCACAGAGTTCAACATTCCTTTTGATAGAGCAGTCTTGAATCACTCTTTTTGTAGAAACTGCAAGTGGATATTTGGACCTCTTTGATGACTTCGTTGGACACGGGAATTTCTTCTCGTAAAAACTAGACAGAAGAATTCTCAGAAACATTTTGTGATGTGTGCATTCAACTCACAGAGTTGAACCTTCCTTTTGATAGAGCAGTTTTTAATCACTCCTTTTGTAGAATTTGCAATTGCATATTTAGAGGGCTTTGAGGCCTATGGTAGAAAAGGAAATACCTTCACAAAAAAAACTAGACAGTAGCCTTCTCAAAAGCTATTTTTGATGTTTGCATTCAAATCACAGAGTTGAAGATTCCTCTTGATAGAGCAGTTTTGAAACACTCTTTTTGTAGAATCTGCAAGTGGGTATTTGGACCACTTTGAGGCCTTCGTTGGAAACTGGATTTCTTCATATAAAACTAGACAGAAGAATTCTCAGAAACTTCTTTGTGATGTGTGCATTCAACTCACAGAGTTGAACTTTCCTTTCGATAGAGCAGTTTTGAAGAACTCTGTAAAGTCTGCAAGTGGATATTTGGACCTCATTGAGGCCTTCGTTGGAAATGGGATTTATTCATGCAAAAACTAGTCAGAAGAATTCTCAGAAACTTCTTTGGAATGTGTGCATTCAACTCACAGAATTGAACCTTCCTTTCAATAGAGCAGTTTTGAAACACTCTTTGGTAGAATTTCCAAGTGAATAGTTAGAGTGCTTGGAGGCCTATGGTAGAAAAGGAAATATCTTCATAGAAAAATTAGACAGAATCATTCTCAGAAACTACTTTGTGATGTGTCCATTCAACTCACAGAGTTTAACCTTTCTTTTGATAGAGCTGTTTTGAAACTCTTTTCGTGTAGAATTTGCAAGTGTGTATTTAGAGGGCTTTGAGGCCCATGGTAGAAAAGGAAATATCTTCACATAAAAACTAGACAGAAGCATTCTCAGAAATTACTTTGTGATGTTTGCATTCAACTCACAGAGTTCAAAATTCTTTTTGATAGAGCAGTTTGAAATACTCTTTTGGTAGAATCTGCAATTGGATATTTGGACCTCTTTGAGGCTTTCGTTGGAAATGGGAATTCCTTCACATAAAAACTAGAAAGAAGAATTCCATGAAAATATTTTGATGTGTGCATTCAACTCACAGAGTTGAACCTTCATTTTGATAGTGCAGTTTGGAAACACTCTTTTTGCCGAATTTTATAGTGGATATTTAGAACGCTTTGTGGCCTACGGTAGAAAAATTTATATCTTCATATAAAAACTAGACAGAATCATTCTCAAAAACTACTTTGTGATGTGTGAGTTCAACTCAGAGAGTTTAGCCTTTCTTTTGATATAGCAGTTTTGAATCACTCTGCAAAGTCTGCAAGTGGATATTTGGAGCGCTTTGAGGCCTTCCTTGGTAAAGGGAGTATCTTCCTCTAAAAAGTAAAAAGAAGTTTTCTCAGAAACTTCTTTGTGATGTCTGCACTCAACTCAAGGGGTTGAACCTTCCTTTTTATAGAGCAGTTTTGAAGCACTATTTTGGTAGAATTTGCAAGTGGATATTTAGAGAGCTTTAAGTCCTAAGGTAGAAAAGGAAATATCTTCATGGAAAAACTACATGGAAGCATTCTCAGAAACTACTTTGTGGTGTTTGCATTCCACTCACAGTTTTGAACATTCCTCTTGATAGAGCAGTTTTGTAATACTTTTTATGTAGAATCTGCAAGTGGATATTTGGACCACTTTGAGGCCTTCGTTGGAAACGGGAATTTCTTCATATAAATACTAGACAGAAAAATTCTCAAAAACTTCTTTGTAATGTTTGCATTCAACTCACAGAGTTGAACTTTCCTTTCCATAGAGAAGATTTGAAATACTCTTTTTGTAGAATTTCCAAGTGAATATTTAGAACGCTTGGAGGACTAAGGTAGAAAAGGATATATCTTCATATAAAAACTAGACAGAAGCATTCTCAGAAACTACTTTGCGATGTTTACGTTCAACTCACAGAGTTGAACCTGCCTTTTGGTAGAGCAGTTTTGAAACACTCTTTTTGTAGAATTTGCATGTGTGTATTTAGAGGGCTTTGAGGCCTATGGTAGAAAATGAAATAACTTCACATAAAAACTAGAAGGAAGCATTCTCAGAAACTTCTTTCTGATGTTTGCATTGAACTCACAGTGTTCAACATTCCTTTTGATAGAGCAGTCTTGAAACACTCTTTTTCCAGAATTTGCAAGAGGATATTTGGACCTCTTTGAGGCCTTCATTGGAAACGGGAATTTCTTCACATAAAAACCAGACTGAAGAATTCTTAGAAATTTTTGTGATGTGTGCATTCAACTCACCGAGCTTAACCTTTCTTTTGATAGAGCAGTTTTGAAACACTCTTTTTGTAGAATTAGCAAGTGTGTATTTAGAGGGCTTTGAGGCCTATGGTAGAAAAGTAAATATCTTCACATAAAAACTGCACAGAAACATTCTCAGAAACTACATTGTGAAGATTCCTTTCAACTCACAGAGTTCAACATTCCTTTTGATAGAGCAGTTTTGAAACACTCTTTTTTTAGAATCTGCAAGCAGATATTTGGACCTCTTTGAGGCCTTTGCTGGAAACGGGAATTCCTTCACATAAAAACTAGACAGAAGAATTCTCAGAAACGTTTTGTGATGTGTGCATTCAACTCACAGAGTTGAACCTTCCCTTTGATACAGCAGTTTTGAAACACTCTTTTTGTAGAATTTCCAAGTGGATATTTAGAGCGCTTTGAAGCCCATTGTAGAAAAGAAAATATCTTCATATAAAAACTAAACAGAATCAGTCTCAGAAACTACTTTTTGATGTGTGCGTTCAACTCACAGAGTTTAACCTTTCTTTTGAGACAGCAGTTTTGAAACACTCTGTAAAGTCTGCAAGTGGATATTTGGAGCGCTTTGAGGCCTTCGTTTGAAACGGAATTTCTTCATATAATACTAGACAGAAGCATTCTCAGAAACTACTTTGTAATGTTTGCATTCCACTCACAGAGTTGAACATTACGTTTGATAGAGCAGGTTTGTAACACTCTTTTTGTAGAATCTGCAAGTGGATATTTCGACCTCTTTGAGGCCTTCGTTGGAAACGGGAATTTCTTCATAAAAAAACAAGACAGAAGAATTCTCAGAAACTTCTTTGTTATGTGTGCATTCAACTCAGAGTTGAACCTTCCTTTCGATAGAGCAGCTTTGAAACACTCTTTTTGTACTATTTCCAAGTGGATATTTAGAGAGCTTTGAGACAGATGGCAGAAAAGGAAATATCTTCATATAGAAACTAGACAGAAGAATTCTCAGAAACTATTTTTTGATGTGTGAATTCAATTCACAGAGTTTAAACTTTCTTTTGATAGAGCAGTTTTGAAACGCTCTTTTGGTAGAATTTGCAAGTGTATATTTACAGCGCTTTGAGGCCTATTGTATAAAAGGAAATTTCTTAACATAAAAACTAGACAGAAGCATTCTCAGAAACTACATTGTGATGTTTGCATTCAACTCACAGAATTGAACATTCCTTATGATAGAACAGTTTTGTAACACTCTTTTTGTAGAATCTGCAAGTGGATATTTGGATATCTTTGATTCCTTCATTGGAAAGGGGAATTTGTATAATTTTCAAGTGGATATTTAGAGCGCTTTGAGGCCTATGGTAGAAAAGGAAATATCTTCATATTAAAACTAGACAGAATTATTCTATGAAACTACTTTGTGATGTGTGGGTTCAACTCACAGAGTTTAACCTTTCCTTTGATAGAGCAGTTTTGAAACACTCTTTTTGTAGTTCTTGCAAGTGGATATTTAGGGTGCTTTGAGGCCTATGGTAGAAAAGGAAATATCTTCACATAAAAACTAGACAGAAGCATTCTCAGAAACTACTTTGTGATGTTTGCATTCATCTCACAGACTTGAACATTCCTCTTTATAGAGCTGTTTTGAAACAGTCTTTTCGAAAATTTGCCAGTGGATATTCGGACCACCTTGAGGACTTCTTTGGAAACGAGTTTTCTTCATATAAAACTAGAGAGAAGAATTCTCAGAAACTTCTTTGTGATGTGTGCATTCAAATCACAGAGTTGAACCTTCCTTTCGACAGAGCAGTTTTGAAACACTCCTTTTGTATAATTTCCAAGTAAATATTTTGAGGGCTATGAGGCCTATTGTAGAAAAGGAAATATCTTCCTATAAAAACAAGACAGACTCATTCTCAGAAATTAATTTGTGCTGTGTGTGTTCAACTCACAGAGTTTAACCTTTCTTTTCATAGAGCAATTTTGAAATACTCTGTAAAGTCTGCAAGTGGATATCTGGAGCGTTTTGTGGTCTTCTTTGGAAATGGTAGTATCTTCACATAAAATGTTGACAGAAGTATTCTCAGAAACTTCTTTGTGATATCTGCACTGGATTCACAGAGTTGAATTTTTTTTGATAGGGCAATTTTGACACACTCTTTTTGTAGAATTTGCAAGTGGATATTTAGAGTGCTTTGCGGGCTTTGGTAGAAAAGGAAATATCTTCATAGAAAAACTACACAGAAGCATTCTCAGAAACTACTTTGTGATGTTTGCATTCAACTCACAGAGTTGAGCATTCCTCTGGATAGAGCAGTTTTGGAAAACTCTTTTTGTAGAATCTTCAAGTGGATAATTGGACCTCTCTGTGGCCTTCGTTGGAAACGGGATTTCTTCCTATAAAGCTACACGGAAGAATTCTCAGAAACTTCTTTGTGATGTGTGCATTAAACTCACAGAGTTGAACCTTCCTTTTGATAGAGTAGTTTTGAAACACTCTTTTTGTAGAATTTCCTATTGAATATTTAGAGCGCTTTCAAGCCAATAGTAGAAAAGGAAATACCTTCATATAAAAACTAGACAAAATCATTCTCAGAAACTACTTTGTGATGTGTACGTTCAACTCAGAGAGTTTATCCTTTCTTTTGATACAGTAGTTTTGAAACACTCTGTAAAGTCTGCAAGTGGATATCTGGAGCACTTTGAGGCCTTCTTTGGAAAAAGGAGTATCTTCACATAAAAAGTAGACAGAAGTGTTCTCGGAAACTTCTCTGTGATGTGTCCATTTAACTCACAGAGTTGAACGTTCCTTTTGATAGAGCAGTTTTGAAACACTCTGTTTGTAAAGTCTGCAAGTGGATATTTGGAGCGATTTGAGGCCTTCTTTGGAAACGGGAATATCTTCACATAAAAAGTAGACAGAAGTATTCTCAGAACCTACATTGTGATGTCTGCACGAAACTCACAGAGTTGAACCTTTCTCTTGATAGAACAGTTTTGAAACACTCTCTTTGTAGAATCTGCAGGTGGATATTTAGAGCGCTTTGTGGCCTATTTTAGAAAAGTAAATATCTTCATATAAAAAGTAGACAGAATCATTCTCAGAAATTACTTTGTGATGTGTGCATTCAACTCACAGAGTTTAATCTTCTTTTGATAGAGCAGTTTTGAAACACTCTGTTTGTAAAGTCTGCAAGTGGATATATGGAGCGCTTCGAGGCCTTCTTTGGAAACGGGAGTATCTTCACATAAAAAGTAGACAGAAGTATTCTCAGGAACTTCTTTGTGATGTCTGCACTCAACTCACAGAGTTGTAACTTCCTTTTTATAGACCAGTTTTGAAACACTCTTTTTGTAGAATTTGCAAGTGGATATTTAGAGCTCTTTGGGGCCTATGGTAGAAAAGGAAATATCTTCATAAGAAAACTACACAGAAGCATTCTGTGAAACTAGTTTGTGAGGTTTGCATTCAACTCATAGGGTTAAACATTCTTTTTGATAGAGCAGTTTTGTTACACTCTTTTTGTAGAATCTGCAAGTCTATATTTGGACCTCTTTGATGTCTTTGTTGGAAACGGGAATTTCTTGAAATAAAAACCAGAAAGAAGAATTCGCAGAAACTTTTTTTGACGAGTGCATTCAACTCACAGAGTTGAACCTTCCTTTCGATAGGGCAGTTTGAAAACACTCTTTTTGTAAAATTTCCAAGTGAATATTTAGAGCGCTTGGAGGCCTATGGTAGAAAAGGAAATATCTTCATAGAAAAACTAGACAGAATCATTCTCAGAAACTACTTTGTGATGTCTGCGTTCAACTCACAGAGTTTAACCTTTCTTTTCATAGAGCAGTTTTGAAACACTCTGTTTGTAATATCTGCAAGTGGATATTTGGCGCACTTTAACGCCTATGGTAGAAAAGGAAATATCTTAACATAAAAACTTGACAGAAGCATTCTCAGAGACTACTTTGTGATGTTTGCATTCACTTCACAGAGTTAAACATTCCTTTTGATACAGCAGTTTTGAAACACTCTTTTTAAAAAATCTGCAAGTGCATATTAGGACCTCTTTGAGATCTTCGTTAGAAACGGGAATTTCTTCACATAAAAACTAGACAAAATAATTCTCAGAAACTTTTTGTGATGTGTGCATTTAACTCTCAGAGTTGAACATTCCTTTAGATAGAGCAGTTTTGAAACACTCTTTTTGTAGAATTTCCAAGTGGATATTTAGAGCGCTTTGAAGCCTGTGGTAGAAAAGGAAATATCTTCACATAAAAACTAGACAGAATCATTCTCAGAAACTACTTTGTGATGTGTGCGTTCAACTCACAGAGTTAAACCTTTCTTTTGATAGAGCACTTCTGAAAAACTCTGTTTGTAAAGTCTGCAAGTTGATAATTGGAGCGCTTTGAGGCCTTCTTTGGAAATGGGAATATCTTCCCTCTAAAAGCACATAGAAGTATTCTCAGAAACTTCTTTGTGATGTCTGCACTCCACTGAAACAGTTGAACCTTCCTTTTGATAGAGAAGTTTTGAAACACTCTTTTTGTAGAATGTGCAAGTGGATATTTAGAGAACTTAGTGGACTATGGTAGAAAAGGAAATATCTTTATATAAAAACAAGACAGAATCATTTTCAGTAACTTTTATGTGATGTGTGTGTTCAACTCACCGAGTTTAACCTTTCTTTTGATAGAGCAGTTTTGAAACACTCTTTTTGTAGAATTTGCAATTGTATATTTACAGCGTTTTGAGGCCTGTGGTAGAAAAGTAAATATCTTCACATAAAAACTAGATAGAAGCATTCTCAGAAACTACTTTGTGATATTTTGATTCAAATCACAGAGTTCAACATTCCTTATGATAGAGCAGTTTTGAAACACTCTTTTTGTAAAATCTGCAAGTGGATATTTGGACCTCTTAGGGCCCTTCGTTGAAAACGGGAATTTCCTTACAAAAAAATTTGAACGAAGAATTCTCAGAAACATTTTCTGATGTGTGCATTGAACTCGCAGAGTTAAATCTTCCTTTTGATAGAGCAGTTTTGAAACACTCTTTTACAGAATTTCCAAGTGGATATTTAGAGTGCTTTGAACCCTATGATAGAAAAGGAAATATCTTCACAGAAAAACTAGACAGAAGCATTCTCAGAAATTACTTTGTGAAATCTGGACTCAACTCACAGAGTTTAACCTTTCATTTGATAGAGCAGTTTTGAAACATTCTGTTTGTAAAGGCTGCAAGTGGATATTTGGAGTGCTTAGAGGCCTTCTTTGGAAACGGGTGTATCTTCACATAAAAAGCAGACAGAAGTATTCTCAGAAACTTCTTTGTGATGTCTGCACTCAACTCACAGAGTTGAAACTGCCTTTTGATAGAGCAGTTTTGAAACACTCTTTTTGTAGTATTTGCAAGTGGATATTTAGAGCGCTTTGAGGCCTATGGTAGAAAAGGAAATAACTTAATATAAAAACTAGACAGAATCATTCTCAGAAACTACTATGGGATGTGTGATTTCAACTCACAGAGTTTAACCTTTCTTTTGATAGAGCAGTTTTGAAACACTCTTTTTGTAGAATTTGCAAGTGTATATTAAGATTGCTTTGAGGTCTATTATAGAAAAGGACATATCTTCACATTAAAAACTAGATGGAAGCATTCTCAGAAACTACTTTGTGATGTTTGCATTCAACTCACAGAGTTGAACATTCCTCTTGATATAGCAGTTCTGAAACACTCTTTTTGTAGAATCTGCAAGTGGATATTTGGACTTCTTTGAGGCCTTCGTTGGAAATGGGATTTCTTCATATAAAACTAGACGGAAGAATTCTCAGAAACTTCTTTGTGATGTGTTCATTCAACCCACAGAGTTGAACCTTCCTTTTGATAGGGCAGTTTTGAAACACTCTTTTGGTAGAATTTGCAAGTGCATATTTGGAGCGCTTTGAGGCGTTCTTTGGAAACGGGAGTATCTTCACATAAAAAGTAGACAGAAGTATTCTCAGAAACAACTTTGTGATGTCTGCACTCAACTCACCGAGTTGAAGCTTCCTATTGATAGAGCAGTTTTGAAACACTCTTTTTGTAGAATTTGCAAGTGGATATTTAGAGCTCTTTGGGGTCTACGGTAGAAAAGGAAATATCTTCATAGAAGAACTACACAGAAGCATTCTCAGAAACTACTTTGTGATGTGTGCATTCAACTCACAGAATTTAACTTTTCTTTTGATACAGCAGTTTTGAAACACTCTTTTTGTAGAATTTGCAGGTGTATATTTAGAGGGCTTTGAGGCCTCTGGTAGAAAAGGAAATATCTTCAAATAAAAACTAGACAGAAGCATTCTCAGAAACTTCTTTGTGATTTGTGTATTCAACTCACAGTTTTGATCCTTCCTTTTGATAGAGCAGTTTTGAAACACTCTTTTTGTAGAAACTGCAAGTGGAAATTTGGAGTGCTTTGAGGCCAACGGTGGAAACGGGAATATCTTCACATAAAAAGTAGAAAGAAGCATTCTCAGAAACTACTTTGTGATGTGTGTATTCACCTCACAGAGTTGAACCTTCCTTTTGATAGAGCAGCTTTGACACAGTCTTTTTGTAGAATCTGCCAGTGGACAGTTGGAGCGCGTTGAGGCCTTTGGTGGAAATGGGAATATCTTCACATAAAAACTAGACAGAAGCATTTTCAGAAACTTCTTTGTAATGTGTGCATTCAACTCACAGAGATGAACTTTCCTTTTGATAGAGCAGTTTTGAAAACCTTTTTTTATAGAATCTGCAAGTGGATATTTGGAGCTCTTTGAGGCCTTCGGTGGAAACGGGAATATCTTCACCTAAAAAGTAGACAGAGGGATTCTCATCAACTTCTTTGTTATGTGTGCATTCAACTCACAGAATTGAACCTTTCTTTTGATAGAGCAGTTTTGAAACACTCTTTTTCTAGAATCAGCAAGTGAATATTTGGAGCGCTTTGAGGCGTATGGTGGAAAAGGATATATCTTCACATAAAAACTACACAGAAGCATTCTCTGTAACCTCTTTGTGTAGTGTGCATTCAACTCAAAGGGTTGAACCTTTCTTTTGATGGAGCAGTTTTGAAACGCTCTTTTTGCAGAATCTGCAATTGGATATTTGGAGCTCTTTGAGGCCTGTCGTTGAAAAGGAAATATCTTCACATGAAACTAGACAGAAGCATTCTCCGAAACTTCTTTGTGATGTGTGCATTCAACACACCGAGCTGAACCTTTCTTTTTATAGAGCAGTTTTGAAACACTCTTTTTGTAGAGTCTGAAAGTGGATATTTGGAGCGCTTTGAGGCCTATAGTTGAAAAGGAAATATCTTCACATAAAAACTAGACAGGAGCATTCTCTGAAACTTCTTTCTGATGTGTGCAACTCACAGAGTTGAAACTTTCTTTTGAGAGAGCAGTTTAGTAACACTCTTTTTGTAGAATCTGCAAGTGGATATTTTGTTTCCTTTGAGGCCTTCGTTGGAAAACAAAATATCTTCACTTAAAAACTAGACAGAAGCATTCTCAGAAACTACTTTGTGATGTGTGCATTCAACTCACAGGGTTGAAGCTTTCTTTTGATAGAGCAGTTTTGAAACACTCTTTTTGTAGAATCTGCAAGTGGATATGTTGTTCCCTTAGAGGCCTATCTTGGAGAACACAATATCTTCACAGAAAAACAAGGCAGAAGCATTCTCAGAAACTACTTTGTTGTATGTACATTCAACTCATAGAGTTGACCCTTTCTTTTGCTAGAGCAATTCTGGAACACTCTTTTTACAGAATCTGCAAGTGGATATTTGGTTCCCTTTGAGGCCTATTTTGGGAAATGAAATATCTTCACATAAATACTAGACAGAAGCAGTCACCGAAACTTGTTTGTGATGTGTGCATTCAATTCACGGAGTTGAACCTTTCTTTGGATAGGGCAGTTGAGAAACCCTTTTTTTGTAGAATCTGCAAGTGGACATTTGGAGCACTTTGAGGCCTGTGGTGGAAAAGGAAATATCTTCACATAGAAACTAGATTGAAGCATTCTCAGAAACTTCTTTGTGATGTGTGCATTCAACTTACAGAGTTGAACACTCCTTTTGACAGAGCAGTTATGAAACACTCTTTTTTGTAGAATCTGCAAGTCGATATTTGGAGCGCTTTGAGGCCTATGGCGGAAATGGGAATATCTTCACATTAAAACTAGACAGAAGCTTTCTCCAAAACTTCTTTGTGATGTGCACATTCAGCTCACAGGGTTGAAGCTTTCTTTTAATAGAGCAGTTTTGAAACACTCTTTTTGTAGAATCTGTAAGTGGATATTATGAGTGCTTTGAAGCCTATGGTGGAAAAGGGAATATCTTCACATAAAAACCAGACAGAAGCATTCTCTGAAACTTCTTTTTGATGTGTGCAATCAACTCACAGAGTTGAACCTTTCTTTTGATAGAGCAGTTTTGAAACACTCTTTTTGTAGAATCTGCAAGTGGATATGTTGTTCCCTTAGAGGCCTGTGATGGAGAACGCAATATCTTCACAGAAAAACAAGACAGAAGCATTCTCAGAAACTTCTTCGTTGTATGTACATTCAACTCACAGAGTTGACCCTTTCTTTTGCTAGAGCAATTTTGAAACACTCTTTTTACAGAATCTGCAAGTGGATATTTTGTTCCCTTTGAGACCTATTTTGGGAAATGAAATATCTTCACATAAATACTAGACAAAGCATTCACCGAAACTTCTTTGTGATGTGTGTATTCAACTCATAGAGTTGAACCTTTCTTTGGATAGGGCAGTTGAGAAACCCTTTTTTTGTAGAATCTGCAAGTGGACATTTGGAGCACTTTGAGGCCTGTGGTGGAAAAGGAAATATCTTCACATAGAAACTAGATTGAAGCATTCTCAGAAACTTCTTTGTGATGTGTGCATTCAACTTACAGAGTTGAACACTCCTTTTGACAGAGCAGTTATGAAACACTCTTTTTGTAGTATCTGCAAGTCGATATTTGGAGCGCTTTGAGGCCTATGGCAGAAATGGGAATATCTTCACATTAAAACTAGACAGAAGCTTTCTCCAAAACTTCTTTGTGATGTGTGCATTCAACTCAGAGTTGAACCTTTCTTTTGATAGAGAAGTTTTGAAACATTCTTTTTGTAGATTCTGCAAGTGGATATTTGGAGCGCATTGAGGCCTATGGTGGAAAAGGAAATATCTTCACATAAAAACTAGACAGAAGCATTTTCCGAAACTTCTTTGTGATGTGTGCATTGAACACACAGAGTTGAAACTTTCTTTGGACAGAGAAGTTTTGAAACCCTCTTTTTGTAGAATCTGCAAGTGGATGTTTTGTTCCCTTTGAGGCCTATGTTGGGAAATGAAATATCTTCACATAAAAACTAGACAGAAGCACTCTCAGAAACTTCTTTGAGATGTTTGCATTCAACTCACAGAGTTGATACTTTCTTTTGAGAGAGCCATTTTGAAACACTGTTTTTGTAGAATCTGCAAGTGGATATTTGGAGCGCTTTGAGGCCTATGGTGGAAAAGCAAATATCTTCACAGAAAAACTAGACAGAAGGATTCTCTGAAACTTCTTTGTGATGTGTGCATTAAACTCACAGAGCTGAACCTTTCTTTTGATAGAGCATTTTTGAAACACTCTTTTTGTGGAATCTGCAAGTGGATATTTGGATGGCCTTGAGGCCTATGGTGAATAAGGAAATATCTTCACATAACAACTAGACAGAAGCATTCTCCATAACTACTTTGTGATGTGTGCATTCAACTCATACAGTTGAACCTTTCTTTGGATAGAGCAGTTTTGAAACACTCCTTTTGTAGCATTTGCAAGGGGATATTTGGAGGGCTTTGAGGCCTATGGTGGAAAAGCAAATATCTTCACATAAAAATTAGACAGAAGGATTCTCAGAAATTTCTTTGAGATGTGTGCATTCATCTCACAGAGTTGAACCTTTCTTTTGAGAGAGCAGTTTTGAAACACTCTTTTTCTACAATCTGCAATTTGGTAATTGGAGCACTTTGAGGCCTATGGTGGAAAAGGAAATATATTCACATAAAACCCAGACAGAAGCATTATCCATAACTTCTTTGTGGTGTGTGCATTCAACTCACAGATTTGAACGTTTCTTTTGATTGAGCAGTTTTGGAACACTCTTTTGGTAGAATCTGCAAGTGGATATTTAGTTCCCTTTGAGGCCTATGTTGGAAAATGAAATATCTTCACATAAACACTAGACAGTAGCATTCGCAGAAACTTCTTTGTATTCTGTGCATTCAACTCACAGAGATGAAACTTTCTTTTGATAGAGTATTTTTGAAACACTCTTTTTGTAGAATCTGCAAGTGGATATTTGGATCGCTTTAAGGCCTATGGTGGAAAAGGAAATACCTTCACATAAAAACTAGACGGAAGCGTTCTCAGAAACTTCTTTGTGATGTGTGCATTGAACTCACAAAGTTGATCATTTCTTTTCATAGAGCAGTTTTGAAACACTGTGTTCGTAGAATCTGCAAGTGGATATTGGGAGCGCTTTGAGGCCTATGTTGGAAAAAGAAATATCATCACATAAAAACTAGACAGAAGCATTCACCATCACTTCTTTGTGTTGTGTGCATTCAAATCACAGAGTTGAACCTTTCTTTTGATAGAGCAGCTTTGAAACCCTATTTTTGTATAATGTGCAAGTGGATATTTGGAGTGCTTTGAGGCCTATGATAGAAAAGGAAATATCTTCATATAAAAACTAGACAGAAACATTATCCGAAACTCCTTTGTGATGTGTGCAATCAACTCACAGAGTTGAACCTGTCTTTTGATTGAGCAGTTTTGAAACACTCTTTTTTGCATAATCTGCCTGTGGATATTTGTACTGCTTTGAGGCCTTTGGTGGAAAAGGAAGTATCTTTCCATAAAAACTAGAGAGAAGAATTCTCAGATTCTTCTTTGTGATGTCTGCATTCAACTCACAGATTTGAACGTTTCTTTTGACTGAGCAGTTTGGAAATACTCTTTTTGTAGTATCTGCAAATGTTTATGTGGAGCACTTTGAGGCCTGTAGCTGAAAAGGAAATGTCTTCACATAAAAACCAGAAAGAAGCATTCTGAGAAACTTCTTTGGATGAGTGCATTCATCTCACAGAGTTGAATCTATCTTTTATTTGAGCAGTTTTGAGAAACTCTTTTTTTAGAATCTGCAAGTGAATATTTGGAGCGCCTTGGGTCTTATGGTGGGAAAGGAAATATCTTCACATAAAAACTAGACAGAGGCATTCTGAGAAGTGTCTTTGTGATGTGTGCATTCATCTCACAGAGTTGAACCACTCTTTTGACTGAGCAGTTTTGAAACACTCTTTTTGTAGAATCTGCATGTGAATATTTGGAGCGCTTTGAGGCCTATGCTTGAAAATGAAATATCTTCACATAAAAACTAGACAGAAGCATTCTCAGAAACTTCTTTGTGAAGTGTGCATTGAACTTACAAAGTTGATCGTTTCTTTTGATAGAGCAGTTTTGAAACACTCTTTTCGTAGAATCTGCAAGTGGATATTGGGAGCGCTTTGAGGCCTATGTTGGAAAAAGAAATGTCTTCACATAAAAACTAGACAGAAGCATTCACCGTCACTTTTTTGTGTTGTGTGCATTCAAATCACAGAGTTGAACCTTTCTTTTGATAGAGCAGCTTTGAAACCCTATTTTTGTATTATGTGCAAGTGGATATTTGGAGGGCTTTGAGGCCTATGATAGAAAAGGAAATATCTTCATATAAAAACTAGACAGAAACATTCTCAGAAACTACTTTGTGATGTTTGCATTCAACTCACAGAGTTGAACCCTTTTTTTGATAGAGCAGTTTTGAAACATTCTTTTTGTAGAATCTGCAAGTGGTTATTTGGAGTGCTTTGAGGCCTCTGGTAGAAAAGGAAATTTCTTCATATAAAAACTAGACAGCAGCATTCTCAGAAACTACTTTGTGATGTTTGCATTCAACTCACAGTGTTGAACATTCCTTTTGATAGAGCATTTTTGAAACACTCTTTTTGCAGAATCTGCAAGTAGATACTTGGACCGCTTTGAGGCCTTCAGTGGAAATGGGAATATCATCACATAAAAACTAGACAGAAGCATACTCAGAAACTTCTTTGTGATGAGTTCATTGAACTCACAAAGTTGAACCTTTCTTTCGATATACCAGTTTTGAAACACTCTTTTTGTAGAATCTGCAAGTGCACATTTGGAGCGCTTTGAGGCCTGTAGTGGAAAAGGAAATATCCTCACAAAGAAACGAGACAGAAGCATTCTCAGAAACTTCTTTGTGTTGTGTGCATTCAACTCACAGAGTCGAATCTTCCTTTTGATAGAGCAGTTTTTAGACACTCTTTTTGTAGAATCTGCAAGTGGGTATTTGGAGAGCTTTGAGGCCTATGGTGGAAACGGGATATCTTCACAGAAAAACTAGACAGAAGCATTCTCAGAAACCACTTTGTGATGTGTGCATTCAACTCACAGAGTTGAACCTTCCTTTTGATAGAGCAGTTTTGACACAGTCTTTTTGTAGAATCTGCAAGTGGACACTTGGAGCGCGTTGAGGACTTTGGTGGAAATGGGAATATCTTCACATAAAAACTAGACAGAAGCATTCTCAGAAACTTCTTTGTTATGTGTGCATTCAACTCACAGAGTTGAACTTTTCTTTTGACAGAGCAGTTTTGAAACACTTTTTTGTATAATCTGCAAGAGGATATTTTGTTCCGTTTGAGGCCTAAGTTGGAAAAAGAAATATTTTCACATAAAAACTAGACAGAAACATTCTCTGAAACTCCTTTGTGATGTGTGCAATCAACTCACAGAGTTGAACCTGTCTTTTGATTGAGCAGTTTTGAAACACTCTTTTTTGCATAATCTGCCTGTGAATATTTGTACTGCTTTGAGGCCTTTGGTGGAAAAGGAAGTATCTTTCCATAAAAACTAGAGAGAAGAATTCTCAGATTCTTCTTTGTGATGTCTGCATTCAACTCACAGATTTGAACGTTTCTTTTGATTGAGCAGTTTGGAAATACTCTTTTTGTGGTATCTGCAAATGTTTATGTGGAGCACTTTGAGGCCTGTAGCTGAAAAGGAAATATCTTCACATAAAAACCAGAAAGAAGCATTCTGAGAAACTTCTTTGTGATAAGTGCATTCATCTCACAGAGTTGAATCTATCTTTTATTTGAGCAGTTTTGAAAAACTCTTTTTTTAGAATCTGCAAATGAATATTTGGAGCGCCTTGAGTCTTATGGTGGGAAAGGAAATATCTTCACATAAAAACTAGACAGAAGCATTCTGAGAAACATTTTTGTGATGTGTGCATTCATCTAACAAGGTTGAACCTTTCTTTTCATTGAGCAGTTTTGAAACACTCTTTTTTGTAGAATCTGCAAGGGGATATTTGGAGCACTTTGGGGCCTATGGTGGAAAAGGAAATATCTTCTCATAAAACCTAGACAGAAGCATTCTCAGATACTTCTTTGTGATGTGTGCATTCAACTCAAAGAGTTGAAGCGTTCTTTTTATTGAGCAGTTTGAAAACATTCTGTTTGTAGTATCTGCAAATGGATATGTGGAGTGCTTTGAGGCCTACAGCTGAAAAGGAAATATCTTCACATAAAAACTAGATAGAAGCATTCTCAGAAACTTCTTTGTGATGATTGCATTCATCTCACGGAGTTGAACCTTTCTTTTGAGCAGTTTTGAGAAACTCTTTTTGTAGGATCTGCAAGTGGATATTTGGAGCGCTTTGAGGCCTATGTTGGAAAAGAAAATATCTTCCCTTAAAACTAGACGGAAGCATTCTGAGAAACTTGTTTGTGATGTGTGCATTCATCTCACAGAGTTGAACCTTTCTTTTGATTGAGCAGTTTTGAAACACTCTTTTTGTAGAATCTGCAAGTGGATATTTGGAGCACTTTGAAGTCTATGGTTGTAAAGGAAATATCTTCACATAAAAGCTTGACAGAAGCATTCTCAGATACTACTTTGTGATGTGTGCATTCAACTCACAGAGCTGAACCTTTCTTTTGATTGAGCAGTTAGAAGACACTCTTTTTGTGGTATCTGCAAATGGATATTTGGAGCGCTTTGAGGCCTATAGCTGAAAAGTAAATACCTTCTCATAAACACTAGACAGAATCTTTCTCAGAAACTTCTTTGTAATATGTGCATTCTACTCACAGTGTTGAAACTCAGTTTTCATTGGGCAGTATTGAAACACTCTTTTTGTGGAATCTACAGATGGATATTTGGAGCACTTTGAGACCTATAGAAGAAAAGGAAATATCTTCATGTAAAAACTATACTGAAGCATTCTCAGAAATTTATTTGTGATGTGTGCGTTCAACTCACAGGGTTGAACTTTCTTTTGATAGAGCAGATTTGAAACACTCTTTTTGTAGAATCTGAGAGTGGATATTTGGAGCGCCTTCAGACCTAAGTTGGAAAAGCAAATACCTTCACATAAAACTAGACGGAAGCATTCTCAGATACTCCTTTGTGATGTGTGCATTTAACTCACAGATTTGAACTTTTCTTTTCATTGAGCAGTTGGAAAACACTATTGTGTTCCTATCTGCAAATAGATATTTGGAATGCTTTGAGGCTGTAATTGAAAAGAAAATATCTTCACATAAATCTAGAAAGAAGCATTCTCAGAAACTTCTTTATAATGTGTGCATTCTACTCACAGAGTTGGACCTTTCCTTTGGTTGAGCATTTTTGAAACACTATTTTTGTAGTATCTGCATGTGGATATTCCGAGTGCTTTGAGGCCTATGGTGAAAAAGCAAATATCTTCACATAAAAATTAGACATAAGCATTCTCAAATACTTCTTTGTGATGTGTGTATTCAGCTCACAGAGTTGAACGTTTCTTTTGATTGAGCAGCTTTGAAACACTCTTTTTGTAGTGTCTGCAAGTGGATATTTGGAGCGCTTTGAGGCCTATGGTGTAAAAGGAAATATCTTCACATAAAAACTAGACAGAAGCATTCTCTGAAACTTCTTTGTGTCGTGTGCATTCAACTCATGGAGTTGAATCTTTCTTTTGACAGAGCAGTTTTGAAACACTTTTTTTGTGGAATATGCAAGTGGATATTTAGAGCACTTTGATGCCTATGGTGGAAAAGGAAATATCTTCCCATAAAACCTAGACAAAAGCATTCTCAGATACTTCTTTGTGATGTGTGCATTCAACTCACAAATTTGAACATTTCTTTTCATTGAGCAGTATTGAAACACTCTTTTTGTAGAATCTACAAATGGATATTTGGAGCCCTTTGAGGCTTATGGTGGAAAAGGAAATATCTTCACATAAAAACTAGAAGAAGCATTCTCAGAAATTTCTTTGTGATGTGTGCATTCAACTCACAGAGTTGAACCTTTCTTTTGATAGAGCAGATTTGAAACACTCCTTTTGTAGTATCTGAATATGGATATTTGGAGCGCTTTCAGGCCTATGTTGGAAAAGCAAATACCTTCACATAAAAATAGACAGAAGCATTCTCAGATACTTCTTTGTGATGTGTGCATTTAACTCACTGAGTTGAGCTTTTCTTTTCATTGAGCAGTTGGAAAACACTATTTTGGTCCTATCTGCAAATGGATATTTGCAACGCTTTGAGGCCTATAGCTGAAAAGGAAATATCTTCACATAAATCTAGAAAGAAGCATTCTCAGAAACTTCTTTGTAATGTGTGCATTCTACTCACAGAGTTGAACCTTTACTTTGTGCACTTACGAAACACTCTTTTTGTAGAATCTGCAAGTGGATATTTGGAGCACTGTGAGGTCTATGGTTGTAAAGGAAATATCTTCACATAAAAGCTTGACAGAAGCATTCTCTGATACTTCTTGGTGAAGTGTGCGTTCAACTCACAGAGTTGAAACTTTCTTTTGATTGAGCACTATGAAACCATTCTTTTTGTAGTATCTGCAAATTGATATTTGGAGCACTTTGAGGCCTACAGCTGAAAAAGAAATCGCTTCTCATAAACACTAGACAGAAGCATTCTCAGAAACTTCTTTGTAATGTGTGCATTCTACTCACAGTGTTGAAACTAACTTTTCATTGAGCAGTATTGAAACACTCTTTTTGTAAAATCTACTAATGGATATTTGGAGCGCTTTGACGCCTATGGTGGGAAAGGAAATATCTTCATATAAAAACTATACTGAAGCATTCACAGAAATTTCTTTGGGATGTGTGCATTCAACTCACAGAGTTGAACATTTCGTTTGATTGAGCAGCTTCGAAACATTCTTTTTGAAGAATCTGCAAGTGGATATTTGAAGCGTTTTGGGTCCTATAGCTGAAAGGGAAATATCTTCCCATAAAAACTAGGCAGAAGCATTCTGAGCAACTTCTTTGTGATTACTGCATTCATCTCACAGAGTTGAACCTTTCTTTTGATTGAGCAGTTTTGAAACACTCTTTTTGTAGAATCTGCAAGTGGATATTTGGAGCGCTATGAGTCCTATGGTGGAAAAGAAAATATCTTCACATAAAACCCAGACAGAAGCAATCTCAGATGCGTCTTTGTGTTGTGTGCATTCATCTCACAGAGTTGATCCTTTCTTTTGACTGAGCAGTTTGGAGACACTCTTTTTGTAGAATCTGCAAGTGGATATTTGGAGCGCTTTGAGGCCTATGGTGGATAAGGAAATATCTTCACATAAAACCCAGACAGAAGCATTCTCAGAAACTTCTTTGTGATGTCTACATTCATCACACAGAGTTGAAGATTTCCTTCGATTGAGCAGTTTTGAGACACTCTTTTTGTAGAATCTTCATGTGAATAATTGGTACTCTTTGAGTCCTACAGTGGAAAAGGAAATATATGCACATAGAACTAGACAGAAGCATTCTCTGATAATTCTTTGTGTTGTGTGCATTCAACTCACAGGGTTGAAACTTTCTTTTGATAGAGCAATTTGAAAACACTCTTTTTGTACTGTCTGCAAATGGATATTTGCAGCGCTTTGAGGCCTATGGTGGAAAAGGAAATATCTTCACATAAAAACTAGACCGAAGCATTCTCCGAAACTTATTTTTGATCTGCTCATTCAACTCAGAGAGTTGAACCTTTCTATTGATCGAGCAGTTTTGAAACATTCTTTTTGTAGTGTCTGCAAGTGCATATTTGGAGCTCTTTGAGTCCTATAGCTGAAAGGGAAATATCTTCACATAAAAACTAGACAGAAGCATTCTGAGAAACTTCTTTGTGATGAGTTCATTCATCTCGCACAGCTGAACCTTTCTTTTGATTGAGCAGTTTGGAAACACTATTTTTGTAGTATCTGCAAGTGGATATTTGGAGCGTATTGAGGCCTGTGGTGCAAAAGAAATATCTTCACATAAAAACCAGACAGAAGAGTTCTCAGATACCTCTATGTGATGTGTGCATTGAACTCAGAAAGTTGAACCTTTCTTTTCATTGAGCAGTTTGAAAACACACTTTTTGTAGTATCTACAAATGGATATTTGGAGCACTTTGATGCGTATAGCTGAAAAGGAAATATCTTCACATAAAAAGTAGACAGAAACATTCTCAGAAACTTCTTTGTAATATCTGCATTCTACTCACAGAGTTAATCCTTTCTTTTGATGGAGCAGTTTTGAAACACTCTTTTTGTAGAATCTGCAAGTGGATATTTTGAGCACTTTGAGGCCTATGGTGGAAAAGAAAATGTCTTCACATAAAAACTAAACAGTGGCATTCTCAGAACATTCTTTGAGATATGTGTATTCTACTCACAGAGTTGAACCTTTCTTTTGATTAAGCAGTTTGGAAACACTCTTTTTGTAAAATCTGCAAGTGAATATTTGAGTGCCTTAAGTCCTATAGCTGAAAGGGAAATATCTTCACATAAAAAATAGACAGAAGCATTCTGAGAAACTTCTTTGAGATGACTGCGTTCATCTCACAGAGTTGAAACTTTCTTTTGATTGAGGAGTTTTGAAACACTCTTTTTGTAGAATCTGCAAGGGGATATTTGGAGCTCTTTGAGGCCTATAGCTGAAAAGGAAATATCTTCACATAAAAACTAGACAGAAGCATTCTGAGAAACTTTTTTAGGATGAGTGCATTTATCTCAAGGAGTTGAAAGTTTCTATTGATTGAGCAGTTTTGAAACACTCTTTTGTAGGATCTGCAAGTGCATATTTGGAGCACTTTGAGGCCTATGGTGGAAAACGAAATATCTTCACATAAAACCTAGATAGAAGAATTCTCAGATACTTCTATGTGATGTGTGCATTCAGCTTACAGAGATGAACCATTCTTTTGACTGAGCAGTTTGGAAACACTCTTTTTGTAGTATCTGCAAATGGTTATGTGGAGTGCTTTGATGCCTGCAGCTGAAAAGGAAATATCTTCACATAAAAACTAGACAAAAGCATTCTGAGAAACTTCTTTGTGATGAGTGTATTCATCTGACAGATTTGAAACTTTCTTTTGATTGAGCAGTTTCCAGAATCTCTTTTTGTAGTATCTGCATGTGCATATTTGGAGTGCTTTGAGGCCTATGTTGGAAAAGGAAATATCTTCACATAAAAACTAGACAGAAGCATTCTGAGAAACTTCTTTGTGATGTGTGCATTCATCTCACAGAGTTGAACATTTCTTTTCATTGAGCAGTTTTGAAACACTCTTTTTGTAGAATCTGCAATTGGATATTTGGAGCACTTTGAGGCCTACTGTGGAAAAGGAAATACCTTCAAATAAAACCTAGACAGAAGCATTGTCATATATTTCTTTGTGATGTGTGCATTCAACTCACAGAGTTGAACCTTTCTTTTGATTGAGGAGTTTGGAAACACTGTTTTTGTAGTAACTGTAAATGGATATGTGGAGCATTTTCAGGCCTATAGCTGATAAGGAAATATCTTCACACAAAAACTAGAAAGAAGTATTCTGAGAAACTTCTTTGTGATGAATGCATTCATCTCACAGAGTTGAAACCTTCTTTTGATGGAGCTGTTTTGACAAACTGTTTTTGTAGAATCTGCAAGTGGATATTTGGAGTGCTTTGAGGCTTATGGTGGAAAAGGAAATATCTTCATATAAAAACTAGACAGAAAAATTCTGAGAAACTGCTGTGTGATGTGTGCATTCATCTCACAGAGTTGAAATTTTCTTTTGATTGAGCAGTTTTGAACACTCTTTTTGTAGAATCTGCAAGTGGATATTTGGAGTGCTTTGCGTCCTATAGCTGAAAAGGAAATATATTCACATAAAAAAGAGACAGAAGAACTCTCAGAAACTACTTTGTAATGTGTGCATTCTACTCAACGAGTTTAAACTTTCTTTTGATAGAGCAGTTTGGAAACACTCTTTTTGTAGTATGTGCTAGTGGATATTTGCAGTGCTTTGAGGCCTATGGTGGAAAAGGAAATATCTTCAGGTAAAAACTAGACAGAAGCATTCTCAGAAACTTCTTTGTGATGTGTGCATTCATCTCACAGAGTTGAAACTTTCTTTTGATTGAGCAGTTTTGATGCACTCTATTTGTAGAATCTGCAGGTGGATATTTGGTGAGCTTTGAGTCCTATAGCTGAAAAAAAATGTCTTCACATAAAAGCTAGACAGACATATTCTGAGAAATTTCTTTGGATGAGTGCATTCGTCTCACAGAGTTGAAGCTTTCTTTTGATTGAGCAGTTTTGAGACATTCTTTTTGTAGAGTCTGCAAGGGGATATTGGGAGCTCTTTGAGGCCTATTGTGGAAAAGGAAATATCTTCACATAAAACCTAGATAGAAGCATTCCCAGATACTTCTTAGTGATATGTGCATTCAACTCACAGAATTGAAACTTTCTTTTGATTAAGCAGTTTGGAAACACTCTTTTTGAAGTATGTGCAAATGGATATGTGGAGAGCTTTGAGACCTATAGCTGAAAAGGAAGTATCTTAACATAAAAACTAGACAGAGGCATTCTCAGAAGCTTCTTTGTGATGAGTGCATTCATCTCACAGAGTTGAACCTCTCTATTGTTTGAGCATTTTTGAGAAACTCTTTCTGTAGAATCTGCAAGTGGATATTTGGAGCGCTTTGAGGCTCATGGTGAAAAGGCAAATATCTTCCCAAAAAAACTAGACAGAAGCATTCTGAGAAACTTCTTTGTGATGTGTGCATTCAACCCACAAAGTTGAAACTTTCTTTTGATTGAGCACTTTGAAAACACTCTTTTTGTAGAATCTGCAAGTGGATGTTTGGAGTGCTATGATGCCTAAAGCTGAAAAGGAAATATCTTCACATAAAAACTAGACAGAAGTATTGTGAGAAACTTCTTGGTGATGAGCTCATTCATCTCACAGAGTTGAACCTTTCTTTTGATTGAGCTGATTTGAAATACTCTTTTTGTAGAATCTGCATGGGGATATTTGGAGGGCTTTGAGGCCTATGGTGGAAGAAGAAATATCTTCACATAAAACCTAGACAGAAGCATTCCCAGGTACTTCTTGTGATGTGTACATTCGATTCACAGAGTTGAACCTTTCTTTTGATTGAGCAGTTTGGAAAAACTCTTTATGTTCTATCTGAAAATGGATATGTGGAGCGCTTTGAGGCCTATAGAAGAAAAGGAAATAATTTCACATAAATACTAAACAGAAGCATTCTGAGAAACTTCTTTATGATGACAGCATTCATCTCACAGAGCTGAAACGTTCTTTTGATTGAGCAGTTTTGAAAAACTCTTTTTGTAGAATTTGCATGGGGATATTTGGAGGGCTTTGAGGCCTTTGGTGGAAAAGGAAATATCTTCACATAAAACCCAGACAGAAGCATTCCCAGGTACTTCTTCGTGATGTGTGCATTCAATTCACAGAGTTGAACCTTTTTTTGATTGAGCAGCTTGGAAAAAACTCTTTATGTTCTATCTGCAAATGGATATGTGGAGCACTTTGAGGCCTATAGATGAATAGGAAATATCTTCACATAAATACGAGATGTAAGCATGCTCAGAAACTTGTTTGTGATGTGTGCACTTAACTGTCAGTTTTGAACCTTTCTTTTGAGTGAACAGTTGGAAGCACTCTTTGTGTAGTATCTGCAAATGCATATTTGGAGCACTTTGAGCCCTATAGCTGAAAAGGAAATATCTTCACATGAAAACTAGACAGAAGCATTCTGAAAATCTTCCTTGTGGTGTGTGCATTCATGTCACAGAGTTGAACCTCTCTTTTGATTGAGCAGTTTGGATACTTTTTGATATGTGCCTTCATCTTACAGAGTTGAAACTTTCTGTTGATTGAGGCGTTTGGAAACAGTCTTTTTCTAGAATCTGCAGAGGGATATTTGTGAGTGGTTTGAGGACTGCGATGAGAAAGTAAATATCTCCACATAAAAAGAAGTCAGAATCTTTCTGAGAAACTTATTTGTCTTGTGTGCATTCATCTCACAGATTTGATGCTTTCTTTTGATTGAGCAGTTTGGAAGTCTTTTTGCAGATTCTGCATAGTGATATTTGTGAGCCATTTTTGGCCTATGGTAAAAAACCAAATATCTTCACATAAAAACTAGACAAAAGCATTCTGTGAAACTTCTTTGTGATGTGTGCATTCATCTCACAGTGTTGAAGATTTTTTTTGATTGAGCTGTTTGGAAACAATCTTTTTGTAGATTCTGCATAGGTATATTTGTGAGCAGTTTGAGAACTGTGGTGAAAAAGGAATTATCTTCTCATAAAAACTAGACAGAAGCTTTCTGAGAATTTTTTTGTTGTGTGTATTCATCTCACAATGTTGAGTCTTTCTTTTCATTGAGCAGTTTGCAAACAGTCTTTTTGTATTATTGGCAAAGGTATATTTCTGAGCATTGTGATTCATATGGTGAAAAATAAATAACTTCACATTAAAAGTAGACAGAAGCATTCTGAGAAACATTTGTGATGTGTGCATTCATCTCAGAGTGTTGAATCATTCTTTTGAAAGAGCAGTTTGGATACCAACTTTTCGTAGAATCTACAAATGTATATTTGGAGTGCTTTGAGGCCTATGGTGAAAAAGGAAATATCTTCAAATAAAAACTAAACAGAAGCTTTGGGAGAAACTTCTTTGTGATGTGTGCATTCATCTCACAGAGTTGAAACTTTCTTTAAACAGAGCAGTTTTGAAACAGTCTTTTTCACATAGAAACTAGAGAGAAGATTTCCGAGAAACTGCTTTGACATGTGTGCATTCAGGTCATAGGTGTAAAAGTTTCTTTTCTTTGAGCAGTTTGGAAACTCTGTTCTTGGAGAATCTGCAAAGACATATTTGTTAGTGCATTGAAGCCTATGGTGAAAAAGGAAATATCTTCACATGAAAACTAGAAAGAAGCTTTCTGTGAAATGGCTTTGTGATGCATACATTCATCTCACAGAGGTAAACTTTCTTTTCATTGAGCAGTTTGGAAATGCTGTTCTTCTAGAATCTGCAAAGGGATATTTGGGAGACCATAGAGGCCTAGATATAAAAAGGAATTATCTTCAGATTCAAACTGGAAAGAGAGTTTCTGAGAAACTGCTTTGTGATGTGTGCATTCATCTGACAGAGTTGAACCATTATTTACTGAGCAGTTTGTAAAACGTCTTGTTGTAGAATCTGCAGAGGGATATTTCAGAGCACACTGAGGCCTATGGTGAAAAGGAAATATGTTCACAAATCAACTAGAAAGAACCTTTCTGAGAAACTGGTTTGTCAAGAGTGCATTCATCTCACAGAGGTAAACACTTTTTTCATTGAGCAGTTTGGAAACAGTCTTTTTGTGCAACCTGCAGTGGAATATTTTTGAGTGGTTTGAGAGCTATGGTGAAAAAGGAAATATCCTTACATAAAAACTAGAAAGAAGCATTCTGAGAAACTTCTTTCTGAGGTGTGCATTCATCTGACAGAGTTGAACTGTTCTTTTGATTGAGCAGTTTGCAAACAGTCTTTTTGTAGAGTCCGCAAATTTATATTTAGAGCTCTTTGAGGCCCATGGCAAAAAAGAAAATAAATTCACAGAAAAACAAGACAGAAGCTTTTTGAGAAACTCCTTTGCAACGTGTGCATTCATCTCACAGAGTTGAAGCTTTCTTTTGATTGAGCAGTTTGCAAACCTTTTTTTTGTAGAATCTGCAAAGGGATATTTTAGAGCCCTTTTAGGCCTATGGTGAAATAGGAAATATCTTCACATAAAAACTGGAAGGAGAATTCTGAGAAACTTCTTTGTGATGTGTGCATTCATCTCACAGAGTTGAAACTTTCTTTTGATTGAGCAGCTTTGGAACAGTCTTTTTGTAGAATCTGCAAATGGATATTTTGAGTACTTTCAGGCCTAAGGTGACAAAGGAAATGTCTTCACAAAAAGACTAGACAGAAGTTTTGTGAGAAAATTTTTTGTGATGTGTGCATTCATCACACAGAGTTGAAGCTTTCTTTTGATTGAGCTGTTTGGATACAGTCTTTTTGTAGATTCTGCATAGGGACATTTGTGAGTGATTTGAGGCGTATGGTGAAAAAGGAAATATCTTCACATAAAAACTAGACAGAAGCATACTGAGAAACTTCTTTTTGATGTGGGCATTCATCTCACAGAGTTGAGCCTTTCTTTTGATTGAGCAGTTTGGAAACTGTCTTTTTGTAGAATCTGCACATGGATATTTGGAACGCTTTGAGGCCTATGGTGGAAAAGGAAATATCTTCACATAAAAACTAGACAGAAGTATTCTGAAAAACTTCTTTGTGATGTGTGTATTCATCTCAAAGAGTTGAACTTTTCTTTTGATTGAGCAGTTTGGGAAAAGCCTTTTTGTACACCTGCAGAGGGATATCTGTGAGCCCTTTGAGGTCTATGGAGAAATAGGATATATCTTCACATAAAAACTAGACAGAAGGATCCTGAGAAACTTCTTTGTGATGTGTACATTCATCTCACAGACTTGAACATTTCTTTTGGTTGACCAGTTAAGAAACAGTCTTTTTGTACAATCTGGAAAGGGATATTTGTGAGCCCTTTGAGTCCCATGGTGAAATAGGAAATATATTCACAGGATAACCAGACAGAAGGATTACCAGAAACTTCTTTGTGATGTTTTCATTCACCTCAAGGAGTTGAACCTTTCTTTTGATTGAACAGTTTGGAAGCAGTCTTTTTGTAGAATCTGCAAATGGATATATTGGGTGCTTTGAGGCCTATGGTGATAAAGGAAATATCTCTTCACATAAAAACTAGATAGAAGCTTTCTGAGAAACTTCTCTGTGATCTGTGCATTCATCTCACAGATTTGAAGAATTCTTTAATTGAGCAGTTCAGAAACATTCTTTTTGTAGAATCTGCAGAGGGATATTTGTGAGCCATTTGAGACCTATGGAGAAATAGGAAATAACTTCACATAAAAACTAGACAGAGGGATTCTGAGAAACTTCTTTGTGATGTATACATTCATCTAACAGACTTGAACATTTCTGTCGATTGAGCAGTTTGGAAACAGTCTTTTTGTAGAATCTGCAGGGGGATATTTGTGAGCCCTTTGATGTCTATGGTGAAACAGGAAATATCTTCACATAAAAACTAGACAGAAGCATTCTGAGAAACTTCTTTGTGATGCATGCATTAATCTCACAAGATTAAAGCTTTCTTTTGATTGAGCAGTTTGGAACAGTATTTTGGTAGATTCTGCATAGGGATATTTATGAGTTGTTTGAGGTCTATGGTAAAAAAGGAAATATCTTCACATAAAAACTACACAGAAGCTTTCTGTGAATCTTTTTTCTGATGTTTGTATTCATTTCACAGAGCTGAACCTTTCTTTACACTGAGTAGTTTGCAAAGTCTTTTTGTACAATTTGAAAAGGGATATTTCTGAGTGTTTTGGGGCACATGGTGAAAAATAAATATCTTCACATAAAAACTAGACAGAAGCATTCTGAGAAACTTCTTTGTGATGTGTGCATTCATCTGAGAGTGTTGAACAATTCTTTTGATAAAGCAGTTTGGAAACAGTCTTTTCATAGCATCTACAAATGGATATTTGGTGCACTTTCAGACTCCTATGGAGAAACAGGAAATATCTTCCTAGAGGCCTATGGGGAAAAAGGAAATATCTTCACACAAAAACTACACAGAAGCATTCTGAGAAACTTCTTTGTGATGTGTGCATTCACCTGAGAGTGTTGAACAATTCTTTTGATAGAGCAGTTTTGAAACAGTCTTCATAGAATCCACAAATGGATATTTGGTGTGCTTTGAGGCCTATGGGGTAAAAGGAAATATCTTCACATAAAAACTAGACACAATCATTCTGAGAAACTTCTTTGTGATGTGTGCATTCATCTCACACAGTTGAAGTTTTCTTTTGATTGAGTACTTTGGAAATAGTCTTTTTGTAGAATCTGCCAAGGGATACTTGTGATCCCATTGAGGCCAATGGTGAAATAGGAAATATCTTCACATAAAAACTAGACACAATCATTCTGAGAAACTTCTTTGTGATGTGTTCATTCATGTCTCAGAGTTGAATCTTCCTTTTGATTGAGCAGTATGCAAACAGTTTTTGGTAGAGTCTGAAATTTGATATTTCAAGTGCTTTGAGGTAGATGGGGATAAAGAAAATATCTTCACATATAAACTAGACAGAAGCTTTTCGAGAAACTTCTCTGTGATGTGCGCATTCATCTCACAGAGTTGAAGCTTTCTTTTGATTGAGCAGTTTGGAAATAGATCTTTTGTAGAATCTGCAAAGGGATATTTTGGAGCCATATGAGACTTATGATGGAAAAGGAAATATCTTCACATGAAAACCAGACAGAAGCATTCTGAGAAACCTCTTTGTGATGTGTGCATTCATCTCACAGAGTTGAACCTTTCCTTTCATTGAGCAGTTTGGAAACCGTCTTTTTGTAGAATCTGCAAATGGATATTTGGAGTGCTTTGAGGCCTATGTTGTAAAAGGAAATATCTGCACAAAAAACTCCACAGAAGTTTTCTGAGAAACTTCTTTGTGATGTGTGCATTCATCTTACAGAGTTGAAGCTTTCTTTTGATTGAGCAGTTTGGAAAGAGTAGATACTGCATAGGGGTATTTTTGTAGATACTGCATAAGATTTTTGTAGATACTGCATAGGGATATTTGTGAGTGGTTTGAGGCATATGGTGAAAAAGGAAATATCTAAACATAAAAACTGGACAGAAGACTTTTGAGAAACTTCTTTGTGATGTTTGCATTCATCTCACAGAGTTGAAACTTTCTTTTGATTTATCATATTAGAAACTGTCTTTTTGTAAAATCCACAAAGGGATATTTTGAAACCATTGAGGCCTACGGTGAAACAGGAAATATCTTCTCATAAAAACTAGACAGAAGCTTTCTGACAAACTTCTTTGAGATGGATGCTTTCCTCTCATTGAGTTGAACCTTTTTTTTGATTGAGCAGTTTGGAAACATTCTTTTTGTGGACTCTGCAAAGGGATATTTTAGCGCCCTTTGAGGCCTATGGTGAAAAAGGAAATATCTTCACATAAAATCTGGACAGGAGCTTTCTGAGAAACTTCTTTGTGATGTTTGCTTTCATCTCACAGAGTTGAAACTTTCTTTAGATTGAGCATTTTGGAAACAGTCTTTTTGTAGGATCTGCAAATGATATTTTAGTGCGCTTTGAGGCCTTTTGTGAAAAAGGAAATATCTTCACATAAAAACTAGACAGAAGCTTTTTGAGAAACTTCTTTGTGATCTGTGCATTGAACTCAAAGATTTGAACCTTTCCCTGGATTGAGAAGTTTGGAAACAGTCTTTTTGTAGAATCTGCAAAGGGATATTTGAAAGGACTATAAGGCCTATCTTGAAAAAGGAAATATCCTCACATAAAAAGTAGACAGAATTTTTCTGAGAAACTTCATCATGATGTGTGCTTTCATCTCACAGAGTTGAACTTTCTTTTGATTGAGCTGTTTGGAAACAGTCTTTCTGTGGAATCTGCAGTGGAATATTTGTGAGTGGTTTGAGAGCTATGGTGAAAAAGGAAATATCCTAGCATAAAAACTAGACAGAAACATTCTAAGAAACTTCTTTTTGATTGCTGCATTCATCTCACGGAGTTGAATTTTTCTTTTGATTGAGCAGTTTGCAAACCGTCTTTTTTTAGAGTCTGCAAATTGATATTTGGAGCACTTTGAGGCCCATGGTGAAAAAGAAAATATCTTTACAGAAAAACTAGACAGAAGGTTTTGACAAACTCCTTTGTAATATATGCATTCATCTCACAGAATTGAAGCTTTCCTTTTTGAGCAGTTTGGAAACCATCTTTTTGTAGAATCTGCAAAGGGATATTATTTCAGAGCCCTTTGAGGCTTGTGGCGAAATAAGAAATATCTTCACATAAAACTGGAAGCAGCATTCTGAGAAACTTCTTTGCAATGTGTGCATTCATCTCACAGAGTTGAAACTTTCTTTTCATTCATCAGTTTTGGAACAGTCTTTTTGTAGAATCTGCAAATGGATATTTGGAGTGCTTTGGGGCCTATGGTGAAAAAGGAAATATCTTCACATAAAAACTAAACAGAAGCATTTTGAGAAACTTCTTTGTGATGTGTGCATTCATATCAGAGAGTTGAACCTTTTTTTTTTTTGATTGAGCAGTTTGGAAACAGTCTTTTCATCCACCTGCAGAGGGATACCTGTGAGCCCTTTGAGGCCTATGGAGAAATAGTAAATACATTCACATAAAAACTACACAGAAGCATTCTGAAAAACTTCTTTGTGATGTGCGCATTCATATCAAAGTGTTGAAACTGTCTTTTTATTAAGCAATTTGGAAGTATTCTTTTTGTACAATCTGCAGAGGGATATTGTGACTCCTTTGAGGCCTATGGAGAAATAGGAAATATCTTCACCTAAAAACTAGACAGAAAGAGTCTGAGAAACTGCTTTGAGATGTGTAGATTCATCCCACCGACTTGAAGATTTCTTTTGATTGAGCACTTTGGAAACAGTCCTTTTGTAGAATCTGCAAGGGGAAATTTAAGAGCCCTTTGAGGCCTATGGTGAAATAGGAAATATCTTCACATAAAAACTAGACAGAAGCGTTCTGAGAAAATTCTTTGTGATGTGCACATTCATCTCAAATGTTGAACCTTTCTTTCAATTGAGCAGTTTGGAAACAATCTTTTTGTAGAAACTGCAGAGGGACATTTGGGAGCCAGTTGAGGCCTATGGTGAAATAGGAAATATCTTCACATAAAAACTAGACAGAAGGTTTCTGAGAAACTTCTTTGTGATGTGTGCATTCATATGAAAGAGATGAACCTTACTGTTGATTGAGCAGATTGGAAACAATCTTTTTGTAGAATCTGCAGAGAGATATTAGTGAGCCCTTTGAGGCCTATGATGAAATATGAAATATCTTCTCATAAAAACTAGACAGAAGCTTTCTGAAAACCTTCTTTGTGATGGGTGCTTTCATCTCACAGAGTTGAACCTTTCTTTCTACTGAGCAGTTTTGGAAAGAGTCTTTTTATAGTATCTGCAAATGGATATTTGGAGCTCATTGAGGCCTATTATGAAAAAGGAAATATCTTCACATAAAAACTAGACAGAAGCTTTGTGAGAAACTACTTTGTGATGTGTTCTTCATCTCATAGAGCTGAACCTTTCTTTCTATTGAGCAGTTTGGAAACAGTGTTTTTGTAGAATCTGCAAATGGATATTTGGAGCACTTTGTGGCCTATGGTGAAAAAGGAAATCTCTTCACGTAAAAACCAGACAGAAGTTTTCTGAGAAACTTATTTGTGATGTGTGCTTTCATCTCACAGAGTTGAACTATTCTTTTGATTGAGCAGTTTGGAAACAGTCTTTTTATATGAACCTGAAGTGGGATATTTGGGAGTGCTTTTAGAACTATGGTGTAAAAAGAAATATCTTCACATAAAAACTAGAAAGAAGCTTTCTGAGAAACTGCTTTGTGATGTGTGTATTCGTCTCACAGAGCTAAACGATTTTTTCATTGAGCAGTTTGGAAACTCTTTTCTTCCAGAATCTGCAAAGGGATATTTGTGAGCACTTTGAGTCCTATGGTGAAAAAGGAAATATATTCACATAAAAACTAGAAAGACGTTTTCTGAGAAACTTCTTTGTGTTGCATGCATTCATCTGACAGGGTTGAACCATTCTTGTGATTGAGCAGTTTGGAAATAGTCTTTTAATAGAATCTGCAAAATAGTATTTGGGAGAATACTAAGGCCTGTGGTGAAAAGGAAATATATTCACATAAAAACTAGAAGGAAGGTTTTGAGAAACTTCTTTGTCATGTGTGCATTCATGTCACACAGGCAAACCTTTCTTTTCATTGAGCAGTTTGGAAACTCTGTTCTTGTAGAATCTTCCAAGGGATATTTATGAGTGCTTTGAGGCCTATGTTGAAAAAGGATATATGTTCATGTAAAAACTAGACAGAAGCTTCCTGAGAAACTTCTTTTTGATGTGTGCAGTCATCTCACAGTGTTGAACCATTCTTGTGATTGAGAAGCTTGGAAACAGTCTTTTCATAGAAACTGCAAAAGGATATTTAAGAATGCATTGAGGCCTATGGTGAAAAAGGAAATATCTTCACATAAAAACTAGAGAGAAGCTTTCTGAGAAACTGCTTTGTGATGTGTGCATTCATGTTACAGGGGTAAACGTTCCTTTTCATTGAGCAGTTTGGAAACTCTGTTCTTGGAGAATCTGCAAAGGCATATTTGTTAGTGCATTGAAGCCTATGGTGAAAAAGGAAATATCTTCACATGAAAACTAGAAAGAAGCTTTCTGTGAAATGGCTTTTTGATGCATGCATTCATCTCACAGAGGTAAACGTTTATTTTCATTGAGCAGTTTGGAAAGTCTGTTCTTCTAGAATCTGCAAAGGAATATTTGGGAGTGCATAGAGGCCTAGATAGAAAAAGGAAATATCTTCTGATTCAAACTGGAAAGAGAGTTTCTGAGAAACTGCTTTGTGATGTTTGCATTCATCTGACACAGTTAAACCATTGTTTTGATTGAGCAGTTTGGAAAAAGTCTTTTTGTAGAATCTGCAAGGGATATTTGGGAGTGCACTGAGACCTATGGTGAAAAGGAAATATGTTCACATAAAAAGTAGAAAGAAGCTTTCTGAGAAACTGCTTTGTCATGTGTGCATTCATCTCACAGTGCTAAACCTTTCTTTTCATTGAGCAGTTTGGAAACTCTGTTCTTGTAGAATCTGCCAAGGGATATTTGTGAGTGCTTTGAGGCCTGTGTTGAAAAAGGATATATCTTCACATAAAAACTAGACAGAATCTTTCTGAGAAACTTCTTTTTGATGTGTGCATTCATCTCACAGAGTTGAACCATTCTTGAGATAGAGCAGTTTGGAAACAGTCTTTTCATAGAAACTGCAAAGGGATATTTGGGAGCACGTTGAGGCCTATGGTGAAAAAGGAAATA
Organism: Homo sapiens; assembly: GCF_000001405.40. NCBI lineage: Eukaryota > Metazoa > Chordata > Mammalia > Primates > Hominidae > Homo > Homo sapiens. The sequence goes on from NW_012132918.1 coordinate 302,332, forward strand.
TCTTCACATAAAAACTAGAGAGAAGCTTTCTGAGAAACTGCTTTGTGATGTGTGCATTCATGTCATAAGGGTAAACATTTGTTTTCATTGAGCAGTTTGGAAACTCTGTTCTTCTAGAATCTGCAAAGGCATATTTGTCAGTGTGTTGAAGCCTATGCTGAAAAAGGAAATATCTTCACATAAAAACTAGAAAGAAGTTTTCTGAGAAATGGCTTTGTGATGCATGCATTCATCTCACAGAGGTAAACGTTTCTTTTCATTGAGTAGTTTGGAAATGCTGTTCTTCTAGAATCTGCAAAGGGATATTTGGGAGAGAATAGAGGCCTAGATAGAAAAAGGAAATATCTTCAGATTCAAACTGGCGAGTTTCTGAGAGACTGCTTTGTGATGTATGCATTCATCCCACAGAGTTGAACCATTATTTTGATTGAGCAGTTTGTAAAAAGTCTTTTTGTAGAATCTGCAAAGGGATATTTGGGAGTGCACTGAGGCCTATGGTGAAAAGGAAATATGTTCACATAAAAAGTAGAAAGAAGCTTTCTGAGAAACTGGTTTATCATGAGTGCATTCATCTCACAGAGGTAAACGTTTCTTTTCATTGAGCTGTTTGGAAGCTCTGTTCTTGTAGAATCTGCAAAGGGATATTTGTGAATGCTTTGTGGCCTATGTTGAAAAAGTATATATCTTCACATAAAAACTAGACAGAAGCTTTCTGAGAAACTGGTTTGTCATGAGTGTATTCATCTCACAGAGGTAAACATTTCTTTTCATTGAGCAGTTTGGAAACAGTCTTTTTGTAGAATCTGCAGAGGGATATTTAGGAGCACTTTGAGGCCTATGGTCAAAAAGGAATTATCTTCTGATACATACTAGAAAGAGAGTTTCTGAGAAACTGCTTTATGATGTGTACATTAATCTCACAGAATTGAGCCATTCTTTTGATTGAGCAATTTGGAAACACAGTGTTTGTAGAATCTGCGAAGGGATATTTTGTTTCACATGGATGCCTGTGTTGAAAAAGGAAATATCTTCCAATACATGCTAGACAGAAGCTTTCTGAGAGAATGCTTTGTAATGTGTGCATTCATCCCACAGAATTAAAAGTTTCTTTTCATTGAGCAGTTTTTAAACTCTGTTGTTCTATAATCTGCAAAAGGATATTTGGGAGTGCATTGAGGCCTATGGTTAAAAAGGAAATATCTTCCGATACAAACTAGAAATAGAGTTTTTGAGAAACTGCTTTGTGATGTGTGCATTCATCTCACATAGTTGAACAATTCTTTTGATTGAGCAGTATGGAAACACAGTGTTAGTAGAATCTGCAAAGGATTATTTGGATTTGCATTGAGGCCTGTGTTGAAAAAGGAAATATCTTCTGATACAAACAAGATGGAAGCTTTCTGAGAAACTGCTTTGTGATGTGTGCATTCATCCTACAGAGTTGAACCATTCTTTTGATGGAGCAGTTTTGAACCACTGTTTTTGGAGAATCTGCAAGGGGATATTTGGGGGCCCTCGAGTCTTATGGTGAAAAAGGAAATATCCTCACATAAAAACTAGAAAGGAGCTTTCTGAGAAACTGCTTTGTAATATGTGCATTCATCTCACAGAGTTAAACCATTCTTTTGATTGAGCAGCTTGGAAACACAGTGTTTAAAGTATCTGAGAAGGAATATTTGGATTCACCTTGAGGCCTAGGGGGCAAAAGGAAATATCTTCTGATACAAACAAGATGGAAGCTTTCTGAGAAACTGCTTTGTGATGTGTGCACTCATCCTACAGAGTTGAACCATTCTTTTGATGGAGCAGTTTTGAACCACTGTTTTTGGAGAATCTGCAAGGGGATATTTGGGGGCCCTCGAGTCTTATGGTGAAAAAGGAAATATCCTCACATAAAAACTAGAAAGGAGCTTTCTGAGAAACTGCTTTGTAATACGTGCATTCATCTCACAGAGTTAAACCATTCTTTTGATTGAGCAGCTTGGAAACACAGTGTTTGAAGTATCTGCGGAGGAATATTTGGATTCACCTTGAGGCCTAGGGGGCAAAAGGAAATATCTTCTGATACAAACTAGGCAGAAACTTTCTGGAAGACTGCTTTGTGATGTGTGCACTCATCTCACAGAGTTAAACTTTCTTTTCATTGAGCAGTTTGGAGACTCTGTTCTTGTAGAATCTGCAAAGGGATATTTGAGAGTGCATAGAGGCCTGTAGTGAAAAAGGAAATATCTTCCAATAAACTCGAAAAAGTGTTACTGAGTAACCACTTTGTGATGTGTGCATTCATCTCACCTAGTTGAACCATTATTTTGGTTGAGCAGTTTGGAAACACAGTGTTTCTAGAATCTGTGAAGGGATATTTGGAGTCACATGGAGGCCTGTGGTGAAAAAGGAAATATCTTCTGACACAAACTAGACAGAAGCTTCCTGAGAGAATGCTTTGTAATGTGTGTATTCATCCCACAGAGTTAAACATTTCTTTTCAATGATCAGTTTGGAAATTCTGTTCTTTCAGAATCTGCAAAAGGATATTTAGGAGCATATTGAGGTGTATGGTGAAAAAGGAAATATCTTCCAATACAAACTAGAAAGAGTTTCTGAGGAACTGCTTTGTGATGTGTGCATTCATCTTACAGAGTTGAACCATTCTTTCACTGAGCAGTTTGGAAACACAGTGTTTGTAGAATCTGTGAAGGGATATTTGGATTTGCATGGAGGCCTGTGGTGAAAAATGAAATATCTTCCGATACAAACTAGACAGAAATTTTGTGAGAGACGAATTTGTGAAGTGTGCATCCCTCTCACAGAGTTGAACCATTCTTTTGAAGGAGCAGTTTAGAACCACTGTTTTAGTAGAATCTGCAAAGGGATATTTGGGAGCCCTTTGAGTCTTACGGTGAAAAAGGAAATATCCTCACATAAAAACTAGAAAGGAGCATTCTGAGAAACTGCTTTGTGATATATGCATTCATTTCACAGAATTAAAACTTTCCTTTGATGGAGCATTTTGGAAACACTGTTTTTGTAGAATCTGCAAAGGGATATTTCAGAGTGCTTTCAGGCCTATGATGAAAAAGGAAATATCTTCACCTAAAAACTCATAGGAAGCTTTCTGAGAAACTGCTTTGTGATGTGTGCATTCCTCTCACAGAGTTAAACCATTCTTTTGATTGAGCAGTTTGGAACTACTGTTTTTCTAGAATCTGCAAAGGGATATTTGTGAGTGCTTTGAGGTCTATGGTGAAAAAAGAAATATTCTCACATAAAAACTAGAAAGGAGCTTTCTGAAAAATGGCTGTATGATGTGTGCATTCATCTCACAGAGCTGAACCATTCTTTTGATTGAGCAGTTTGGAAGCAGAGTGTTTGTAGAATCTGTGAAGGGATATTTGAATTTGCATGAAGGCTAGTGGTGAAAAAGGAAATATCTTCTGATACAAATTAGACAGATGCTTTCTTAGAGAATAATCTCTAATGTGTGCATTCATCCCACAGAGTTAAGCATTTCTTTTCATTGAGCAGTTTGGAAACTCTGTTGTTCTAGAATCTGCAAAGGGATATTTGGGAGTGCATTGAATCCTACTGTGAAAAAGGAAATATCTTCCAATACAAACTAAAAAAAGAGTTCCTGAGGAACTGCTTTTTGATGTGTGCATTCATCTCACAGAGTTGAACCATTCTTTCATTGAGCAGTTTGGAAACACAGTGTTTGTAGAATCTGTGAAGGGATATTTGGATTCATATGGAGGCCTGTGGTGAAAAATGAAATATCTTCCGATACAAACTAGATAGAAATTTTGTGAGAGACGAATTTGTGAAGTGTGCATTCCTCTCACAGAGTTGAACCATTCTTTTGAAGGAGCAGTTTAGAACCACTGTTTTTGTAGAATCTGCAAAGGGATATTTGGGAGCCCTTTGAGGCCTATGGTGAAAATGTAAATATCTTCATATAATAACTAGAAAGAAGCTTTATGTTAAACTTCCTTGTGATGTGTGAATTCATCTCACAGGGTTAGAATTTTCTTTTCATTCAGCAATTTGGAAACACTGTTTTTGTAGAATCTGTGAAGGGATATTTAGGAGTGCATTGAGGCCTACGGTGAAAAAGTAAACATCTTCAAATAATAATTAGACAGAAGCTTTATGGTAAACCGATTTGTGATGTCTGCTTTCATCACACAGAGTAAAAATTTCTTTTGTTTCAACGGTTTGTAAACACTGCTTTGTCCAATCTGTGAATGGACATTTGGGAGCTCTTTGAGATGAATGGAGGAAAAGTGAATATCCCAGGAAAAAAACTACATGGAAGTAATCTGAGAAACTGATTTGTGATGTATGCATTCATCTCGCATATTTAAACCTTTCTTTTCATTCAGCAGTTTGCAAAACCTTTTTTGTAAAATCTGCAAAGGGATATTTGGGAGACCTTTGAGTCCTACAGTGAAAAAGTCAATATCTTCACATAAAAACCAGAAAGAAGCTTTCTGAGAGACAGCTTTGTGATTTGTGCATTCATCTCACAGAGTTAAACATTTCTTTTGATTCAACAGTTTTGAAACACTATTTTTGTCCATTCTGTGAAGGTATATTTGGTAGCCCATTGAGGCCTATGGTGAAAAAGGAAATATCTTCAAACCATAACTAGATAGAAGCTTTCTGAGGAACTGCTTTGTGATGTGTGTTTTCATCTCACAGAGATAAAGATTCTTTTGTTTCAATAGTTTGGAAACATTGTTTTTGTCCATTCTACCAATGTCCATTTTGGAGATGATTGACTCCAAGGAAAAAAAGTGAATATCCCAGGATAAAAAAGTCAAGGAAGCCAGGTGAGAAACCGCTATGTGATGTATGCATTCATCTTGAGAGTTAAACCTTCCTTTTCATTCAGCTGTTTGGAAACACTGTTTTTGTAGAATCTTGGAAGTGATATTTGGGAGTGCAAGGAGACCTATGGTGAAAAAGAAAATATCTTAAGATAAAAACTAGAAATAAGCTTTCTGAGAAACCGTTCTGTGATGGGTGCATTCATCTCACAGAGGTAAACCTTTCTTTCGATCCAGCACTTTGGAAACACTGATTTTGCAGAATCTGCGAAGGGATATTTTGGAGCGCATTGAGGCCTGCTGTGAAAAAGGAAATATCTTCAAATAAAAACTAGAGAGAAGCTTTCAGAGAAACTGTTTTGTGATGTGTGCATTCATCTCACAGAGATATTCTTTTCTTTTGTTTCAACAATTTTGAAACACTGTTTTTGTCCATTCTGCAATGGGATATTTGGGAGCTATTGAGGCCTATGGTGAAAAAGAAAATATTTTCAGAGAAAAACTAGAACAAGCTTGCTGAGAAACTGCTTTCTGATGTGTGCATTCATCTCCAGAGTTAAATCTTGCTTTTCATTCAGCAGTTTGGAAACACGGTTTTTGTAGATTATGCCATGGGATATCTGGGAGCACATTGAGACCTATGGTGTAGAAGAAAATATCTTAAAACTAGTATGAAGCTTTCTGAGAAACTGTTCTGTGATGTGTGCAATCACCTCACAGTGGTAAATCTCTCTTTTCTAATAGCCATTTGGAAACAGTTTTTGCGGAATCTGTGAAGGGGCATAAGGGATCCCATTGAGTCCTATGAAGAAAAAGTAAATGTCTTCATATAAAATCTTGAAGGAAGCTCTATGACAAACTGCTTTGTGATGTGTGCATTCATCTCACAGAGTTAATTCTTTTTTTGTTTCAAGAGTTTTGTAACACTGTTTTTGTTCATTCTGTGAAGGGATATTTGGGAGCACTTTGAGGTCTATGGTGAAAAAGAAAATATCTTCAAATAAAAACTAGACAGAAGCTTTCTGAGAAACTGCTTCATGATTTGTGCATTCGTCTCACAGAGTTAATCCTTTCTTTTTATTCAACAGCTTTGAAACACTGTTTTTCTCCATTCTGCAAAGGGATATTTGGGAGTTTATTGAGGCATGTGGTGAAAAAGAAAATATCTTCAAATAAAAACTAGAAAGAAGCTTTCTGAGAAACTGCTTTGAGATGTGTGCATTCATCTCTCAGAGTTAAACTTTTCTTTTTCATTCAACACTTTGGAAACACTGTTTTTGTAGAATCTGTGAAGGAATATTTGGGAGTGCTTTGAGACCCATGGTGTAGAAGAAAATATCTTAAGATAAAAAGTAGAAAGAAGCTTTTTGAGAAACTGCTCTGTGATTGATGTATTCACCTCTCAGAGTTAAATCTTTCTTTTGATCCAGTAGCTTGGAAACATTTTTTCTCCATTCTGCGAAGGGATATTTGGGAGCCCATTAAGGCCTGTGGTGAAAAAAAAGTCTTCAAATAAAACTAGAAAGAAGCTTTCTGAGAAACTGTTTTGAGAGGTGTGCATTCATCTCACAGAGCTAAACCTTTCTTTTTCATTGAACACTTTGGAAACACTGTTTTTGTAGAATCTGTGAAGGGATATTTGGGAGTGCATTGTGACCTATGGTGTAGAAGAGAATATCTTAAAATAAAAAGTAGAAATAAGCTTTCTGAGAAACAATTCTGTGATGGGTGCATTCATCTCACAGAGTTAAACCTTTCTTTTGATCCTGCAGTTTGGAAAAACTGTTTTTGTAGAATCTGCAAAGGGATATTTCAGAGCACATTGAGGCCTATGGTGAAAAAGGAAATATCTTCAAATAATAACTACCAAGAAGCTTTCTAAGAAACTTCTTTGTGATGTGTGCTTTCATCTCACAGAGTGAAAACTTTTTTTGTTTGGAAACACTGTTTTCGTCCATTCTGTGAATGGACATTTGGGAGCTCATTGAGGCCAATGGAGGACAAGTGAATATCCCAAGATAAAAACTACAAGTAAGGTATCTGAGAAACTGATTTGTGATGTGTGCATTCATCTTGCAGAGTTAAACCATTCTTTCCATTCAGCAGTTTGGAAAACCTGTTTTTGTAGACCTTGAGAGGGCGTATGTTGGAGCCCATTGAGTCCTATGGTGAAAAAGTAAATATCTTCATATAAAAACTAGAATAAGGCTTTCTGAGAAACTGCTTTGCAATGTGTGCATTCATCTCACAGAGTTAAACCTTTATTTTCATTCAGCAGTTTGGAAAACTGTTTTTGTAGAATCTGCAAAAGGAGATTTCGGAAAGCATTGAGGTCTATGTTGAAAAAGGAAATATCTTCAAATAATAACTAGACAGAAGCTTTCTGAGAAACTGCTTTTTGATATGTTCTTTCATCTCACAGTGTTAAAACCTTCTTTTATTTCAAATGTTTGTAAACACTGTCCTTGTCCATTCTGCCAATGGCTATTTTGGTGATCATTGAGGCCAATGGAGCAAAAGTGAATATCTTGGGATAAAAACTTCAAGGAAGCTATGTGAGAAACTGCTTTGTGATGTGTCCATTCATCTCACAGTGTTGAAACTTTCTTTTCATTCAATAGTTTGGAAACACTGCTTTTGTCCATCGTGTGAGGGAATATTTGGGACTGCATTGAGATCTATGATGAAAAAGTACATATTTTCATATAAAAACTAGAAAGAAGCTTTCTGAGAAACTGCTTTGTGATGTGTACATTTATCTCACAGAGTTAACACTTTCTTTTGATTCAACAGTTTTGAAACACTGTTTTTGTCCATTCTGCAAAGGAATATTTGGGAGTGCATTGAGGCCTATGGTGAAATAGAAAATATCTTGAGATAAAAGCTAGAAAGAAGCTTTCTGAGAAACTGCTTTGTGATGTGTAGTTTCATCTCACAGAGTTAAACGTTTCTTTTCATTCAGTAGTTTGGAAACACTGTTTTTGTCCATTCTGTGAATGGACATTTTGGACCTCATTGAGGCCAATGGAGAAAATGTGAATATCCTAGGATAAAAACATCAAGGAAGCTATCTAAGAAATCAGTTTGTGGTATGTGCATTCATCTCACAGAGTTAAACCTTTCCTTACATTCAGCAGTTTGGAAACACTCTTTTGAGTAATCTGCAAAGGGATATTTTGTAGTGCGTTGAGACCTATGGTGTAGAAGAAAATATTTTAAGATAAAAAGTAGAAAGAAGCTTTCTGAGAAACTATTCCATGATGTGTGCATTCACCTTACAGAGTTAAACCTTTCTTTTGATCCTGCAGTTTGGAAACACTGTTTTTGTAGAATCTGCAAAGGGATATTTCAGAGCACATTGAGGCCTATGGTGAAAAAAGAAATATCTTCAAACCATAACTAGACAGAAGCTTTCTGAGAAACTGCTTTGTGATGTGTGTTTTCATCTCACAGGGTTAAAATTTTCTTCAGTTTCACCAGTTTGGAAACACTGTTTTTGTCCATTCTGTGAATGGACATTTGGGAGCTCATTGAAGCCAATGGAGGAAAAGCAAATATCCCAGGATAAAAACTACAAGGAAGCTAACTGAGAAACTACTTTGTGATGTGTGCCTTTATCTAGCAGAGTTAAACCTTTCTTTCCATTCAGCAGTTTGGAAACACTGTTTTTGTAGAATCTATGAAGGGATATTTGGGAGCCATTTGAGGCCTACGGTGAAAATGTAAATATCTTCATATAAAAACTAGAAAGAAGCTCTCTGATAAACTTCTATGTGATGTATGCATTCATCCCCCAGAGTTAAACCTTACTTTTGATCCAGCAGTTTGGTAACCCTGTTTTTGTAGATTCTGTGAAGGGATATTTTGGAGTGCATTGAGACTTAGGCTGAAAAAGGAAATATCTTCAAATAATAACTAGACAGAAACTTTCTGAGAAACTGATTTGTGATGTGTGCTTTCATCTCACAGAGTTAAAACTTTCTTTTGATTGAACAGTTTGGAAACACTGTTTTTGTCCATTGTGTGAATGGACATATGGGAGCTCATTGAGGCCAGTGGAGGAAAAGAAAATATCCCAGGATAAAACCTACAAGGAAGTTATCTGAGAAATAAATTTGTGATGTGTGCATTCATCTCACAGAGTTAAACATTTCTTTTCATTCAGTTGTTTTGAAGCACATTTTTGTTGAATCTGCAAAGGGATGTTTGGGAGCACTTGGAGATCTTTGGTGAAAAAAAATCTGAAGATAAAAAGTAGAAAGAAAGTTTCTGAGAAACTTCTCTGTGATGGTTTCATTCAACTCACAGAGGTCGAGCAGTTTGGAAACTCTTTTTCTGTAGAATCTCCAAATGTATATTTGGGAGCCCATTGAGGTCTACAGTGAAAAAGTAAATAACTTCTTATAAAAACTAGAAATAATGTTTCTGAGAAACTGCATTGTGATGTGTGCATTCATCTCACAGAGATAAACCTTTCTTTACATTCGGCAGTTTGGCAACACTGTATTTTTAGGATCTGTGAAGGGATATTTCCCAGTGCATTGAGGCCAAGGGTGAAAAAGAAAATATCTTCAGATAAAAAGTAGAAGAAAGCTTTCTGAGAAACTGCCTTGTGATGTGTGCTTTCATCTCTCAGAGTTAAATCGTTATTTTTATTCAGCAGTTTGTAAACATTGTTTTTGTCCATTCTGTGAATGGACATTGGGGAGCTCATTGAGGCCAATGGTGAAATATCAAATTTCCCAGGATAAATACTGGAAGAAAGCTATCTGAGAAAACCACTTTGTGATGTGTGCATTCATCTTGCACAGTTTATACTTTCTTATCATTCAGCCATTTGGAAACACAGTTTTTGTAGAATCTGAGAAGGGATATTTTGGAGCATGTTAAGGCCCATGGTAAAAAAGAAAATATCTTCAGATATAAACTAGAAACGTCCTTTCTGAGAAAGTGCTTTGTGATGTCTGCTTTCATCTCACAGAATTAAATATTTCTTTTCATTCAGTAGTTTGGAAAGACTGTTTTTGTTTATTCTGTGAATGGATATTTGGGAGCTCATTGAGTCCAATGGAGAAAAAGCAAATGTCCCAGGATGAAAACTTCAAGGAATCTATCTGAGAAACCACTTTGTGATGTGAGCATTCACCTCACAGATTTAAACTTTCTTTACCTTAAGCAATTTGGAAACACTGTTTTTGTAGAATTTGTTAAGGAATATTTCAGAGCGCATTGAGGCCTATGTTTAAAAGGAAAATATCTTCAGATAAAAACTAGACAGAACATTTCTGAGAAACTGCTTTGTGATGTGTGCTTTATCTCACAGAGTTAAATATTTCTTTTCATTCAGCAGTTAGAAAGACTGTTTTTGTCCATTTTGAGAATGGACATTTGGGAACACATAGAGGCAAGTGGAGAAAAAGTGAATATCACAGGATAAAAACTTCAAGAACGCTATCTGAGAAACCACTTTGTGATGGGTGCATTAATCTTGGTGATTTAAACCTTTCTTTTGATTCAGCAGTTTGGAAATACTGTTTTTGTCCATTCTGCAAATGGACATTTTGCAGGTGATTGAGGCCAATGGCAAAAAATTGAATATCCCAGGATAAAAACTACTTGAGGATAAAAAGCTACTTGAGAAACTGCTTTGTGATGTGTGCATTCATCTCACAGAGTGAAACATTTCTTTTCATTCAGCAGTTTGGAAACACTGTTTTTGCAGAATGTGTGAAGGGATATTTTGCAGCCTATTGAGACCTATGTTGCAGAAGAAAATATCTTAAGATAAAAAGTAGAAAGGAGGTTTCTGAGAAACTGCTCTGTGATGGGTGCATTGACCTCACAGAGTTAAACCTTTCTTTTGATCCAGCAGTTTGGAAACACTGTTTTTTAGAATCTGCAAAGGGCTCCATTCATCCCACAGAATTAATCCTTTCTTTTGATTCAACAGTTTTGAAACACTTTTTGTCCATTCTGCGAATAGATATTTGGGAGCTCATTGAGGTCAATGGAGAAAAAGGGAATTTCCCAGAATAAAAATTCCATGGAAGCTATCTGAGAAACTGCTTTTTGATGTGTGCATTCATCTTGCAGAGTTAAACCTTTCCTTTCATTCAGCAGTTTGGAAACACTGTTTTTTGAAGAATTTGCAAAGGGGCATTTGGGAGTGCATTGAGACCTGTGGTGAAAAAGAAAATATCTTAAGATAAAAAGTAGGTCGGGGTGTGGTGTCTCAAGCCTGTAATCCCAGCACTTTGGGAGGCCAAGGCAGGCAGATCACGAGTTCAGGAGATAGAGACTATCCTGGCTAACATGGTGAAACCCCGTCTCTACTAAAAATACAAAAAAATTAGCTGGGCGTGGTGGCTGGTGCCTGTAATCTGAGCTACTTGGGAGGCTGAAGCAGGAGAATGGCATGAACCTGGGAGGCAGAGATTGCAGTGAGCTGAGATTTCACCACTGCACTCTAGCCTGGGGGACAGAGTGAGACACCATCTCAAAAAAAAAAGATGAAAAGTAGAAGGAAGCTTTCTGAGAAACTGGTCTGTGATGGGTGCATTCACCTCACAGAGTTAAAAGTTTCTTTCAATTCAGGAGTTTAGAAACACTGTTTATGTCCATTATGTGAATGGATATTTAGTAGTTGATTGAGGCCACTGGCAAAAAATCTAATATCCCAGGATAAACACAGCAACCACCTTGTGATGTGTGCATTCATCTCAAAGAGTTAACCCTTTCTTTTGATTCAACAGTTTGGAAACACTGTTTTTGTAGAATCTGCAAAGGGATATTTTGGAGCATATTTAGGCCCATGGTGAAGAAGAAAGTATCTTCAAATAAAAACTAAAGAAAAGCTTTCTGAGAAACTGCTTCATGATGTGTGATTTCATCTCAAAGAATTAATCATTTCTTTTGATTTAACAGTTTTGAAACACTGTTTTTGTCCATTCTGCAAGCGGATATTTTGGAGCTCATTGAGGTCAACAGAGAAAAAGGAAATATCCCAGGATAAAAACTTGAAGGAAACTATCTGAGAAACCGGTTTGTGATGTGTGCATTCACCTCACAGAGTTAAACCTTTCTTTAGATTCAGCAGTTTGGAAACATCATTTTTGTCCATTCTGTGAATGGACATTTGGTAGCTGATTGAGGCCAATGGCAAAAAAGCTAATATCCCAGGATAAACACTAGAAGGAAGGTATCTGAGAAACTGCTTTGTGATGTGTGCATTCATCTCACAGAGTTAAAAGTTTCCTTTCATTCAGCAGTTTGGAAACACTGTTTTGTAGAATCTGTTAAGGGATATTTTGGAGTGCATTCAGGCCTATGGTGAAAAAGAAAATATCTTCAAATAAAAACTACAAAGAAGCTTTCTGACAAACTGCTCTGTGATGGGTGCATTCACCTCACAGATTTAAACCTTTCTTTTGATCCAGCAGTTTGGAAACACAGTTTTGTAGAATCTGCGAAGTGATATTTCAGAGCCCTTTGAGGCCTATGGTGAAAGAGTAAATATCTTCATATAAAAACTAAAAAGAAGCTTTCTGAGAAACTGCTTTGTCATGTGTGCATTCATCTCACAGAGTTAAATTTTTCTTTTCATTCTGCAGTTTGGAAAAACTGTTTTTCTCCAATTCTGTGACTGGACTTTTAGGAGCTCATTGAGGCCAATGGAGAAAAAGAAAATATCACAGAATAAAAACCACAAGGAAGCTATCTGAGAAACCACTTTGTGATGTGTGCATTCACCTCACAGAGTTGAACCTTTCTTTTCATTCATCAGTTTGGAAATGCTTTTTTTTTGTAGAATCTGCAAAGGGATATTTGGGAGCACATTGAGACCTAAGTTGAAAAAGTAAATATCCTAAGATAAAAATTAGTAAGAAGCTTTCTGAGAAACTACTCGGGGATGGGGATTCACCTCACAGAGTTAAACTTTTCTATTGATGCAGCAGTTTGGAAACACTGTTTTTGTAGAATCTGTGAAGGGATATTTGGGAACCCATTGAGGCCTATGGTAAAAAAGTGAATATCTTCAGATAAAAACTAGAAAGAAGTTTTATGAGAAACTGCTTTGTGATGCGTGCTTCCATCTCAGAGAGTTAAACGTTTATTTTGATTCAAAAGTTTGGGAACACTGCTTTTGTCCATTCTGCCAATGAACATTTGGGAGATCATTGAGGCCAAAGGAGAAAAAGCAAATATCCCAGGATACAAACTACAAGGAAGCCATCTGAGAAACTGCTTTGTGATGTGTGCATTCATCTCCCAGAGTTAAACCTTTCCTTACACTCAGCAGTTTGGAAACCCTGTTTTTGTAGAATCTGCGAAGGGATATTTGGGAGTGCATGGAGACCTACAGTGAAAAAGAAAATATCTTAAGATAAAAACTAGAAAGAAGCTTTCTGAGAAACTGCTCAGTAATGGGTGCATTCACCTCACAGAGGTAAACCTTTCTTTTCATTCAGCAGTTTGGAAACCCCGTTTTTGTCCATTCTGCAAATGGACATTTCGTAGCTGATTGAGGCCAAAGGCAAAAAAGGGGAATATCCCCGGGTAAACACTAGAAGGAAGCTACATGAGAAACCACTTAGAGATGTGTGCATTAAACTCTCAGAGTTAAACATTTCTTTTCACTCAGCAGTATAAAAACATTGCTTTTGTAGAATCTGTGAAGGGATATTTTGGAGCACATTGGGGTCTATGGTGAAAAAGAAAATATCTTCAGATAGAAACTAGCAGGAAGCTTTCTGAGATACTGCTTTGTGATGTATGCTTTCATCTCACAGAGTTAAACATTTCTTTTCATTCAACCTTTTTGAAAGATTGTTTTGGCCCATTCTTGGAATGGACATTTGAGAGCTCATTGAGGCCAAAGGAGAAAAAACAAATATCCCATGATAAAAACTTCAAGAAAGATATCTGAGAAATGGCTTTTTGATGTGTGCATTCATCTCACAGAGTTAAACCTTTCTTTTGATTCTGCAGTTTGCAAACACTGCAGTTTGCAAACACTGTTCTTGTAGAATCCGTGTAGTGATATTTGGGAGCCCATTGAGGCCTATGGTGAAAAAGTAAATATCTTCATATAAAAACTAAAAGGAAGCTTTCTGAGAAACTGCTTTGTGATGTGTGCATTCAACTCACACACTTAAAATTTTCTTTTGATTAAGCAGTTTGGAAACACTGTTTTTGTCCATTCTGTGACTGGACTTTTGGGAGCTCATTGAGGCCAATGGAGAGAAAGTGAATATCACTGGATAAAAACTTCATGGAAGCTATCTGAGAAACTGCTTTGTGATGTGTGTATTCATCTTGCACAGTTAAACCTTTCTTTGCATTCAGCAGTTTGGAAACCCTGTTTTTGTAGAATCTGTGAAGGGATATTTCAGAGTGTATTGATTCCTAAGGTGAAAAAAAAACTTCAGATAAAAAGTAGAAGGAAGCTTTCTGACAAACTGCATTGTGATGTGTGCTTTCATCTCACAGAGTTAAACTTTTTTTTTTTTATTCAGCAGTTTTGTAACACTATATTTGTCCATTCTGTGAATTGACATTTGGGAGCTCATTTAGGACAATGGAGAAAAAGGGAATATCGCAGAATAAAAAATACAAGGAAGCTATCTGAAAAACCACTTTGTGATGTGTGCATTCATCTTACAGAGCTAAATGGATCCTTTCATTCAGCTGTTTGGAAACACTGTTTTCATAGAATCTTTGAAGGGATATTTGGGAGCATGTTGAGAACTATGGTTAAAAAGAAAATATCGTCAGATAAAAAGTAGAGAGAAAATTTCTGAGAAACCACTCTCTAATGTATGCATTCACCTCACAGAATTAAACCTTTAATTAATTAATCCAGCAGTTTGGAAACACTGTTTTTGCAGAATATGTGTGGGGATATTTGGATGCCCATTGAGGCCTAGGGTGAAAAAGGGAATATCTTCATATAAAAACTAGAAAGAATCTTTCTGAGAAACTGCTTTGTGATGTGTGCATTCATCTCACAGAGTTAAACCTTTCTTTTGATCCAGCAGTTTGGAAACACTGTTTTTGTAGGATCTGTGAAGGGTTATTTTGGAGTGTATTGAGGCCTATGGTGGAAAAGAAAATATCTTCAAATAAAAACTAGAGAGCAGCTTTCTGAGAACTGCTTTGTGATGTGTGCTTTCATCTCACAGAGTTAAACCTTTCTTTGGATTCAACACTTTGGAAACACTGTTTTTGTCCATTCTGCCAATGGGCATTTGGGAGCTCATTGAGGCCAATGGAGAAAAAGTGAATATCCCAGGATAAAAACTTCAAGGAAGGTACCTGAGAAACCACTTTGTGATGTTTGCATTCATCTCACAGAGTCAAACATTTCCTTGCAATCAGCAGTTTTGAAACACTGTTTTTGTACAATCTTGGAAGTGATATTTGGGAGTGCATGGAGATCTATGGTGAAAAAGAAAATATCTTAAGATAAAAACTAGAAATAAGCTTTCTGAGAAACCATTCTGTGATGAGTGTATTCATCTCACAGAGGTAAACATTTCTTTTGATTCAGCAGTTTTGAAACACTGTTTTTGCCTATTCTGTGAATGGACATTTTGTAGCTGATTGAGGCCAATGACAAAAAAACAAATGTCCCAGGGTAACAACTAGAAGGAAGCTACATGAGAAACTGCTTTGAGATGTGTGTATTTATCTCACAGCGTTAGATGTTTCTTTTCATTCAGTGATTTGGAAACACAGTTTTTGTAGAATCTGCAAAGGGATATTTTGGAGCACTTTGGGGCCCATGGTGAAAAAGAAACCATCTTTAGACAAAAACTAGAAAGAGCATTCCTGAGAAACTGCTTTGTGATGTGTGCTTTCATCTCAGAGTTAAATATTTCTTTTCATTCAGCAGTTTGGAAAGACTGCCTTGTCCATTCTGCCAATGGACATTTTGGAGCTCATTGAGGCCAATGGAGAAAAAGCGAATATCCCAGGATAAAAACATCAAGTAAGCTATCTGAGAAACCACTTTGTGATGTGTGCATTCATCTCACAGAATGAAACCTTTCTTTAAGTTCAGCAGTTTGGAAACTCTGTTTTTGTTTAATCTGTTTAGGGGTATTTTGGAGTGCACTGAGGCCTATGGTTAAAAAGAAAATATGTTCAGATAAAAACTAGAAAGAAGCTTTCTGAGAAACTGATTTGTGATGTGTGCTTTCATCTCACAGAGTTAAACATTTCTTTTCATTCTGTGCTTTGAAAGTCTGTTTTTGTCCATTCTGTGAATGGACATTAGGGCGCTCATTGAGGCCAAAGGAGAGAAAGTGAATATCACTGGTTAAAAACTTCAAGGAAGCTATATGAAAAACTGCTTTGTGATGTGTGCATTCATCTTGCAGAGTTAAACCATTGCATTCATTCAGCAGTTTGGAAACACTGTTTTTTTAGAATCTGTGAAGGGATATTTGGGAGCACATTGAGACCTATGGTGAAAAAAATCTGAAGATAAAAAGTAGAAAGAAGCTTTCTGAGAAACTGCTCTGTGATGGGTGCATTCACCTCACATATTCATAGCTTTCTTTGGTCCAGCAGTTTGGAAACACTGTTTTTGTAGGATCTGCAAAGGGATATTTTGGAGCACATTGGGGCATATGGTGAAAAAGAAAATATCTTCAAATAAAACCTAGACAGAAAGTTTCTGAGAAACTGCTTTGTGGTATGTGCTTTCATCTCACAGAGTTATACATTTCTTTTGTTTCAACAGTTTGGAAACACTGCTTTTGTCCATTCTACTAATGGAAATTTGGGACATCTTTGAGGCCAGTGTGGAAAAAGCAAATATCCCAAGATGAAGACTTCAAGGAAGCTATCTGAGATACCACTTTGTGATATGTGCATTCATCTCCCAGAGTTAAACCTCTACTTACATTCAGCAGTTTGGAAACACTTTTTTTGTAGAATCTGTGAAGGGATATTGGGGAGTGCATGGAGACCTATGGTGAAAAAGAAAATATGTTAAGACAAAAAAACTAGAAAGAAGCTTTCTGAAAAACTGCTCTGTGATAGGTGCATTCGCCTCACAGAGTTAAACCTTTCTTTTGATTCAGCAATTTGGAAACACTCTTTTTGTCCATTCTGCGAATGGACATTTTGTACGTGATTGAGGCCAAAGGCAAAAAAGGGAATATCCCAGGGTAAAAACTCGAAGGAAGCTACATGAGAAAACGCTTTGAGATGTGTGCATTCATCTATCAGAGTTAAACAATTCTTTTCATTCAGACGTTTGGAAGCACTGCTTTTGTAGGATCTGGGAAGGGATATTTCAGAGCGAATTGGAGCCTATGATGATAAAAGAATTATCTTCAAACAAAAACTAGACAGAAGAACTGTGAGAAACTGCTTTGTGCTATGGGCTATCATCTCACAGAGTTAAACCTTTCTTTTAAATCAACAGTTTTGAAACAGTGTTTTTGACCATTCTGTGAAAGGACATTTGGGAGCTTATTGAGGGCAGTGGAGAAAAAGCAAATATCCCAGGTTAAAAACTACAAGGAAACTATCTGAGAAACTGCTTTGTGATGTGTGCATTCATCTCACAGAGTTAAACCATTCTTTTCATTCAGCAGTTTGAAAACACTGTTTTTGTAGTATCTACAAAGGGATATTTGGGAGCCCATTGGGGCCTATGGTGAAAATGTAAATATCTTCATATAAAAACTACAAAGAATCTTTCTGGGAAACTCCTTTGTGATGTGTGCATCCATCTCAGAGAGTTAAACTTTTCTTTTGATTCAGCAGTTTGGAAACACTGTTTTTGTCCATTCTGTGAATGGACATTTGGGAGCTCATTGAGGCCAATGGTGAGAAATTGAATATCCCAGGAGAAACACTAGAAGGAAGCTACCTGAGAAAATGCTTTGTGATGTGTGCATTCCTCTCACAGAGTTAATCCTTTCTTCTCATTCAGAAGTTTGGAAACACTGTTTTTTTAAGAATCTGATAAGGGATATTTCAGAGTGCATTGACGCCTATGGTGAAAAAGAAAATATCTTCAGATAAAAACTAGAAAGAAGCTTTCTGGCAAACTGTTTTGTCATGTGTGCATTCATCTCACAGAGCTAAACCTTTCTTTTGATTCAATCACTTGGAAACACTGTTTTTGTCCCTTCTGTGCATGGGCATTTGGGAGCTCATTGAGGCCAGTGGAGAAAAAGTGAATATCCCAGGATAAACACTATAAGGAAGCTATTTGAGAAACCACTTTGTGATGTGTGCATTCATCTCACACAGTTAAACATTTCTATTCATTCAGCAGTTTTGAAACACTGTTTTTGTAGCATCTCCAAAGTGTATTTGGGGGCAGACTGAGACCTATGGTGAAAAAGAAAATATCTTAAGTAAAAAGTAGAAAGAAGCTTTCTGAGAAACTACTTTGTGATATGTGCATTCGTCTCACAGAGTTTAACCTTTCTTTTGATCCAGGAGTTTGGAAACACTGTTTTTGTAGAATCTGTGAAGGGATATTTCAGAGTGCATTCAGTCCTAAGGTGAAAGAGGAAATATCTTCAAATGATAACCAGACAGAAGCTTTCTGAGAATCTGCTTTGTCATGTA